>NC_000003.12:115523755-115826786 GCF_000001405.40 Homo sapiens
CTCTGGGCCTTTAGATTCTCCCAGGACCGGCTATAGCTTAGATGGTGCAGGCAGGGCATCTGTCTGATTTTTCTTGGAACCATAGAATTGCAGGCCTACATCCCCGTCTCCCCTTGAACTCTCTGGGCCTAGTCATGCCTCAGCTAGCAGCCTGGGCAGAAAGGGATTTGATAAGCAGATTCTCTCTAAGCTCTAAATGATTGTCAAGAGCCTAATATGATTTTGCTAGTAGACAGATATTTACTATTTTAAAACAGACACTCTCTAATCATGGGATACAGGTAATGGGATGCAGGCAATGCTACAGGTATTTCTCTTTATTCCTCAGATTGGTAGCTTAAGATATCACCCATGTTTTCTAAATGTGAGGAAGACCTTTCATGGAATCATTCATTTAATAAATTATTTATCCATTCTATGCATATTTTTAACAGCTACTATATTTCAAGCACTGGGGATATAATAGTAAACAAGACACATACAGTCCTACTTGTTAGGTAAGGTGTTGTTTATAGGGCCCTTTGGGTCCCAACAAAATAAGAAGTTTCAGGGATGTGTGGATTATCTGGGGGCTTTGGAACAGCTCTATCTGTAAGCCACACAGGTTGTCTCTATCCTACCTTCTTTAATTCCCTCTATAGTCCATTGCACAGACTTTATGGTAACCCAGAGAATTATTCAATAAGTCAATATATTTAAAGCATTTAGCAAGCTCCCCCCAATAGTAGGTAAGACAAATAATAACTATTAATAATAGTACCATTATGCTTTTTAAGAAATCTTAGGGAAAAATTGGCCCAGCTGACAATTTTGAATTATTTTTGTTGTTGGAAAAACATGTTGGCTATCAATAACTCTCAGGTGAATCTGTTGATCTCTTCAAATCACTTTTCTAATTCTGTACTTTGGACAGTAGTCATCAGTTGCTTCTGGGAAGAGGCATGAGGTCAGCAGACTTGAATTGGTCAAATGTCAGACTGCAGCTCAGTCATGGCTGGGTTATTTAATGAATTATATGGGAAGGAATAGTGAATATCTGTGGCAGGAGCACTGACAATATAGCTTAGGGATGCTCCAAGACTCTGGAAAACACAGCTAAGCACTGCTCGTTGGCATTCCCTATAATGACGCTGCATGACATGAAAAAGGACAAAGATTCAGAGACTGGGAGGTGGTAAGTTTGGAGAATAAAACTGGTTGTTTGGCTACTATTATTACATGCTCCATCTTCCCCTATGTTGTACCTGCCACTGTACCCAAGGAGGGGGAGGCTTCTAAATAAAAGATTCATGAGGATTACAACCTCAGTGTGAAGATGCTATGCAATTATCACCAGGGATCAGAATCATTGATCAGTCTAAGTATTCAGTAAGGCCTCTTCAGTATCCAGAGCTGCATGAGATGCTGTGAAGGAGGCAAGAGAAATTTATAACACCATCACTACCGTTAAAGAATTTATATCCTCCATGTGAAGACCTGGCAAACACAAAAACATTTACAGAACAATTCAACTCTAAACTGTTTGGCACTGACTAGAATGACAATTTTAAGCTCTGTCCTGGCTTCTTAACTGCTTGCAGGGAGGCACTCTGGGATGGTATAGGAGCATAGGTTTTAGTCCAGGAGACCTAGATTCCAAGTCTCACTCTGCTGTTTGATGAACTGTATGATCTTGAGCAATTTACTTAGCCTCAAAGCTTCAGAGCCTTTATCTGTAAAATGAAGAAAATGTTTTCTCCTATGGTTAAAGTGACAATTTAGTGAGTAAAATACATCAACTACCTGACTCTTAATAAACGTTAAAAAAAAAATAGGTATCTGCCCCACATCCACATGCTTGTCCCATGAGAACATCAGAGAATCTCAGAGCCCAAGTGTTTACAAGTAGGCATATGATCTTTCATGCATAATTTATAATTATCTGAGTTAAACAGTGGATGTTCAAGATAGATCTTTCCCAGATCACCCATGATTAAGAAAAAGAAGAAGAAAAGGTAATTTTTGTCACTGTTTCAACTTAAAATTCCCAAAGAATGTTTTTTAAATCCAAGTTTTTGACCAAAACTCTCCTTTTTGCTGCAGTTCCCTGCATTCTTTGAAAACTTGATAGCCTGTAGTAGATCATATTTGAGTGCCTGCTGAGTTCTGGAACCTCTCCCTCATTCTGAGAATGCCTGGCCAGCAGCCATATTGCACCGCAATATCACCTCCTTCCTCCTCTTGGCTGATTGGACAATGGTGATACCTGACTCAACCTGGATCAATCACAGTTCCTTCTCACACATTTGGAATTGGAATAGAAAGATTGTGAGACAGCCATAATATGCAGCTGAAACTTAGATGTAAATCCAAGAGCTGATATGTGGATGAAAAAGCTGTTCTGCAGTGAGAAAGAACACAACAGATGATCTGAAAAAAAGTAGAAATAGAAGAGAATGAAAGTGTCTTCATGTCCTTTTAGGTCCTGATCTCAGATTTTCCAGGGATCTGGCTTCCTCTCTTAAGTTTTCTGAGAAATACTTTTCCACCTCTACAAATCTATACCCTTCCCCCTTTTTAAAATGCTTCCACTAATTTGATTTGGTGTGTCACACTGGCAATCAAAGAGTCCCAAATAATACAATAACTTGATTCCAGACTCAATATTCTTTTTTAAAAACCTTTTAAGTTCAGGGGTACATGTGCAGGTTTGTTATATAGACAAGCATGTGTCATGTGGTTTGTTGTATACATTATTTTTATCACCCAGGTACGCAGCCTAGTACCCCTTATTTACTTTTCCTGATCCTCTCCCTCCTGTCACCCTCCACCCTCTGGTAGACAGCAATATCTGTTGTTCCCCTCTGTGTGTCCATGTATTCTCATCATTTAACTCCCAATTATAAGTGAGAGTGTGTGATATTTGGTTTTCTTTTCCTGCATTATTATGCTAAGAATAATGGCCTCCAGTTCCATCCATGTTCCTGGAAATGATATGATCTCATTCTTTTTTATGGCTGCATAGTATTCCATGGTGTATATATACCATGTTTTCTTTATACAGTCTATCATTGATGAGCATTTAGGCTGATTCTATGTCTTTGCTATTGTGAATAGTGCTACAGTGAACATATGTGTGCATGTGTCTTTATGATAGAACAATTTATATGCCTTTGGGTATATACCAAATAATGGGACTTCTAGGTTGAATGGTAGCTCTGTTTTTAGCTCTTTGAGGAATTGCCACACTGCTTTCCACAATGGTTGAACTAATTTCTTTTCTTTCTTTTTTTTTTTTTTTTGCTATTTTAAAGTCTTTTTTTTTTAATTGTTATTATACTTTAAGTTCTAGGGTACATGTGCACAATGTGCAGGTTTGTTACATATGTATACATGGGCCATGTTGGTGTGCTGCACCCATTAACTCCTCATTTACATTAGGTATATCTCCTAAATGCTATCCCTCCCCTCTCCCCCCACCCCGGTTGAACTAATTCAACTCCCACCAATAGTTTATAGGCATTCCCTTTTCTCTGAAACCTTGCCAGCATCTGTTATTTTTTGACATTTTAATAATAGCCATTCTGACTGGTATGAGATGGTACCTGATATGGTTTGGCTGTGTCCCCACCCAAAACTCATCTTGAATTGTAGCTCCTATAATCCTCATGTGTCATGGGAGGGACCTGGTGGGAAGTGATTAGATCATGGGGGTGGTTCCCCCCATGCTGTTCTCATGGTAGTGAGTGAGTTCTCACAAGATCTGATGGTTTTATAAGCATCTCCAATTTCCCCTGCAGGCACTTCTTCCTGCTGCCTTGTGAAGAAGGTGCCTTGCTTCTCTCTTGCCTTCTGCCAAGACTGTAAGTTTCCTGAGGCTTCCTCAGCCACGCAGAACTATGAATCAATAAAACCTCTTTCCTTTGCAAATTACCCAGTCTCAGGGATGTCTTTATTAGTAGTGTGAAAATGGACTAATACAGTATCTCATTGCGGTTTTTATTTGCATTTCTCTAATGACCAGTGATGTTGAGCTTTTTTGCATATGCTTACTGGCTTCATGTATGTCTTCTTTTGAAAAGTGTCTGTTTATATCCTTTGCCTACTTTTTAATGGTTTTTTCATGTAAATTTGTTTAAGTTCCTTGTAGCTACTGGATATTAGACTTTTGTCAGAGGCATAGTTTGCAAATATTTTCCTCCACTCTGTAGGTTGTCTGTTTACTCTATGGATAGTTACTTTGCTGTGCAGAAGCTCTTTATTTTAATTCGATCATATTTGTCAATTTTTGCTTTTGTTTCAATTGCTTTTGGCATCTTCATCATGAAATCTTTGCTTGTCTCTATGTCCATAATAGTATTGCCTAGATTGTCTTCCAGGGTTTTATAGTTTTTGGTTTTACATTTAAGTATGTAATCCACTTGAGTTGATTTTTTATGATGTAAGGAAGGGATCCAGTTTCACTCTTTTGCATATGGCTAGCCAGTTATCTCAGCACCATTTATTGAATAGGGAGTCCTTTCCGCATTGCTTGTTTTTGTCTGCTTTGTTGAAGATCAGATGGTTATAGGTGTACGGCCTTATTTCTGGGCTCTCTATTCTGTTCCATTGGGGGTCTATGTGTCTGTTTTTGTACCAGTGCCATGCTGTTTTGATTACTGTAGTCTTGTATAGTTTGAAGTCAGGTAGTGTGATGCCTCCAGTTTTTTTCTTTTTGCTTAGGATTGTTCCAGCTTTGTTCTTTGTGTTTAGGATTGCCTTGGCTATTTGGGCTTCTCTTGGTTCCAAATGAATTTTAAAATAGTTTTTTTCAGTTCTATAGAGAATGTAATTGGTAGTTTGATAGCATTTAATCTATAAATTTCTTTGGGCAGTATGGCCATTTTAATGATGTTGATTCTTCCTATCCATGAGCATGGCATGTTTTTCCATTTGTGTTATCTCTGGCATCTTTGAACAGTGTTTTGTAGTTCTAATTGTAGAGATCTTTAACCTCCCTGGTTAACTGTATTTCTAGGCATTTTATTCTTTTTTGTGGCAATTGTGAGTGGGATTGAGTTCTGATTTGGCTCTCTGCTTCACTGTTGTTAGTGTATAGGAACATTAGTGATTTTTTTTTTTTTTTTTTGAGACGGAGTCTCGCTCTGTCGCCCAGGCTGGAGTGCAGTGGCGCGATCTCGGCTCACTGCAAGCTCCGCCTCCCGGGTTCACGCCATTCTCCTGCCTCAGCCTCCCGAGTAGCTGGGACTACAGGCGCCCGCTACCACGCCCGGCTAATTTTTTGTATTTTTAGTAGAGACGGGGTTTCACCGTGTTAGCCAGGATGGTCTCGATCTCCTGACCTCGTGATCCGCCCGCCTCGGCCTCCCAAAGTGCTGGGATTACAGGCGTGAGCCACCGCGCCCGGCCACATTAGTGATTTTTGTACGTTGATTTTGTATCCTGAGATTCGCTGAAGTTGTTTATCAGCTGAAGGAACTTTTGGATCAAGGCTATGGGATTTTCTAGATATAGAATCATGTTGTCTACAAACAGGTATAGTTTGACTTCCTCTCTTCCTATTTGGATGCGCTTTATTTCTTTCTCTTGCCTGATTGCTCTGGGATTCTAATACTATGTTGAATAAGAGTGGCGAGAGAGGGCAACCTTGTGCCAATTTTAAAGGAGAATTCTTCCAACTTTTGTCCATTTGGCATGAGTTGGCTGTGGGTTTGCCATAGATGGCTGTTACTGTTTTAAGGTGTGTTCCTTCAATATCTAGTTTATTGAGAGTTTTTAACATGAAGGGGTGTTGAATTTTAATGAAAGCCTTTTCTGCATATGTTGAGATCACCATGTGGTTTTTCTCTTTAGTTCTGTTTATGTGATGAATCACATTTATTGATTTGCATATGTTGAACCAAAATTGCATCCCAGGGATTAAAGCCCACTTTATAGTGGTGGATAAGCTTTGTGATGCACTGCTGGATTTGGTTTTCAAATATTTTGTTGAGGATTTTTGCATCAATATTTGTCAATAATATTGGCCTAAAGTTTTATTTTGTTGTTGTGTCTCTCCCAGGTTTTAGTATCAGGATATTGCTGGTCTCATTAAATGAGTTGAGGAGGAGTCCTTCCTCTTTAATTTTTTGGAAGAGTTTCAGTAGGAATGGTAATGGTACCAGCTCTTCTTCATAGTTCAAGTAGAATTTGGCTATGAATCCATCTGATTCTGGGTTTCTTGGTTTTGGGTTTTTGTTGTTGTTGTTGGTAAGCTATTTATTACTGATTTAATTTCAGAGCTTGCTATTGGTCTGTTCAGGGATTCAATTTATTCCTGGTTCAGTCTTGGGAGTGTGTATGTATACAGGAATTTATCAATTTCTTCTAGATTTTCTAGCTTATGTGCATAGAGATGTTCTAAGTGCATAATATTCTCTGATGGTTTTTTCTATTGCTGTGGGGTCAATATCCTCTTTGTTGTCTCTAATTATGCTTATTTGGATCATCTCTCTTTTCTTCTTTATTAGTCTAACTAGTGGCCTATCTTATTAATTTTTTCAAAAAACCAATTTCTGGATTTGTTGATCTATAGAATACTTTTTCATGTTGTCTCAGTCTCCTTCAGTTCGGCTCTGATTTTGGTTACTTGTCTTCTGCTAATTTGAGATTTGTTTGCTCTTGTTTCCCTAGTTCTGTTAGTTGTTACATTAGGTTGTTAACTTGAGATCTTTCTAACTTTGTTATGTGGGCATTTAGTGCTATCAATTTCTGTCTTATCACTGCCTTAGCTGTGTCCCAGAGATTCTGGTATGTTGTATCTTTGTTCTCATTAGCTTCAGATAACTTCTTGATTTCAACTTTAATTTCATTATTTACCCAGAAGTCATTCAGGAACAGGTTATTCTATTTTCATGTAATTGTATGGTTTTTAGTGTATGTCTTAGTCTTGATTTCTAATTTGATTTCACTGTGGTCCAAGAGACTGTTTGTTATGATTTCAGTTACTTTGCTTTACTGAGGAGTGTTTTACTTTTGATTATGTGACTGATTATAGAGTATGTGCCATGTGACTATGAGAAGAATGTATATTCTGTTGTTTTTATGTGGAGAGTTCTGTAGATATCTATCAGGTCCATTTGATACAGTGGTGAGTTCAGGTCCTGAATATCTTTGTTAATTTTCTGTCTCAGTGATGTGTCTCATATTGTCAGTAGGCTGTTAAAGTCTCCCCTATTATTGTGTGTGAGTCTAAGTCTCTTTGAAGGTCTCTAAGAAAAAACTTGCTTTATGAATCTGGGTGCTCCTGTGTTTTTTGCATATATATTTAGGATAGTTAGATCTTCTTGTTGAATTGAACCCTTTACCATAATATAATGCCCTTCTTTGTCTTTTTTGATCTTTGTTGGTTTAAAGTCTGTTTTGTCAGAAACTAGGATTGCAACCTCTGCTTTTTTTTTTGTTTTTCATTTGCTTGGTAGATTTTTCTCCATCCCTTTATTTTGAGCCCATGTTTGTCATTGCACGTGAGATGAAGCTCTTGAAGACAGCATACCAATGGGTCTTGGTTTTTTATCCAGCTTGCCACTCTGTGTCTTTTAATTGGGGCATTTAGCCCATTTACATTTAAGGTTAGTATTGATATGTGTGGATTTGATCCTGTCATGATAATGTTAGCTGGTTATTTTGCAGACCTGTTTATGTATGTGGTTGCTTACAGTGTCACTGGTCTGTGTACTTCAGTGTGTTTTTATCATGGCTGGTAATGGTCTTTCTTTTCCATATTTAGTATTCCCTTTGTGAGCTCTTGTAAGGTAGGTCTGGTGATAGCAAATTCCCTCAGCATTTGCTTGTCTGAGAAGGATCTTATTTCTCCTTTGCTTGTGAAGCTTAGTTTGGCCATTAAATTTGGCATTGGAATTTCTTTTCTTTAAGAATGTTAAATATTGGCCCACAATCTCTTCTGGCTTGTAGGGTTTCTGCTGAAAGGTTCACTGTTAGTCTGTTGGGCTTCCCTTTGTAGGTGACCTAACCTTTCTCTCTAGCTGCATTTAACACTTTTTCTTTAATTTCATCCTTGGAGAATTTGATGATTACGTGTCTTGAGGATCATCTTCTTTCTTACTGTGGTTCTTTGCATTTCCTGCATTTGAATGTTGGCCTCTCTAACTAGGTTGGGAAAGTTCTCATGGATGATATCCTGAAATATGTTTTCCAAGTGGCTTCCATTCTCCCCATCTCTTTCAAGGACACCAATGAGTTACAGATTTGCTCTCTTCACATAATCCCATATTTCTTAGAGGTTTTGTTCATTCCTTTTCATTCTTTTTCTCACTATTTTTTTCTGACTGTTGTATTTTAGAAAGCCAGTCTTCAAGCTCTGAGATTCTTTCCTCTGCTTGGTCTATTCTGTTAGGAATACTTGCAATTGCATTATGAAATTCTTGTAATGTGTTTTCAGCTCTATCATAGTTACATTCTTTTCTATACTGGTTATTTTGTCTGTCAGTTTCTGTATCATTTTATTGTGATTCTTAGCTTCCTTGGATTGGGTTTCAATGTACTCCTGCATCTCAATGATCTTTGTTTCTATCCATATTCTAAATTCTATTTCTCTCATTTCAGCCATCTCGGCCCAGTTCAGAACCCTTGCTGGAGAGATAGCAGTCATTTGGAGGAATGAAGGCACTCTGGCTTTTTGAGTTGTCAGGGTTCTTTCTCATCTTTGTGGACTGGTATTCCTTCAGTCTTTGAAGTTGCCATTCTTTGGATAGGCTTTTTTTTTCTTCCTTCATTTTATTTTATTCTCTTGAGAGTTTGATTGTAGTATAAGGCGGGTTCAGTCGACTGGATTCATTTCTGGGCAATTTGAGGGGACCAAGGCTCAGCTCCCAACTTCTGGACTATATGCTCTAACTCTGGGGGACTTGTGTTGGCCCTGAATTTGTTCTCTGGTTCCTCAAGGTTAGGAATCCACTCCACTAGAGGAGCCTAGGTGCTCCCAGACCACTGGTTTCTACACTCCAGTGGGTGTTGCCAGCCAAAGCATTTTGTAGGGCAGTGGCAGCAGGATCCATCCTCATTCACATGTTCCAGCAGTAGCAGTGCTGCAGGGCACATGCTTGTCAGCTGTGGCAGAGTGAAAAGCAGGCTTCAGAGTGCCAGCCTCCCTGTGGGCATTCACAACACTGGCAGAGGTAGTACAGTTGGGGGGTCAGGGGTCTCTGACTGGTGCCTGTGTGCACATTTGCACTGGTGATGGTGTTAACACAGGGGCAGGGCACTGGCAGGAGTGGGTCTGAATGTGCCATTTGTGTATGTTCACCCAGGCTGGGGTGGCTAGTCAGGGTGGGGGAGGGACTCTGTTCTCCTT
Source organism: Homo sapiens (assembly GCF_000001405.40). Classification (NCBI taxonomy): domain Eukaryota; kingdom Metazoa; phylum Chordata; class Mammalia; order Primates; family Hominidae; genus Homo; species Homo sapiens. Next base: position 115,533,087 of record NC_000003.12, read on the forward strand.
GCCTAGTTTCATTCTGGTAGCAGTGTTGGTGCAAGGGCAGGGCACTGGAGGGGATGGGGCTGGTGGGCTCTGTGCCCTCCAAGACTTGAATACAATGGTGGTAAGGCAAGGGAAGGGGAGCAGAGTGGTGCAATGGTGGTAAGGTAGGAAGGGGAATGGGGCAGGGAACACACACACACGCATGCTCATGGGTCAGGGAAGGCAAAATCCAAAGGTACACACACATGCTGGCAGAGCAATGTGTGGGGTGGCAGTGGGCCCTGGGCAAGCTCCATGGGGGAGGAATCAGGTGAGTTGGTGCATGGCTCTGAGGGCCACTCTGCTGGAGCTCTCTGCTGGTCAGGTGCAGTCTGCCTGTGCAGGAGCTATGGTGTGGGCCCCCAGGGCACCTATGTCCACACTGTCAGCAAGTTGGCCAGGCTGGGGCCCCAGGAGAGGCCAGCAGACCAAGGGGTGCTCAGGTCAGACCAGCCCCATCTGATGGGCAAGATTGCCCTGCAGACTTCAGGTTGACAGTTCCCCTAGGGCTAAAGTCTCCTCTGGAAGCAAGTGGAGCCTGGAGGGATGGGTGTCCCTGGCCATGCTCCCTTACAGATGTTCCTGCACCAAATCCCCTGAGCTCTGCAAAGCCTGGCATGCTGCCCCTGCTACTTCTCTAAGCAGTTCTCCTCACCAACTCAACTCTTCATGGTGGTTGAAGAGTCTCCTCCTGCTGGGATTCTAGAGCCCTTTGGCAAAAGCTGGTTACTCCTTGCCAGTTGAACTCATTCCTTCCCCCAGAGTTGTCAGGGGCCAGGAATGTGTCCTGGTGCACAGTTGCTCTGTGCAAGATTCCCAGCTTCCTATACCTTCAGCCCAGCTTCTGTTTCTTCCCTCCATCCACTTTCAGTGCCTTGCCTCTGAAGATCTATTAGGAGTGAGCCCGTCATCTCGATCCCTCAGTGGCAGCTGTTCCACCTGGGTATGTCTGTAAACTCGATATTCTATATTCCTTCTTCATTCATTCAACACATATAGATTAAGCATCTACTATATCCCAAATACTCCCCTGTTAGCCTCCCTGCAGTAGCTTATACAAAGAAGTAATTTTAAGGGATGTCCTCTGTCGAACATATGCACAAAATAGATACACATGGTAAATAAATGGAGGTCAAGAGGAAGAAACATAGTCATTTTGAAAGTAAATGGTGCCTTAACTAAGCCTGAGCAAAGGGTTTATCAAGTGAAGGAAGGAAGGTTGCCCAGAAATTATATATATGACATATATAATACATATAATAATATAATTAATATATGATATATATTACATGTATGTATTGTGTAATTCTCCATGCAGAGAAGGGTGGCAAGATATTAAGGCACCTGAGCTAGATGTAGAGAGTGTTACTTTCCATATCATGGATTCTCTCTTTAGATAATAGGGGAAATCACTAAAAAATTTTAGCAGCAGATTTAAGACCTTATTTACAACTTAGCTCAGACACACCAACTTTGGATGCCATGTCCCAATATCTTATCAAATAGAAAGAAGCAAAATAGCCCTTGTTATTAAATACATTAAGATTTAGATGAAATTATGCCTGTGCCTTTCTGGAGCAATGACTTTTAATTCATAAGTAAAATTCTTGTTCTTGTGTGTTTTACCAATTGCTTACTTTATGATTCTCTCTTTAACATATTCTAACTCCTTGTTTATCTCAATTTCTCTTCATACAAACCCTTATCTTTTCAGTAATTTTTATAATTCTACATTTTATTATCCTTTGTGATTTATCTCTTAACATAAATCATTTTCTAATTCATTTTACAGTAATTATTATAATTAAATGTTAATAATAGCCACATAACAACTAATCTCATTATAATTAAAAATGATATAAAGCTGGGAGGGATATAAAATATTTTGTATGTCAAGTCAGGACCCAGAAGGATCTCTGCAAGCTGGAGTAATTACTGGACTCAAAGAAAATTCAGGCAATAGTGATAAAATATAAGTTCCTACATTTGAGTTGTAAAAACCAAGTACCCCACAATAACATGCAAGACAGCTCAAGCAAGAGAGCTTTTAGCTATTGTTAAACTCAATGGAAGAACTCTCCCAAAGCAGAATTCCTATCATCCTGGTCAGATGATATGAAGAATGTTGGGCTCTTGTAGGCTCACCACATTCTAAGAAAGATATAGAAAAATCTTTACATGTTCAGAAAACTAAGATTGAAAAGACTAAAAAAAGTGGGGATTTATGATATTTAGCTTAGGGAAGAGTACATTGTTTTAAAATATGCAGAAAACCATCATACGGAAGACGAAGAGGGGTCAGACTTGTTCTTTATGGCCTTAAAGAGAAGAAGTATGACCAAGGGAGTGAAGGTGGAGGAATTTATGTAGACAGATTTTGTTTTAGAATAAAGAATAATTTTCTAAAGGCTAAACCTGTCTGATAACAGCATGAGCTTCCTCAGAGAGGGTAATGATTTTTTTGTGTCTAGAACTGTTCAAGCACAGAATGAGTGACTTCTTATGAGGTTGCTAGACAAGGAATTGGAGCTTTACCATGATTTTTGTTTTAGGTTCCTGAAGTTTATTTGGGGTACTATTTTCACTGACACGAATAACCTCTTACACTATCTTCACTTTTAAAAATCATTCCTGGCTGAGTGCAGTGGTTGATGCCTGTAATCTCAGCACTTTGGGAGGCAGAAATGGGCCGATCAGTTGAGGCTAGGAGTTTGAGACCAGCCTGGCCAACATGGCGAAACCCCATCTCTACTAAAAATGCAAAAATTAGCCAGGCTTGGTGGTGCATGCCTGTAATCGCAGCTACTCAGGAGGCTGAGGCAGGAGAATCACTTGAACCTGGGAGGCAGTTTGCAGAAAGCTGAGATCCTGCCACTGCACTCCAGCCTGGGTGACAGAGCGAGACCCTGTCTCAAAATAAATAAATAAATTCAGTAAATAAAATAAGAATAAAAATGATTCCTACCCTTTGAGACAAAGATAAAATCCTCCAAATAAGCTTTCTCTTCATGTAATTTAGAATTGTCCTTATGCAATATAAATTCTTACTGTATTTATTGCTCTTTTCTTTTAATATTAGTCTTTTATGAACTATTTGAGAGTAAACTGCAAATGGTATTTCCTATCACCCCAGAATTCTCCCATTTACCAAGAACAAGGATACTTTCTTACGCTCGAAGTCAAGAAATAGTAATACCACACTTCTGTCTAAAACACAGATGCTATTCAATTTTCAAACTGTTCCAGCAATGACTCTTTCTCCTTCTGCTCCAGGATCTCATCCAGGAACTCAGTGCATTTACTTGTCATATCTTTTTGGTCTCTTCCAACCTGTGAACAGTTCTTCACTCTTCCCTTGTTTTTCATCTTCTCAACAGATAGTTGAGGGTCTATAGCTGGGCTGTCTAATATGGTAGCCACTAAGCACATGTAGTTATCTAAGTTAAAACTAATTAAAATAAAATTTAAAATTCCACCTCTCAGTCATACCAGCCATGTTTAAGTGCTCAATAGCCGCATTTGACATGTGGTTATCAAATTTGACAGTGTAGCTAAAAACATAGGACATTTTCATCATTGCAAAAAGTTCTATTGGAGACTGATAGTCTTCAGAATGACCCTAGACCTAGGTCTGCCTGATATTTCCTCATGACCTGTTTCAGGTCACGGTCACGCTTTCTTTGCAAGAATTCTATGGAAACAATGTCGTGTTCTTTTTAGTGCATCACATAAGGAAGTATTATTTCCCTTTAATATCACGGTTTGGTTTGACTTTATTCCACACTACCATCCACAACATTTACTGAGTTCTGCTCTGTATATGACACTATGACCTCATTACAGAGTACATAATCCAGTCCTTGATATCAAGGAACTTCTCAACCAAGAAGTTACATGTAGAACATATATATATATATATGTTACATGCAGAACATATATATATATATATATATATATATATATATAGAGAGAGAGAGAGAGAGAGAGAGAGAGAGAGAGAGAGCGTCTAAGCTTTAGCTACAGAGAGATCTATATTTGTGTTCTGGTACTGCCATTTTATAGAATAATTTCCCTCTTCAATCAACATGTATGTTTCAGTTGCACACTTATGTATAAGCCATTGCAGGATGTGTTTATTGAAAGCAGGGACCATGACTTTCTTGGTATCTTTTACAGCACCTAAGCTAGGTAGGCCTCCCAATAGCGGTGGATTGATGGAACAGAAAAACCCATAAATGCTGTGATGATTCAAAGGCTATATAAAGTTTAGTCACAAATAAAGTTTAGGAAAGCTGTGTCGTGTTAAACACTTTTGGTTATTTTAAATGACAGTGGTGTATTAATGGAAAGGATTATATTGAATTCATCCATCCTGGCTGTAGACCTATACTTAGAGCTGACTAAGCCCACCCGGAGCTGCCCATATCTTAGTATGCAGTGAGTCTGATAAAAAGAACTAGAGGATTAAATATTTATGCCCTTTTAAAGTCTTGGGAAAAAGGAAGAGGAGGATATTATACAGTTACACAAATTAGATTTCCTGATAAGAAATCAATTATATTATTAATCTATCATGAGTACTTAACATGCCACAGGCTAGATCATCATTTTCAGGTTGATGTAAATCCAGCCATCTTTTTGGGACTGTAATTATGTAGAGCACAAATCGAGTTGTGATTAAAAAGCCCAAACTGCTTAGTCAGACTAGCTTTGTGAACTCATCCAAGTTACTCACCTCCCTGTACCTCTACTTCTCCATGCATGAAATGGGGTTTCAATAGTTTCTGAATCATAGGGCTGTTGTAAAGAGTAAATGAGAAAAGCGAAAGTAAAGACCTTGCTCAGCACAGTTCCAGGTACATAGTAAGGATTTAATACAACCTTACTGTTTTAGATTTTATTTCTTTTTCGATCTGTCATGACCCTACCTCTCTCCTGCTCCAATAGTCACACTTACATAAAATCATAGAACTTTAAAATAAAAAATATTACTAGAAGTCAACTATTGACCCACTTGTTTTTTAGAAGAATAAATTGAAACTGGATTTATTGTGACGTGTGTTAGATGAATCTGCTTCTTAGGGGCAGAGCCAAGGGTAGACCACTTTCTACTATATCATACTGACTTTGAATAAGAAGTGTATTCTTTGGTCTGCATATTTATTAAGTACTATTATCTGCATAGCACTAGGCTAAGCACTGGGGATCAAAAACAAAAAATGATAATATATATCATTGAGAAGAACTCTCAGGGGAGGTGGGGATGGGGACAGAGGGGTAAATCCATGAAACTGCAGTAAGTTACAGTGGCGAATACAGAGCTCTGCAAAGGAAGCTGCAAGACCATTTGACTCCTTCAGAAAGTCAATGTTTTAACAAATCTTCTTTTTCATAGATCCCAGGAATTCTGTGAAAAGCCACTTACAATCATGGTTTTCAAGCAAAATACCCATCACCACCCAGGTAGTCAGTCCCTACCTGTGTGTGTGTCAGTTAGGACTGGACTCAGTACTTCCGCATCATATCCTCTCTTATCAGAGGTGTTTGGGTTGGAGATTACCAATATTTTTCTATTACCTCTTCTGTTTCAGCCTAAATATGTTTTTTATTTTGAGAGAGGAAACAGATTAAACTGTGGCTTTAGAGCACAGATCCATTTGGGTTCAATCCAACAAGCAAACATGTTGTTTGACTTGGTAGGAATCATGCTGCATTTATCTACTTATCTCTATCAAAATCTCTTACTTCCCAGGGTTATTGTGGGAAAGATTTTGCCCAAATTATACATGATACTTGTAATTATAAAATATTTTACACTAAAAATGTTAATTGCTTATGTCAGTTTATTCTGTTTGATTTAATTATGGTATTTGCAAATATACCAAGAAGGAAAGTAATGAAATAGTATTTGAAGAAACTTTAGGGTCTCTTCTGTGTCTGGATGAATATATTTAATCTGTCTGCAGGTAGATTAAGAGATTGTTTTTAACAAAGATTTGAAATTTGTGTTCAACATAGTTGCAGCTTAATTTTGAGGCAAGAAGTGTTCGTATTTTTTGGAAGTCCTCAGGATTATGAACAATACTGATTTGGTGGAGCTATCATCCTGAATCTTATGTAAATTGCTGAACTCACATTATTCATTTATTCATACATTCATTCAAAAGCAGTACATTGAGTTCTTATATGTCAATGACCAGGCCAGGTACCAAAGATACATGGTTGAATAAACACCTTGTCTAGCACTCACTTAAAAAGTGAATTAATAAATGCCAGGTACCAAAGATACATGGTTGAATAAACACCTTGTCTAGCACTCACTTAAAAAGTGAATTAATAAATGCATCTATGAATATCTATCTATCTCTGTCCCACAGAAGCCCTCACACTCTAATAAAGGAGGCAAAATTATGCATAGCTAACTATAATACAATATTTAAAAGGCAATAACAGAATGATGTTCAAAGTGCCATGGAAGAAGGCACATATTAATTCTGCCTAGCAGCAGTGTCAGGAAATGCTTCCTACCAGTGATGCTTAACTAGCATATCAAAGAACTACCCAACTCAAACCCCAAAATCAATGTAAAAATTCCATCATATACTGACTAATTTTATTTCAATATTTTAAAAATCTTGGCTTACTTATAGCATTATGGTTAAAATCCAAGAGTCACAAACTGGTACATGCGAAAGGTTTTTATCCCAAATTTATCACCTAGCTATCCATCATTCCCTTAGCTTGGAGAATCCAGTGTAATCAGCATCCAAGGATACTTTACACATAGACAAACAAATACGTATAGAGAGTCTGTGTGTACACTTCCAGTTACATCCACATGCATGTATACACTGACAATTATCCTCCTTTTTTCCCATAAGTAGTAGTACAGGTATAGCTTAGAGATATAATAGGTTTGGTTCCATGAGTTTGGATCACTGCAACAAAGCAAATAAAGAGACTCCTGTGAAGTTTTTGGTTTTCAAGTGCATTTAAAAGTTATGTTTACACTATAATGAAGTCTATTAAGTATGTAAAGTACTATGTCTCAAAAAATATATATACCTTATTTAATAATACTGCCAAAAATGCTTGCATTCATCTGAACCTTCAGCAAAACATAATCTTTTTGCTGATAGAGGGTCTTGTCTTGATGTTGATGGTTGCTGACTGATCAGGGTGGTGGTGGCTGAAGGTTTGATAAGAATAAAGGATAAAGTTTGTTACACCAATTGCCTCTTCCTTTCATTAAATATTTCTCTGTAGCATGCAATGCCGTTTGGTAGCATTCTGCTCACAGAATTTCTTTCAAATTTGGTTCAAATTTGGAGTCAATCCTCTCAAACCCTGTCACTGCCTAACCAACTAAACTTACATAATATTCTGAATCTTTTGTGTCATTTCCAAATGTTCACAGCATCTTCAACAGGAGCAGATTCTATTTCTAGAAACCATTTTCTTTGCTCAACAATAAGAAGCAATGCCTCATCTGTTTAAGTTGTTCATGAGATTGCAGCAATTCAGTCACATCTTCAGCCTCTGCTTTTAATTCTAGTTCTCTTGCTATTTCCACCACATCTGCAGTTACTTTCTTCACTGAAGTCTTGAACTCCACAAAGTTATCCATAAAAGTTGGAATCAACTGCTTCCAATCTCTTGCTCACGTTGATATCTTGACCTTTTCTCATGAATCACAAATGTTCTTAATGGGATCTAGAATGGTAAATCCTTTCCAGAATATTTTCAATTTACTTTGCCCATATCCATTAGTGTAATCACTATCTATAGCAGCTATAGCCTTATGAAATGTATTTCTTTAATAAGACTTGAAGGTCCAAATGACTGCTTGATCCATGGACTGCAGAATGTACGTTGCATTAGCAGCAATGAAAACAACATTAATCTCCATTAACGTATCTATCAGAGCTCTTGGGTGACCAGGTGCATTGTCAATGAGCAGTAATACTTTGAAATAAATCTTTTTTTTTTTTTCTGAGAAATAGATCTCAACAGTGGGTTTAAAATATTCAGTAAAACATGCTATAAACAGATGTGCTGTTATCCAGGTTTTGTTTTTCAATTTATAGAACACAGACAGTAGATTTAACATAATTCTTGAGGGCCCTAGGATTTTCAGAATGGTGAATGAGCATTGGGTCCACTTAAAGCCGCCAGCTACATTAGTCCCTAACATAAGGTAGCATGTCCTTTGAAGCCTTGAAGCCAGGCATTGATTTCTCCTCTCTAGCTATGAAAGTCTTAGATGGCATCTTCTTCCAATGCTATATAAGTCTGTTTTATCTACATTGAAAATCTGTTGTTTACTGTAGCCATCTTGATCAACGACATTAGATCTTCTGAGTCAGCTAGATCCAGATAACTTGCTGTAGCTTCTCCATTAGCCCTTGCTGCTTCCCTTTGCGCTTTTATGTTATGGAGGTGGCATTTTTCCTTAAATCTCATGGACCAACATCTGCTAGCCTTAAGCTTTTCTTCTGCAGCTTCCTCACTTTTCTCAGCCTTTATAGAATTGAAGAGTCAGGGCCTCCCTCCGGGTTATTACCCTTTGGCTTAAGGAAATGTCATGGCTTATTTGATCTTCTATCCAGACAACTAAAACTTTCTTCATATTAACAAGAAGGCTGTTTCACTTCTTTATCATTCCTGTGTTCACTGAAGTAGTACTTTTAATTCCCTTTAAGAACTTTTCATTTACATTTATAACTTGGCTAACTGTTTGGTACAAGAGCCCTAGCTTTCAGGCTATGTGGCCTTTTGGCGTGCTTTGCCTGCTAAGCTTAATCATGTCTAGCTTTTGATTTAAAGTGAGAGATGTGACTGTTCCTTTCACTTGAACAGTTAAAGGCTATTGTAGGGTTATTAATTGCCCTAATTTCAATATCATTGTATCATAGGGAAAAGGGAGGCCTGAGGAGAGGGAGAGAGATGGGAGAACGGCAGGTCAGTGGAGCAGTCAGAACACACACAACAGTGCAGTTAAATTCAATGTCTTATATGGGCGCTGTTCATGGTGCCCCAAAACAATTACAAAGTAACACGAAAGATCACTGATCACAGGTCACCATAGCAGATATAACAATAATAAAAAAGTTTGAAATATTGCAAGAATTATTAAAATTTGACACAGAGACAGGAAGCGAGTACACACTGTTGAAAAAAAAATGGTGTCAATAGACTTGCTTGATGCCGGGTTGCCACAAACCTTCAATTTATAAAAAACCCAATAACTGTGAAGCATAATAAAGTGAAGCACACACAATAATATATGCCTGTATGGTATACATATTGTTCTGTACTTTGCTTTTTCACTTAAGAACATTTCTTCCTATCAGATTTTTGTCACTTTAAGTCTTTTGCTGTAATAAAAAAGTCTTGCGCTGATATTCCCATGTATGTTATATTTTTAGTAATAATCCTGAGCAAAGACCTTTGCAAGGTCAAAGGGTAATTGCATGGAATTTGGATAGATATTGCCAAGTTGCAGCACTGTCCCTGCAATGTATGAGAGTGTCTGTTTCTCTGCATTGGCTATTCTTTAGCAGTTTGCTCTAAAATTCTTTTGATTTTTACTAATTTAGTATGTCCCTTTCTGCTTCTAAACACCCTAATTATGAGTCATTTAATTCCCATATGTGACTCTGGGTCTTTTTTTTTGTTTGACTGATGCCAAAATCACTGAAACTTTATAGTAAATGTTTATATTTTAGAGAGCAGGCACCTTGAATGCAATTATCATGTATTTACTTTTTGGAAATTTAGTAACAACTGAAAAATTTACATTAAAAACATCACTTTGGCATTTTGTTTAGGATAGCATTGCACTTATAGATGCATTTGGGAAATGTATCTTCTATATAAAACCCAGTCTCCTTATCAGGAACATGGCATACCTCTCCTTACTCAAGACGTATTTTATTCTGTTCTTAAGTTTATTTGTTTGTTCATTCAAGTCTTGCACATTTCTTAATTTTGTTTAGTTCACATTTAGCACTTTTATTATTATGTCTATATAAATATGGCTTATAGTTGTGCTAACTAATAAACTATCACACTTTTATCTATATACAATGTTTTTGTTTTTCTGAAGCCATCAATTGCCTCATATATACATTTATATATAATATATGTGATTATACACAAATAAATATATATATAATATATATTAAAAAATGTATTTTATATGCTAAGATGTCTGCTGGCTAGTTTTCCCACACTCCCTCAATGGCTCTATTAAGCATCTCTCAATTGTCCATGTGTTTAAACCTGTCACATATCCTGTCAATTCTATTTTTTTTTTCTGGTGTTATGTCTCCTGGAGCCCTCTGTCTTCCTACTCCAATTATACTTGTTGCTCCTAGGTCTGCTGCAAAATCACCACGCTGGGCATTCCCTTCCCAGTTACCCTGGGGATTGCCTTTGCCTCTATACTATTGCATTTCTTGTCTCCTGTGCTTCATGTCTTCCTCATTCTTGGTTTTATCTACCATTTTTGGTGAAGTATAGCCTCTAGAAGCTCTAGAAAGAATTCCAGATCAAACATGTCTCTCTCAAAATGTAAAAGGCAAGTCTCCATTATCTTCCAGATTCTTGCATGTGTCTGCTAAGAAGTTTGAAGTTTTTCTTTTCTATGTGATCTGTTTTTCTCTCTGGAAGCTTTGAAGATCTTGTTTTTACACCTAATGTTTGGAATTTCCATGACAGAAGTATCTTTTTAAAAATTGCTATGCCAGAAATTCAGTGGGCTTGCAACTCATGTCTTTTCATTCTAGAAAATATTCTTGTATCACTTCTTTAGGAAATTGTTTCTTACTATCTCCTTTTTTCTTTTTCTGGGACTCCTACTAATTAGATTTTGGGACTCCTGGAGTGATAAGATGAATGTAGACTCATTCACCAAATGCTAACCCAGATGAATTGCATTATTAAATTTCAAAGTACTCCTTTTATGAAAGACACACAGAAACAGTGTATGCTATAGTCATAAAATGGAATTTGTTAATATCAAGAAGTGGTTAAAACTGGAACTAATGATACGTATGTTTTAAGATATTTAAATGTGTGCATGTGATATGCATAATGATTAAACCATCTGTGGAGGCCTATTGACCTGGACTGAGTTTACTTTGCCCCTTAGTACCTACTTAAACTCTCTAAATAGGTTTCCACATCTATAAAATTGGGAGGATTATGGTACTCATGATATTTAATGGTGATAGTTAAATAAGAAAATGTATTTAAAGAAGCTTGCACAATGTCTGGCATACAGTAGTTACTCAATAAACATTATTTTTATGTTGTTACTGATGGAATGGGTTACTAAGGGGAAGTTGAGAATGTTCAGAATATTTTGCCCATTAGGATTTTACTTCATAGAGAGCTGCCATGTGTTTCTACAAACATCCTGCTGTGACTCTGTATGACATGAACATTGCACAAAATGGGCCATTTGTCTGACTTCAGAATAGGCTGCCTAATATTATATTGCGGGAAACCCTTTTTGTTGCCATGCTGATGAATAGCTCAAGAAATTATTTATCAAGCTATGCGATTTAGTTACCCCAGTCGGATACTCGTTTAATCTGTGAAGAAAGATGGGTAATCAAGGGAAGCAAGAAAGATGAGCCCAAGCAGAAAGAGGTGGTGATGTCAGAGGAAGAAAAACAAATGTAGAGGGCACCAAAACCAAGAGCAGGCTATTAGAAGAAGGAGAGACCTCAAAAAACCATTGGGTTGAGATGTTGTTTGAGTAAAAAGTTCTGTTAGTGTGATAAGTGACCTTCCCTGGAATACTCCCAGAAACAGTCCAGTGGGTTAATCTCATTAGAGATATAAATGACAAGACCATTGGAGATGGAGGCATAAACTCACTAGAATAGTTTTAGCTGTCAAAGCCATTCCATGGTGCAGCTAAAACCAAGAGGGAGACATGTTAGTTTTTATGCCTAGGGTTTGTTCACTGAGTAATAGCAGAGGATCTTCAACTCTATTCATATACTTATATATCTGTGTAAGATTCCATGGGTCCCTGGTGCTTTGACTGTTGTCTAGTTATCTGATTACCCTGGTTTATCATGCTCTTTCTGAAACAAAGACTAAGAAAAAGGAGAAACACAACCCATGGAATAACATCCTAGTCCTAATTTAGAGTGATGTGATGTTAACATTAACTCACCTGATCACCCATGAGGCCTCTAAAGTCCTTAGTTTCTCCTAGGGTTTTGTGGCAAAAGCAATGAAGTGGGACTAGATAGAATTGTTTCCTAGTCATGGTTCTGCCAATTGTTCTGAGGGAAATCTCCTAACTTCTCTAAGACTCCACTTTTCATATCTGTAAAATTATTTTATTCCTATAGCTAGATGGTTCTTAAGCCCTTTGGGTCAAGTGCCATTTGAGAATCTGATAAAAGCCACCGATTCTCTCCTTAGATTTATGTATGTTGCAATATTACAGATTAGCAAGAAGTGACCATACACAGGCAGGCATCCTCTGCAAAGCTAGATTGGATTTCTAACTTATTTTCCCAAAAATACAAAATATTTGAGAAATGAGGTGGCCACACAAAGCAGAAGTAGATGCAATCAATCTCAGTGTAGTTTCTCTTGGGCCTAAAGTGCCTGACAGGGGGCTGATGACACTATTTGTGCAAATTAGAATCTCACCTGATCCAAGAGGGGGAATTCTTGCTGTGTCACTCTCCCTTATATTCAAGGCTTGTACCTCCATTGATGAGCTTACACTAACAGCCTGTGAACTTCCAGTTAAGAAAATTTTTTACAGAAAATTGGTTCTTTATTCTTGAATCAAATGGTATCAGCTCAGCCACAGTCTTATCTAGGGAAAAAGCAAAATCAGTGCCCTGATTGCTACATCTACTGTTTTAGACTCTCAATAAATAAATTATTTCTCTCCAAACATACACACACCCCCACACCCACACCCCCTTCCCCCCAACACACTCACACTACACACTGCACAATTTGGCACATAATTTCAGAGAGTTCAGACACTCCCCCAAATTTATCCCATGCACTCCACATTAAGAGTCTCTGATCTGGAGTATCTTTATGATGTTTCTGGCATCTAAAGTGTTATCATCCTTTTTTTTTTTTTAGACAAGGTCTTACTCCCATTGCCCAGGCTGGAGTGCAGTGGTGAACTCATGGCTCACTGCAGCCTCAAACTCCTGGACTCAATCAATCCTCATCCTTAGTCTTAACCTCCTGAGTACCTGTGACTATAGGTGTAGGCCACCATGCCCGGCTAATTTTTGGTATTTTTTTTTTTTTTGGAGAGATGGGGTTTCACCCTGTTGCCCAGGTGTGTCTCAAACTCCTGAGCTCAAGAGATCTGCCTATCTCAGCCTCCCAAAGTACTGGGAGATTACAGGCATGAGCCATAATGCCCAGCTAAATGTTATCATTCTAAGCAAGCTATAATATTTTTCTTATCACCAATATTCCTTCAGACTACAGTGGGAGGATTTGGGGGTGGAATGAGTAACTTTCATCTTTACAGCTTTCAGACCAGCAATACAACTTTTTCTTTTTAATCTCTTTTTTCTCTCTGTTTTAATGGTAAAGTTGACAGAGTGTTGAAGCTATCTTGAAAAGTTCAGAACAATTTCATCTCTCACTCTTGTTCACATTAGAGATTATTATGTTCCAGAATCATATTTCTAAAATCCAAGATGAAATATTTTTGGGGAGTCATTCTATATTGACTTCAGCTGTGAATGAAGTAAAAGTATTGTGGTTTCTATCTCTCCTTAATTTAATCTACCACTTTGTCTTGAGAGAAATGATATATCCTACCTTTTATGTTTCATCTGAAATTTCATCTCTGCAAATTCCTATCTAACCAGAAACTGGTTTCATATTCACGGTCATCATTATTATTAATTCATTTAATGCTGTTCAACTAAACATCTTGTGGTGCCCTTACTGACCTATTTAGCCATTCATTCCAAAAATAATCCATGGGAAGGGATAACATTTACTGAGCATTTACTGTATGCTGGGCACTGTGCTGAGCACTTTGCAAATACCGTCTCCTTTAATCCTGTTTTGATTGCTTCTTTTCAGGGATCTGGAAGTTACATTCTGCTTTACCATGATTTGAACCAGCAGGTTATAACTGTTTATGAGAAAGAAATACATTTCATTTCCCTGAAGCCTTGGGGTCACCCTGCTGCGCTACCTCGGTGGTTAGTAAGAAAGTGGAGATAAGGACAAAGGCCATGTAGCAGCTGTATGGAAGGGAAAATTGCGGGTTTCTGAGTGGTACCAGGAATTGACTGCTTTAACCTCCAACTGAGGATCTTGGAAAACCTTGGAAGTGAAGAAGGATAAGGGAAATAAAACTTGTGAGTGCCTCCTAAGTATCATGCTTAGTAATATATGCTTTGCTATATTTCATCCTCACTTTACTATGTGAAATTGGTCTTATTACCTCTATCTTCAGAGAAACATGAGGCTCAGACAAGTCACATGGCTATGGTTTGAATATTTGTCCCCTTCAAAATTCATGTTGAAATTTAATCTCCAATGTGGTAGTACTGAGAGGTGGGCCTTTAAGAGGCGATTGGGTCATGAAGGCTCTGCCCTCATGAATGGATTAATCCATTCATTAGTTAATGGATTAATGGGTTATCATGGGAATAAGATTAGTGGCTTTATAAGAAGGTGAAGAGAGATCTGAGCTAGCACAATCAGCCGCCTTGCTATGTGATGTCCTTTGCTAACTCGGGAATCTGCAGAGTCCCCACCATGAAGAGGGCCCTCACAAGATGCAGCCCTTTGACTTTGGACTTCTCAGCCTCCATAACTGTAAGAAATAAATTCCTTTTCTTTATAAATTACCCAGTTTCAGGTACTCTATTACAAGCAGCAGAAAATGGACCAACATACGTGTGAAGCTGGGGCTTGAACTAGTCCTGTTCGCCTTAAAAAAAAAAACAAAAAATCCTTTTTCCACTGTTTCGCAATGGAGAGGAAAGAAGAGAAAAAGGCATAGTGGGGAGGGGAATTCTGCATTTACAAAAGCAACATGAACATCAGAAGTTAAGAGGTTAAGACTGACAGACAGAACCTGATCAGAATTCCTGACTTAGATGCTGGATTGATAAGAGGCTGCGTTAACAACCTGATGATAGGAAAAATTAGATGTTGGGAAGCAAATAGAGAAATAAAAAATAATACATATACTCAATTTACAGCTGAAATAATCCTGTTTAAATTGATTGTTTTAGACTGTGAGCCACATTCTTTCATAATATATGCTATAAACTATTTTGAGCAGTTGATCTTTTTTTTTTTCATAATTCATGTGAGGTTTTTTTCTAACTGACCTTAAAAGTTTAATCACATATATCCAAGGGATGATAAAACCTAAGTAAGCCAGTTTCTGAAAATTATTTTGCCCTTTGCAAAAAAAGTCTTTTTAGGGAGGGAGACTCCTCCTATTATAATTCAGGGTCTTTAAATCAGAGCAATGAGAAATCATCTTAATTAAGGAAAACCCTTAAGTCTTCCCCAACAGCTGGTTTGCTTGCAAATAGGAAAGACTAAAAATGAATCAGAGAAAAAGGGTTTGCACAATTTCTAAAATAACTTGATATATTTAGAAGTGTGACTCTGTGTGTGTTTTCTTGTGCAAATCTAGAAAACCAGAGAGCTTGTGTGAGTTTTAACTATGTTGTAATTTTCAGAATCTTCAAGTATCACGTAAAATACACAGCATAGTTCTGCAGCTCTGTAATGTTCTGTTATGCTTGGTTGTGAGATTCGTATTGGCATAACAGTGCATGAGAGTAAACATTTAATATTTTAAATTTATAAAATGCAGTTGCTGTATGTACAAACATATTAAAAAGGTATATGATAGTGTGTTTGATATTTTAGGTATATGATACTTTGTGGCTATTAGTGAGAAACAGTACACCAGAGAAGTGCTATTTTAGACAAGTGTGTGCATCCCTTTTCCTCTCTGTAGCCTGTGATGTTATTTGGAGGTTTGTCCATAGAAAAACAGGTGATGCCTAATGTTAAAAGCCAAAAAGCAGTTACTATGGAAACCAGATGCAAATTTAGATCTGTGTCCACTTTTTACTGCGTACAGAAAAAAAAAAGCTATAATAGAGTTAAAAATTATGATTCACATCCATGTCTTCTGAGTCTTAAATGTCTGCCAAATACGGAGATGTTGAGTAAGCTACAACTTCTCAGCCTGAACTTCCAATAAAATCTCAAAAATGATAAAATTAGAGAACACTTCAAAATGTTCTTTTTATTTCTTCATTTGCCAAAATTCCCTTTTCTAAATATAGATCTAAAATAACAGCAAATCTATTTTTGGACTATGTAAAATCTATAAATGTATAGATAAATAATATTTACAATACTAAGTGCTTATTATATATAATTTATAAAATGCTGAAAAATAAAATGAAAACAACTCACGCATAGTTCCAAGACACAGAGAAAAGTCTTTTTAATATAATTATTTAATATATTTGAGATCATGCACACATACTATAAATACATGCTGTGTGTTCTGTTGTTTTTTTTTTTCATTTAACGTAACATCACAACATCAGAAGCCAACACATTAAAAATAGTTACTGGATGTAACTTTAATGACAGCACAAACATGATTCTATAGATAGACCTTAAAGTACTTCATCTTTCCTGTTTTTTATTGACAAATTAGGAGTTTGAGCTTTTTTGTTATTATATTTTCACACTACAATGACTGTCTCTGTGCATAAATGTCACCCACATTTTACATATATGCCTGTAAGTAGAATAGCTGAGTAAGGAATACAAATTTTAGATTAATGTATGTTCCTTTCTTACATATATATAATATATAGTATTGTATACACATTATATATATAAAGAGAGAGAAAAAATTTTTTTTCAGTTACAAAAGACAGAAAACCAATTAAAACTGAGGGGATGAGGTAGGAGAAAGTTTTTGGTCCATATAACTCAAATGCCCAAGGATAAGGCCTGACTTTAGGTACGGTTTGACCCAAGGGTTTAAACAATGTTAATACCAATAATAGCGAACATTTCTTGAACAGTTTCTACATGTCAGGGACTGTTACATACTTTATATAACTAACTCATTTAACTTTCACAACATTCTATGAAGAAAATACAACTATGATTCCCATTTTACAGCTTTCTCTTGATTTCCTGTTTCTGCTCTCCTCTTTATGGCCTCATTCCCAGGCAGGTTCTCTCTCTAGCTGCTCCAGATTCATTCCCTCAGACCAAAGTCCACAAAATGACTCTTGCCTCTTTTCCAGTTGCTCAGGCAAAAGTTCCACTATTAACTCTGGTCCTGCCTCCTGGATTGGCCTTGACCCCATTCTTGGCCCCATTGCTAGGGGAACATTAGACCCGGATATGTCATTCCTGAGCTAAACTGCTACCCACCCCTGGAGCTGGGAATGGAGTTAGCTGCCTCAAAGTACATGACCTCAGAGTAAAGGATGGAATAATTTCCCCAAAGATAAACCAAGTACTGTTTTCAAAAGCAGAGTAAATGGAAAGCAGATGGCCACTTCCACTACAGCAACAAATTCCACTACAATGAGGACTCAGAAATTTTTGGTTGCATTTAGAGAAGAGAACAGTGCATCAAGCTACTTGGACGAAAAATATCTTTCTGGTTCAAGTTTCTGAGGATGAGCAATTATTACATTTTCAGATTCACAATGCAGAGGAATAGTTTTAAATAGTCTGAAAGAACTATTTAGATGCCAGCCACACCTTAAATAAATGTGCTCATTCTACATGCAAGTCTAAATATACATGTAAATGAAGAAATTTGAAGAAACCCTAGTGGATTCACTCTTTCCAGCTTAAAGCACACTCCATTATTTTCCTAAACATATGGATGTGGTCCAAGAAAATATCTAGATAGAAGTCATTTTTCCCAACAATATGACAAAATATATGATTTCTTTGCTGCTTCGTCAGTGATTGGAGTGTGATATAGACTGTAACTTTCTACAGTTAGAAAATCAGCCATGAGAACAGTGGCTTCAGTGTCTGATTACATTCACCAAGTATGTCTGTTTATTAATCTTGATGTTGTTTGCTATGTAATGGAGGTAATGCAGATAGGGAAAAAAAAATGTCTGAGCTGTGCATGGATTGCTATGGAAACAGCAGCTGACCAATCAATGGAGAGTAGTCAGAACATATGCCTCCTCTCCTCTGCAGTCCTGATGAATTGATGTCCTGCTATTGCAATCCTTTTGGCTCTGTTGTCACTTGTAGCAATAGTTTTTTGACATCTAAATATATGACGCACACCTGTTATTTAAAAATCAGAGGTATAAATGATTAGTCTTAAAATATTCAATCTCTCTGTACAAACACGCTCACAGTCAGTTATTTCTCCCTCCAAAGTATTTTCTAAATTTCTTGTGCATCCATCCCTCCTAATCCTTTTACTTGCCATTTCCTCACACCATCCTGCTCACTTGCCTTCCCTCCCTTTTGCTATCCCAAACCTCCTTAGTCTATTAGCAGGTAGCATTTTCTTCAACATGGAGAAATATAAATCAACATGAGTCAATTTAAAACTTTGTCCAATTTTAGAGTTAATTTTTTTTAAAGTAGTTGAAAAACATATTCAGAACTACAAGAGGGTTCAACCACCAGACACATGAGAAAGACCATTTCACATTTCTCTGTTAAGTCCAGGAAATATAAACAGATCTGTTTCTCAGGAAAGCTCAAGAAAAATGTGAAGAAAGAAAATAGAGCCATTAGAAGCATAGTCTAAGTTTAAAAATGAATAAATTACATTTGACAATAATCTGCCAATTGTGAGACTAGTCACATTGATTAGAAAAGGTTGTTGTAGATTTCTCTGGGGTAGTGAACCCTTGATCTACATAAAACTTGTGTCTCTTTTGGCCTTAAATAATTGGGAGAGTGGAGAGAGGGGGAGATAATGTTATCTACAATAGCTTCAGTGAGCACGAAGGGGTGTGTGTCATGATGATAAAGACAAAATAGGGCCCTCTGGTCTTTGCTATTGTCGTTGCATAAAAAGATTTAAAGGACTGACTTGCATTGAGCAGATTGAACAATAAATAATGGCTGCTGACATTTAAACCTATCTCCAGATCACACAGTAAATCTGTGGGGATGATTGCGCACAAGTCCTAGAATCATTTAATATTCAGCTGATTCACTGGTAGAACAATGGGCTGATTTGATGATATAGTGATGTTCTTATTATCTGGGCTCACTGAAGAAATAAGCTTTCTTAAAAACAATTCTTTTTGTGTATACACTGAGGCTTTAAAGAAAAGGCCAATATTCATCTCCATGCCTTTTTCGGGAATTATTCTGGGAGCTTGGTATCATCAGTAAAGAATGAAAGATTTCCTGACTTCATGGAGTGTACATTCTAGCAGAGGAAGCAAGCAATAGAAATAAATGGATTAAACAAATTCATTTGATAGTATGCTGGAAAGTAAATGTTCTTGTTAAGGTGGCCAGTAGCATCTTAATTACTAACACCTTACCTTTATTGGTTTCCTCCTAGCATTTGGTATTGTTGAATCTATTCTTATTTTATCTTTCATCTCATAGATGGGCAAATGTTTTGGGAGTACTTACTAAACTCCAGGCATTATGCTAGGTGCTGGAGATCCAGCAGAGCATGTGGCATGTTGTAGCCACCCCCTTATCGTCTATCGGTCCTCTCTCTTTTCTCAAGCCACTGATGGCCTCCTCTCCCTCTTTAGCAAGCCCCTTCTTTTCTGTCTGCTCCATAATTATTAGGATTTTCCTTCTATATTTTGTCCACACTCCTCTTAGATCCACATGCTTTATTTGTGATCTCACTGACTTTCTGAGCCTCTAACTGCCATTAATGCACTGATGACTCTATCGCTCCATCATATCACAATAATCCATTCATTCATTATTTCTTTTATAAATATATATGAGCATTTACTCTTTTCTAACCACTACCCTAGGGAATTCAAGAATACATAAAAAGGACATGATCTTTGCCCTCATGGAGATTACAGTCTGGTGGAGGAGACAGACAAAAAACAACCGAACAAGAAAATGAATGAAAACAATTATACATTTTAACAATTTTCATGCATGAAACAAACAAGGGGAGAAGAATAAGAATATACAAAATCTACTATCAGATAGGATGGTCAGGACGGACTCTGTGGAAGGAACATTTGGGCATAAATTAAATGATAAACATAAAACAGCTTTGTGAGAGTCTTTAGAGTTAAGACCATTCTAAGTGAAGGGGATAGCATAAACTTATGCTAAGGTAGTGAGGTGGGAAAATGTTGCTGACCTTTGTGACTGGATGAAAATGAACTTGGGAGAGAGTACTGTGAGATTAGTTTGGAGAAAAACAATAGTGAGATGATGCAGGATCTTGAAGTCCTGAAAAATAATTTGGATTCCCTTCTAGATAGATTTGACAGGAAATGAATTATTCTAAGCAAAGGATTGATGCAATGTAATTCACTTGTTTATTATTACTCTTGCTACTAAGAGGAAAGTGGAATTAGTGATCCCTTAAGAGGCTGTTGGAATTCAAATGAGGGAAGTGTAACCGAACTAGCTGATGGCAGCAGATGTGAATGGAAGCCAGTGGATTTGGTATAAATGTTTCAGTATAAGCAGTAGGACTCGATGTTGTTGGATGGTGTGTGGTAGTTGGGAAAAATGGAGGAATCAGAAATGATTCATAAGTATCTTGCTTGAGAAAATGGGTGGGTGTTGGTGTCATTTCAGGGTTGGAAGGTAATCCACTTCATGAATTATTGCCACAGTTCTGTATTTTTCTGCTGGCCACCAGGCTCTTATCTCTCCAGTCCATCTTTTACCATGCAGAAAGAGAGATTTGGCTCACAGACATAATTTGATTCTTTCTGGCTCCTGTTCAAAAGTCTCTTTTGATTACCAAGTGCTTATAGTTTTAAATATACAAACATGTTGGATTGGGATTCAACCTATTTTCTGGCCTCACTCTGCTGCTGCCCTCCATACACTGGGTTGTTCCTTTCACAATGAGTGTCATGCCGTTCTCTTGATGCCACCATCACATTTCCCACACTTTTTTTTTTTTTGCCTGAGATCTGGAATGTTCTTCATCCTCTTCTGCATCTGGAAAACTCTGATTCACCCTCCAGGACCCTAGTCCAGTGTTTTCTTCTTAAGGGACCCTCCTTGACTTCTTTAGATAGGGAGACTTGATGGGTATCAATTACCATCTCTTTGCCAGAACATTTACTGCATTTTGTAATTTGCCAGTTCATGCATCTGTTTATCTTGTTAGACCTGCATTTCTCCAAGCATGATAATAAGACCACTTGCATTAGAATCTCCTGAGATATTTATTTAAAATGTAGATTCCTGGCTCATTCTCACTCTCTTTGCATCAGAATCTTTCTGGGTGGAGCCTGAGAATCTCTACTTTAGTCAACTCTTCAAGTGACTCTTACATACACTAAGCTCCAAGAATCACTGCAGTGGGCTTTTTCAAGGGCAGGGCCCTATCTAATGCTTCTCTCATCTCCACCACTTAACACACAGGACATGCTCAAAAGATGTTTTTGGAATGGATACTGATTTCAAACTAATATATATTATTTATCTAACATACCAATTATTCATTCAACACATAATTAACTCTGATTAGTACTATATTATTAGCAAGTTTCTAACATTCTGGTTTTTCATTCATACTGTGTGAAGGTTTTTTAAAAACCCACATGATACAGCATTGCAAGAGAAAATTAGACATTTATTCCTTCACACAATCTTAAAAACAGAAAAAAATACAAATCTCAAGTTCTCCTTAGAAATGATGTTTTCTATAATGTTAGCCAAGATATGCACAAACAAGAGAGATAGAAATAATTAGCTAAAGTGTTTGTAACAAGTACACATGTCCGGAAAATTCACTGAAAGCTAACCGTCCCATAGAAGCAGAGCACACCACAGTGAGCCCTCAAGATTACAATTAAATAGTTAAGTGAAATTTAGTTTGTCTTTTCTCACTTGGTAGTGCTCATATATGTATGTTCCATAACACTTTTCTCTGGGAGCATTTTTTCGTTATTCATCATTTCTTACTAAAAAATGATGACTCTCATAAACTTTAAAGGTATGAGTACTCATCTTACTTCTCTTGGATTACCTTTTGCTTGGACCAACTCTGCACCAGGATTCCTGCCCCAGTCTTCCTGCCTAGCCCAGTCTCCCATGACTCCCCTGCCTCTCACCTCCTACCTGAGGCTATATTCAGCCACCTTCTTCCACACACATGCAGCTGAACTCCTGAACAACACAGAGTGGCTAAGAAAGCTGAGGTTAAAGGCTTTGGAAAAATTCTGATCTACAGAGAGAAACTAGGGAATGGGAGATCCAAGTCCAAGATGGCCTAGGGGAGAGGACAGACCATAGTAAGAGTGGGAAGGATATCCTCTGCCTCAGGACATCTTGAGACAATGGTCAAATGCACAAGGAGCTAAGGTAAAGGAGAGATGGAGAGGCAGGACTTGGCCATCATGTTATTAACAGGAAAATTCATTTTCTAGTTGACTGTACTAGAATCAATCAATTCTGTACCGGGTAAAACACACAGCAGCCACTAAAAATACATGTATGTTCAGTCCCTCAAGAGAGAAATACCCATGAGCCCAAATTCTATTTGCATAAGAAGATAAATTGTATCAATATCTCAATGAAATCTTCAGAATGATAAAATTGTACTGAAAGACTCCAGCATCTCCTTTCTTTCTTCCCTTCCTTTACATTCTATGTGAAGCTCTATGAATCTAGGTCTTTCTGCTTTTTTTCATCTTAGGAAGGTTAAAAAGTAGGAAGACTACCGTTTATTACCTTGGACAAATAAAGTAGTACCCAGGCCTCTTCTAGGCCACTAACGTCAGTCTCCAAGTCTAATATCAGCATCGAGGCAAGAAGTAGATTCCCACTGAAAACAACACCAACCAAAAGCCTCTCTCCCCTGACTGATACTGGCTGAAATTCTGACAGAAAACACAGAACTACTTTGCTCCACAAGAAGTATTAAAATCATTGCAAACAATGAAAATAGAAAGGAGGAAAGATAACCTAAATTCCTGACAGTGCATTAGGTATGCTTATAAATTATTCATGCATTTTCAGTCAAAATACAATGTAAATATTTTCTACATAAATATCTACATAAATATTCCCAAATTTACATAGAAGAAAGAGAGATTCAAATAGAAATTGAGCACATAGGCATTTCTAGTGTTGAGGGACTGAACTTATTTGTGTTTTTAGTGACTACTATATATATTACCTGATATAGAATTGATTGATTTCAATTGAGTACTGTTTACTCAATTGATTACAATTTACTGAAAGTGAATTTTAATCTTGGATCCCATTTTCTACTGGTTTCTACATTTAAACGAAATCTTTTGTCTCATGGTTTTTCAGCCTGTGCAGTGAAATTGTGACCTAGGCTTAGT
Source organism: Homo sapiens (assembly GCF_000001405.40). Classification (NCBI taxonomy): domain Eukaryota; kingdom Metazoa; phylum Chordata; class Mammalia; order Primates; family Hominidae; genus Homo; species Homo sapiens. The sequence continues at coordinate 115,556,657 of NC_000003.12, forward strand.
TACCAGGAATCCAGTGATCCTAAAACCATTCTAGTAACTAAAGGGAGAGATTGGAAACAGTGGGTTACTGTGAGCCGTGAAAACAGCTGGATAACCAGCTGGATATTTCTCATTTAATTAGGATGGTTTAGTGCTGTGTTAAATTAATAACCTTAGAATCTTCTTGCAAAAGTACCTCGAGTTAAGATTTTCCTTATACTGTATGCTACTCACAAGGAAAGAACACCAGAATTGTACTTTACTTGTTCATTTGATAAATACTCATTAGGGACCTAGAAGTGTATTCCTGGGCATACAGTAGTTCACAAATAGAAAATACTCATGTTCTAGAGGAGGGATAATAAACAAAGCAAATAATAACAAATAGTATCAGATGCTGATAAATACCATGAAGGAAAATAAAAGCAGGAGATGGAAATGGAGAGGTCAGGGGTTTCAATTTGAGATTGGTCAGAGAAGTCATAAGAAGGTGGCTTGGGAAATAAGACGAAAAAGAGGTGAAAAGTAAGTCATGTGGCTATCTAGAAGGAGGTCTATTCCATGCAGAAGAAACAAACCGTATAAATGTCCCAAGGTGAGATAAGCCTGGAATATTCAAGGAATAATAGAGCAAAGCAATGCAGAAAATAGTAAGAAAGAAAGTCAAAGAAGTACCAAGGGGCCTTGTAAACATTATAGACTTTTTCTTTTATTTGGAATGAGGTTAGAAGCAATCAGAAGGTTATGAACAGGGTAATATCACCTGATTTATATTTTTAAATAATAGCTTCGCTGTTGAGGATCAAACATAGTGGGAAAATGAATGAAACAGGGAGGTCGGAGTTAAGAGACTGTCTTGGCCTTTCAGGCTGTTGTAACAAAATACCATAAACTGGGTGGCTTAAAAATAACAGAAATTTATTTCTCACAGTTCTGGAGGCTGGGAAGTCCAAGATCTAGGCACTGGCAGATTTCGTGTCTGATGAGGGCCCTTTTCTGGTTCAGAGTCAGCTGCTTTCCCTCTGTGACCTCACATAGTGGAAGGAGCAAGGGAGCTCTCTGGGGTCTCTTTTATAAGAAAACTAATTTTACTTGGAATGAATTTAAGAGAGGAAGGTAGCTAGAGAGGGAAGCAAGGCCAAAAAAAATTTTTTGTTTTTAATTGAAGGAATAACATCATTTTTGTAAGCTGGTAGGAATAATTTAATAGCAAGGAAAAATGAGATCTTCCAATAGAGAAGAAAATGCTGTATCTAAAGTACAAGTGGAAGGTTAATCTTAGGAATATGGACCACAGTGACAAAAAGAAAGGCAGAGTTTATGGGCACAGGCTTTAGTAGGTTAGTTAAACACAGTGATGCAAGCTTATGGAAGTTCTCTTCTGATTATTTCTATTTTCTCAGTGAATAGGGAAGCAAAGTCATGAGATGAGATGAGATAGAAGATTGGATAGGAGGTGGCAGAAGTTTTAGACAGAGAAGAAGTTATGAAATAACCATCTTGGAGAGTGAGAGTGTGAACAGATCAGGGAAATAGGAGCTGTTTGAGAATAATAGTGAAGCATTTTGTGTATTTTTCTCTAGTCATATTCACCTCAGGAGTGCAGATAAAGAGTAAGTGCAGAGTTAGAATTAACCAGAGATGAAGTTTTGTTAAATTACTAGTATTACAAAGAAAGAGAAGGAAAAGGGAATGAAGAATGTTTGCTAGTGTATGAATGTATTCTAACAATAGACAATGGAATTAAGCTGAATAAGGAGGGAACTATTGACTTGAGAGAAGTGAAAGACAGTGAGAAAGTCACATGATCTTGTGATATCCAAGGAACCTTGCAGGCATGGTTCTAGAAGTATGAGCTGGAGAGATGATGATAGCAGTCTGAGAGGAAGGGGCTTAAGATTGAAAAAGGGTCAAGGCATGGGGGTGAAGAACTTGGAAGGATTGTCTACATAGTTATTGAAATTGTCAAGAATTATAATACGAGTAGTGTCTAGGATAATGACTAATCCAATAACCGAAATCTCCAAGGAACTTGTTTTTGAGGTTAAAGTGGGTGGAAGAGAATAAAAGCTGCTATTGTGGTTTATTTTAATAAGTCTTAATCTGTCTTGAGACTTTTGGGATACATTAAAACTGGCTTTATTTCTTTCCTTATCCAGATTACTTTCTTTCCCCTACCCTGACTCTTCAAGGTCGAGATATCCTTCTCTCTAATCCTTAAATTTCCCTACCTTTTGCTTTCCCCCTCACCTGCACTTTTCCTTTTGCCACCAGCTCTTCTAATACACTAATGCTGTCTTTGCTTCTTTTTATCCATAATCTCTCTCTCATAGCTCAAGTTTCATTAATGGGAGAATGAAGTTTGCGATGATCAAGACCAGAAAGAGATTTAGGGCCAGAGACAAAAAATATGAGAGGAAAATGGGGCAGACATATCTAATTTTTATCACCTCCTAAGATCTATTCTACTCAACTATCTGTTAAACTCTGTTCAGACATGGTCTTGGTATATTTACATCTTGGGTATGGTGTAAAGTTGCATGCATGAGAGTCAATATCAAGGCATTACTGAATATATTCAAAATATTCTATGATATGTACAAATGAGTGAAGTAAATTTGATTACACATTCTGAAAATGTACTCAGAGCTTCTAAAATGAATGTCTTTCTACAGAATAGTAGCAATAATGATGACTACTACAGTTTCTATTGCAATAACAACAAATAAAAAATCAGCTCCTTTTATGACCGAATTGAGCCCTTTGACTTTTGACTACAACATAGCACTGCTTAATAACCAGTAGAACCTATTATTTTCTACCTTACCTTGCATACCATGGAGCTTGCCAACTAGCATTTAAAAATATTTAGAGGACAGACAGCAGCCCTAATTGCAAAAGATTATTTTATGAGAGGAGCTAAGAGGTCATCAAATGACAGCTAATAAATACACTTCTTTAAGTGCTGGGTATGGTGAGTTATAGATATTTGCACCTGAAATAAAGTATCTAAAACACAAGATATCGTTTTAAATTGTTATCTACTCTATAGCACAATTATGGCTAAACATTTACATTCAAATTCTTCTTGGTCCCAAGACTTTAACTCACTTCAATTAGTTTGACATTCTTTGGTTATCAGGAGTAAGACAAATTCAAAAATGAATAATGAGCTGAGCTGATCTCTCACACAGCACCGGAAGATTTTTTTTCTTTCCTTTTTCAATAGCTAGGGATCTTAATTCTTGTTGATAATCTTCCTGTATAATTTCTCCCAGCATTGTTACTGCTTCTTTGTCATACACATAAAATTTGTGGCAACATCATTAGTTGGTCTTCAAATGTCAGCCTTTCTGGGATTCCCCCTTACATTTATGGCTGTATTTTCATCAGACCTAACACTGAGGAGAATTAAATTTGATCGATACTTATGTAGCAGATCTGGATGACTGGTTGTTGGTGGTGATATTTCAATAACTATATAATTCTCATCTTGGTGCATACAAATTTTGTGCCCCAGATTCTCTTTCCCAAGAGGCTAAAAAATAAGGATCTTTAAACGCATTTTATGAAATACATCTGCTAAATTTCAGTAACAGGGTTCAACTTAAATGTGGAAGCCTGCATCTTTTGGGGGCTTGTTGATATCCTTGCTACTGAAAATGTGATCTATAGACTCCTGGGGCATCACCTGGGATGTAGTTAGAGATGCCTTGCCCACTCTTATGAAATCCAGACTCATTCTACATCTACTAAGACAGAATCTGTATTTTATCAAGCTCCCCAGGCAATTTATATGCACATTAGAAATGGAGAAGCTTTCATCTATGAGGTTTCCTTTGTAGATGTAGAGGAATGGAAGGGGAATTCAGGGAAACCATGCAATAAATATTCATAACATCTATTCATTTACTCAACGTGTATTTACTGAGTGCCATCGATGGGCCAGTCACTGTGCGAAGAGCTAGGGCACAGCAAAGAAAAATTAAGACTGCTTATATGGGGATTACAGTTGTGTAGATACTTTGCTATGGACCTAGCATTGTACCAAGCAATATGAGACTCCAAAAGAAGTAAAATTCATTTGGCCAAATATTTTTATGTAATTAGTACATGTGCAAGTACTCTAGAGCTACAGGAATTTATAGAGGTAAAAGCTCTGCCTTCAAGAAGTTTACATGTAGTAGCAAGATATGTTCCCAGCTCCTACAATTCAATGAGGACAACAAGATTTACGTACACAAAGCAGTTTGGGAATAATACAAACATAATAGTGTTATGTGAAGTAGGAATAATGTTGCAATTAGAAAGGGGGAAAGAATATTACTTTAAGAACTCATTAGATTACATTTCAGAATGAGACCTGCAATGGCTATTGAAAAATGCAAGGGAAATTCATGGTGGACTCAGTAAGGAATTATTTCCCAATGGATTATTTAGAAAACAAAATTGTAAGATAACATAATGAAGCTAGATTCAGAATTTGGGATCCATTGACTTTCCTTATAAAAAATATATACAGTTAGATCTATTAGAAAATACACTGAGGTACCTGTACCCAGATTGTAGTTTCAAAGATCAACCCAAAAGAATATACTGTAAAAGGGTTTAACATTTAAAGGAATATAAAATGGCCATTAAGCCACATCTTCACACAGGCCATGCAAATGTCTGACCCACATCTCCAAGTGTAGGGAGGCCTAGTCCGTCGGAAAGGCAGAGGTTTAGAAGTCAAGAAACCTAAGGTTTTGCTTCCTAATACCCTGTCTAAGTTTTGATGTAGTAATGCCCATCACAGTCCTCTCCTGCCTTACTGGTGAAAAAACAAACAATGTCATTTCTGCCTCTGTTTCAGCAAGCATGTGATGATTCCCAAACAGTGCCCCTTACTCCGTCATCCATTCCCAAAGAATTTCACACATCCAGTGTGACTGCCTCTCATAGAGGCAGGTAATCCAAGCAATGTAGTTCTCTAGTTTGGTTGCTTGTAAAGTTCCACAGAGTACCTACAAAAACCACAAGGCCTGGATTTTTCAGGATAATTTTGTTGTAAATATTTCATCACAAAGTCTCCCTAAACATATTTTTTGCACTATGTAATGAAACAGGAAAAAACTGAGCTTCAAAACCAGATGAATGTGAGTTCAAATCATCAGATAATTCATCTATCCTCTCTGAAATTTAATTTCTGGACTGTAAAATGAAGATAATACTTTATGAAAATTGTTATGAAGATTATGAATAATGTATGGAAAGTCTAACACAGTGCCACACAAGAGTAAGCCTATGTAAAAGGTAGATTGTATAGCCAGCTATAGCAACATATAATATATGCTTCCTATATATGTATGCACATGTTTTTACCTTTAATGCCTTAATCTATCTTATAATTTTCCATTTCATTGTGCTCAGTGCCCATTCACCTTCACTGAAGCTTCTCCTCCCTTCTCTACACCCTTTTTCTCACCCCTATTTCATTCAGTACAATCGTATTTCTCATGGACATCAAATCTGTCATGGAAAGGTCACACATACCATGGGATAAAGCTAAAGACACCCTTGCAGCATATCTTTCCCTTTCCCCTACTCATTACCATATATGCCCCAAAGAAAGAAACTAAAGTCTAAGCATAATTAAATTAGCTTTATTCTTTCTCCAGTTCTCTTTTTTATGGAACAAGAAAGTAAAATGATATTTACAGCAGGTGCTCTATAAATTGAAAGGTGAATGATGAAATAAAAACATCATCTTTACTAATTAATAAAGGAAATCTGATATCCTACTGTAAGTCAGTCACTGTAATATGCATAGGATGATAAAAAAATTTAAATCCCTTTGAAAGCTCACATTTCAATATAAGAAACAATTACAGTAAAATGTAAAATCTATAAGAAAGATACACAATTTAAGCTAATTTTAGCTACTGTAACAAAAAAGCACATATTGGTTCAAATATGAAGTAAATATTTCTCATTCATAATATTTCATATTTTAAAATGGATGATTGATCAGTGTGTAAATCATCTCCAAGACAGAGTTCAGGGATCCAGGATCCTTCCCTCTTTTAGTCTATTCTGCTCCTGGGTGTAGTGGTTAGCAGCAGAAGAGGAAATAGATGCACACACATCACCTCTACTCACATCCCATTGGCTGTAACTCCATCATATGGCCACATCGAACTGCAAGAGAAGCCAGGAAGTGTAGTTATTCTCTCTACTCAGAAAGAGGATGGATGTGGTAATCAGTTAGCCAGATTCTACCACAAGAGGTACATCCAGAGTGCTATTGGACCATGAATTTCTCAAAGTGTGAAAGTTTTTCACCACTTTCCAGGGGTGGCAATGAGGGTGAGGTGGGGTGGGGAGGTATCATAAAGTTAACTTCATTCAGAAGAGATGTATTAAGTACATTCATCTTGGCAGTCACTGTATTAGACATCAACAAGAATCAGCTGCTATCTTCAGAAAATTTATAGTTTACTTTCTTGGAGCATCATCTTCAGCATCACCTGGGAGATTATGGGCAACTCGAAACTACTGAATCAGAATCTAAATGATTCATATGTAAGTGAAAGGTTAAGAAGCACTGGTGTAGGGCGTTTCATAGCTACTACCTTCAGAGAACGTTATTCTGAGCCCCACGAATTCGAGAGTCAAATTCTACAAGGACAAGAGCCTGAGGTCAGGAAGTTGGTAGGCATGGGTAAGTGCTGCTGGAGAGAATGAAGCTGTCCAGAAGCCCAGGAGAGATCACTAAGGAGGGGCCAGTGTGGGTATCTGGGCAGGGCATCAATATCCACTGGCTTACACAGTGATGAATTCATCAATGTCTTTACAAAGATGTATGTCACATGTCTATACACCCTTCTACACAATTACATATATGTCCCCAGACATTGAAAGTTACAAGCATTAATGAAACTAATGAGTTAAATATACTGTTTTCTGTATGTTGGGAAGAGAAGGGGATGACTCTCATACAAAGCAGTTACGTAAAAGTTCTGCCCTGTGTATTTTGTACCTGAATGAACATCGAAAACTCAAAATACTGGACCAAGTTTATACTTTCTAATACAGACATAAATGTGTATAGAATTTCTCAACTGCTTTTGCACAAATATACTTATGAATGCATTTTAAATCCTAAAAATATAGAGAAATTTATGCCAGCCCTACTTTGGTGAGGACTTATGACTTCACTTGCCTTATAAGTGTGTCTTATACCATTTAACAGCTTTACTATTATGTGCTTCCCCCCCACCCCCAGCTTTTCTCTCTTTTCTCCCTTTTCTTCTTCCTTTCTTTAGGAAATATTGCTTGCTATTCTGATGTCTGGAGTATATGACTTGGTAATAGAGAATGACTGAAAGATTGAGATCTAAGCAAACAGCATACTTGATACAAGAGGAGACAGCTTAGAATTTATAATTAGGAGCCTGTTTCAACTTCCTTCATAGCAGTACTGAAATCCTTTTCAGGGGTATCTTGACTGCCTTGAAAGTGAATGTCATTGAGGATTTTTTTGCCCTCTCTTGTTTCCTTGGCAACAGGTTGGTGATGCAGCAGCTGAAATCCACCATGTCCCTGGAGATGCTGGTGTGGGCAGGTCGCAAGCCACTGGTATTGGCTGCAATGGATACTGAACTTGACCAAATCTTTTCATTCTAATCCTTCTAAATGCATTATACAAAGAAATCAACCTAATAGAAGAATGCTTTACAATATAATTATTGGCATGACTATCAGCAAGGAAAGTATTCATCCTTCTTTTAAAAATAGCTAACCTTTGCACGCATAACTTAATCGTGAGTTTTAATATGTAGAAGTTTCAGGTAACTGTATACATCGATTCATGTCAGAGCAATACTTTGAAAAAAAGAGTTCAATGTTAATATAAAGTCTGAAAGAAAGGGCCAAAAGATCAAGAATTGGCACCCTTTCCTTTAGATTTATGTCAGGCATATTGTCCTCTTCAGGCAGCCACGTCCAACAGCTACTCTGTATCCCTTGAATGTTCTGAAACAAATCATGCCTGTGATCTGCAGAGAAAACGTGGAGGGACTGGAAATGGATCTCGTCTGTCTTCTTTTCTAGAAGACAAGGGAAAGGGGGCAACTAGCGAAGAAAGGTCAGCTGGGGTGGGGGTACCCTTTAGGGAAAACATACAAGATGGCTTCAGGGACAGACATAAATGGAAATGGCTATAACAGTCTTAGATGGACAAGGCAGCTGGAATACAGATGGGCCTACTGCCAGAGATGGGATGGCTTAGACACTCAGGAATGGGTGAAAGGGGCTTTATGTGAACATGATAAACAGAGGGAGATTCAGGTATCAAAACCAAGAGGACCTATTTGTGGAACACATGAGCAGGGATGTCAGAATTTGGCAAGGAAAAAAATTAGTTTAATTCACTTAAAAAGTAGATTTTAGAACAAAATGGATTTCTTTTTAAAATACTTGAATCCAATCATTTGCTGAATTTATGCTGAGAATAGATTCAGAAGAAAAGAAGACGTGAAAGAGAATGTGTTTAGCCTAAAAAGTATGCAGGGGAAACAAATGCTGAGAAAACATAGTAAGGGTGAGGGCTGGGTGGAGTCTGAGAGACAGATGAGCAAGATTATGTAAAGGGAAAGCAGGAAAAGGAAAGATGAAGAAGTCAGACTAGACAAAGATGCTATTCCAAAACTATCAAAGGAAAGAGAGTGCCTAATATGGGCAACTCAACTGAAGAAAAATACACTAAACATGTATACTAAACATGTGATAGTTATCATGAAGCATGCTGATAAGTGTTATTTTAAAATGATACATTTTGCAGTGGCCACATTGTAGCTTGTGAACATCCTGAGTAATGAGTTCCTTCTGAAGACTAGAAAAATGTACATGTAACTTGCTTTTTGTCATTCAGTACTAATAGCCAGTTCAGGTACTGAGGAATAAATATCTTGGGAAAAGACATTTTATTTATTTTAAGAACATGCTCACTGACCTAACCTTTTGCTCCCTCCATTGACATAAGCAGCATAGCCCAAATAAATCAAAAAGGTAGTTTTCCTTCATGTTAAGGTCAGAACACATAGCATAGGAACATAAAGAATAAAAAGGAGCAATCAAAGAATTCTCAGGCCAGGCGCGGTGACTCATGTCTGTAATCCCAACACTTTGGGAGGCTGAGGTGGGCAGATCATCTAAGGTCGGGAGTTTGAGACCAGCCTGACCAACATGGAGAAACCCCGTCTCTACCAAAAATATAAAATTAGCCAGGTGTGGTGGTGCATGCCTGTAATTCCACCTACTCGGGAGGCTGAGGCGGGAGAATCGGTTGAACACCGGAGGCGGACGTTGCGGTGAGCCAAGATTGCGCCATTGCACTCCAGCTTGGGCAACAAGAGCGAAAGTCTGTCCCAAAAACAAACAAACAACAAAAGAATTCTCTCTCTGTTGCACTTAGTGCTTAATTGCACTGGTTCTGGAGTCAGGTAGCCTGTGCGGGAATCACAAATCTAGTTTTTAATAGATGAGTGGTCTTGAAAGAGGAAATTCACTTGTCCAGGAAACAGCATTTCTATCTTTAAAATGGTGATAATAACAATACCCACCTCATATGGTTATTGTTAGAATTAAATCAGGAAATCCATGTGAAACTTTCAACACAGTTCTTGGCACATAAAGGAATCTTAGCTACTATATTTTATAATTGTCAAAATACTTGACTAATCAATCTAATTTTGAAACCCAATGAAATTCATTATTAATTTAACATCTGGATTGGGCAGCTATGTTGAACAAAATGGAGTAAATGTCTCATTCCAATTCTTTATCTGATAGTACATCTGATACTACCTCATATATAAAATTAGGTTTGCTAATGCTTTCAAAATCAGTCTATTAATATTAAAATGTTAGGCAATCATAGGCTTAAATTATTTTTCTTCCATTTTCCCTTGGATGTTTCCATTTTAAAAATAGCATTCAAATTTATTTAGTTCCGTGAATTTAAGTTATGCTAGACTTAGAGAAACAGTATCTTTTTAATCAACTGGTGGTTCATTACACAGATTCACTGAAAATTTCTGAATCATCTTAAAATGTTGCCTGTGATATTCCTTTGCTGTTTTCTTTTCTGTCTCTTTTTTCTTTTTTTTTTTTCGTGGTAACCTATATGGATTTTATTGAAGTGGAAACAGAATAGAAAAGGGAATAGAATTGAATTCATCTTGGTCAAGTATCTTTTAATGCAGAGCAGAGGTCAGATACTTGATAAAATAGGAGTAAATGTTCTAGGTCATGCTGGCACCATCAACAGCAGTACAGCCAGCAGATAAAGGAAGATATTTGAACAAGGGGAGCCCACAGGATGGTGAACAGACCAAAAGGGTAGTGATGTTTCTACATGACAATAGGCCATCAGCAGTTGGGTGATGAAGGAGATGAAGGAGACTGGACCCTCAATACCAGAAAAGAAGGGCAGAGCATAATGATGGCTTATAAATTAAATGAATCATAACCACATATTCAGGCAGGCAGCAGGTGTGAAGAACCCAAGAGAGGAGCAGGCTAAGAAGTGGGTAAAGAAGTCTAATAAGCAGCCGGGAGTGGTGGCTCAAGCCTGTAATCCCAGCACTTTGGGAGGCTGAGGCCGGTGGATCATGAGGTGGGTGGATCACGAGGTCAGGAGATCCAGACCATCCTGGCTAACATGGTGAAACCCCATCTCTACTAAAAATACAAAAAAAAATTAGCCGGGCGTGGTGGCGGGCACCTGTAGTCCCAGCTACTCGGGAGGCTGAGGCAGGAGAATGGCGTGAACCCAGGAGGCAGAGCTTGCAGTGAGCAGAGATGGCACCACTGCACTCTAGCCTAGGTGACTGAGCAACACTCTGTCTCCAAAAAAAAAAACAAGTCAAATAAGCAAAAAGCAATATTTATTATTGAATTCTATTAAAACTTTAAAGAAGAATTAATACCAATTTTTCTCAAACTATTCCAAAAAATTAAAGCAGAGTGAATTTTTCTTAACTCATTCTATGAGGCCAGCATAACCCTGATACCAAAACAAAGCAAGTACACAACCTTAAAAGAAAACTACAGGCCAGTATCTTTGATGAACGTAGACACAAAAATATTCAACCAAATACTAGCAAACTAATCCACAACACATCAAAAAAATGATAAACCGTGTCCAAATGAGATGTATCCCAGGAATTCAAGGATAATTGATATATGTGAATCAATAAATGCTATACATCACATCAATAGAACGAAGGACAAAAACCATGTGATCATTTTAATAGAGGCAGAAAAAGTATTTTATAAAATTCAGTATTACAAAATGTATGATAAAAACTCTCAATAGGCTGGGCACAGTGGCTCATGCCTGTAATCCCAACACTTTGGGAGGCTGAGGTGGGTGGATCATGAGGTCGGGAGTTGGAGACCAGCCTGGCCAACATGGTAAAACCCTGTCTCTACTAAAAATACAAAAATTAGCCGGGTGTGGTGTCAGGTGCCTGTAATCCCAGCTACTCGGGAGGCTGAGGCAGGAGAATCAGTTGAAACCAGAAGGTGGAGGTTGCAGTGAGCCGAGGTCACGCCACTGCACTCCAGCCTGGGTGAAAGAGTGAAACTCCGTCTCAAAAAAAAAAGCAAACAAACAAACAAAAAACTCTCAATAAATTAGGTATAGAAGGTAAGTACCTCAACACAATAAAGGCCATATATGACAAACCCACAGCTAACATCTTACTGAAAGGGAAAGCTTTTCCTCTAAGAACTAGAACAAGATAAGGATGCCTACTCTCATTACCCCTATTCAGCATAAAACTGGAAGTGCTAGCCAGCACAATTAGGCAAAAGAAATAAATAAAGGACATCCAAATTGGAAGGGGGAAGTCAAACTGTTCCTGTTTGCAGATGATATGATCTTATATATAGAAAAAACTAAAGGCTTTACCAAAAAGCTCTTAGAACTGATAAACAAATTCAGTGAAGTTGCAGAACACACAATTAACATGTATAAATCAGTAGTGCTTCTATACATGAACAACAAAGTAGCTGAAAAATAAGTCAAGAAGGTAATTCAATTTACAATAGCTACCAAAAAAAAAAAAGTACCCAAGAATCCAAGAATAAATGTAACCAAGGAAGTGAAAGACCCCTACAAGGAAAACTACAAAAACAGTGATGTCAGATGGTTTAGCTGTGTCCCCACCCAAATCTCCTCTTGAATTGTAGTTCCCATAATTCTCACGTGTTGTGGGAGGGAGCTGGTGGGAGATAATTAAATTATAGGGGCAGTTTCCCTCATATTGTTCTCATGGAAGTGAATAAGTCTCATGAGATCTGATGGTTTTATAAAGGGAAACCCCTTTCACTTGGTTCTCATTTTCTCTCCTACCTGCAGTCATGTGAGACATGGCTTTCACCTTCTGCCATGATTGTGAGGCCTCCCTAGCCACATGGAACTGTGAGGCCATTAAACTTTTTCTTTATAAGTTACTCAGTCTCAGGTATGTTTTTATCAACTGTATGAGAACAGACTAATACAGATAAAGGAAATTAAAGAGGATACAAAACAAATGGAAAAAACATCCCATGCTTATAGTTGGAAGAATTAATATTGTTAAAATGACAATACTACCCAAAGCTATCTATAGATTCAACCCAATCTCTATCAAGATACCAATGACATTCCTCACAGAAATAGAAACAAAATCATAAAATTTGTAGGAAATATCAAAAGACCCCAAAGAGCCAAAGCAATCCTGAGTGAAAATAACAAAGATGGAGGAATCACACTACCAGACCTCAAAATGTACTACAAAGCTGTAGTAGCCAAAACAGCAGGATACTGTCATAAAACAGACATGTAGACCAATTGAACAGAATAGAGAACCCAGAAATCCACATATTTTCAGCCAGTTGATTTTTTACAAAGGTTCCAAGAATGCTTACTAGGGAAAAGATAGTCTGTTTAATAAATGATGCTAGGAAAACTGGACATCCATATGCAAGAAGAATGAAACTAGATCCCTACCTCTCACCGTAAACAAAAATCAACTCAAGATGGATCAAAGACTGAAATGTAAGACCTGAAATGACAAAAGAAAGAAAATATGCTAGAAGAAATAGGATGATACTAGAAGAAAATATAGGGGAAGTGCTTCAGGATATTGGTTTGGGAAAATATTGTATGAATAAGATCTTAAAAGCACAGGCAACAAAAGCAAAAATAAGGTAGGATTATATCAAACTAAAAAGCTTTTGCACCGCAAAGGAAATAGTCAACAGAGTGAAAAGATAACCTATAAAATAGGAGGAAATATATGCAAACTATTTATCCGACGGGGTATTAGTATCATTAGAATAGACAAGGAACTCAAAATCTCAACAGTAAAAAACAACCTGATTTTAAAATGGGCAAATGATCTGAATAGATATTTCCCAAAAGAAGACATACAAATGGATAAGAAATATATTTTTTAAATGCTCAGCATCATTAATCATCAAGGAGATGCAAATCAAAACTACAATGAGATATCATCTCACCCCAGTTAGGATGGCTATTTCCAAACAGACAACAACAACAACACACACACAACAACAACAACAACAACAACCAATGCTGATAAGGATGTGAAGAAAAGAGTATTTTTATAACACTGTTGGTGGGAATGTAAACCAGTACAGCTACTATGGAGAACAGTATGGAGGTTACTCAAAAAACTACAAATAGAATGACCATATAATCCAGCAATTCTACTACTGGGAATTTATCCAAAGGAAAGGAAATCATTCTGTCAGAAACATTTACACCCCCATGTTTATTGCAATACTATTCACAATAGCCAAGATATGGAATCAGCCCAGGTGTCCAATAACATATGAATGGATAAAGAAAATGTGATATATATACACAATGGAATTCTATTCGGTCATAAAAAAGAGTGAAATCCTGTCATTCATGGCAACATGGATGGAATTGAAAGACGTTAAGTGAAATAAGCCAGGAACAAAAAGTTAAACACTGTATGTTCCCATTCCTATGCAGAATCTAAAAAAAGGTGATCTCACAGAAGTAAAAAGTAGAACAGAGGATACTAGATGCTGGGAAGTACAGTGGGAAAGGAGGGATGGGGAGAGATTTGTTAAAGGATACAAAATTACAGCTAAATAGGAGGAACACACTTTAGTCCACCATTGCTACCTTAAGATGACTATAGTTAACAATAATACATAGTTTTGAATAACTAGAAGGAGGAAATAGAATGTTTCCAACACAAGGAAATGATAAATGTTTGAGATGATGCATATGCCAATCACTTTGCTCTGATCACCATATATTACAGGTATCAAAACATTACTATGCACCCCATGAATATGTACCATTATTATTTGCCAATTTTAAAAAGTAAAATAAAAAAATAGACCCAGCAACCAGGGAACCATTAGTAGTTTAGAGGTGCAGCATCATTCTGCCTCATCCAGAAATTTCTTGGAAATTTTTATTGGGAAAGAAATCTTTAATGTGAACAGCCTAGAACTCGCAGATTTGAGGAGAGAGGTCAGTCACCAGACCGGAAAGACGAAAAGAAGAGGTAGCAGCTCAAGGTAGATATAGAACCAAAGCCTGTTTGATGAGCTAAATTCAGATAAATCACCAAAATCAGATGGCATCCACCCAACAGTGTTTAAAAATTTTGAGGTTGTGAGTTTGGGAGTCATGTTTAAACTGACATCCTGTCTCTGGAAATCATTGCTGTGAGGGGAATTTTCATTCTTTGTTTTTCTCCAGGACTCTCCGTACCTTGCACAAAATACCTGAAAGGTTCACTAGGCCATTTTCAAACTTGTATTTTTCAATCCTCAGGAAAATCTCCAGAGGAAGAGATGCTTGCCAACCAGAATTTCAGGGAGCCAATGTGGGCCATGTTCAGGTAGCTTTGAGGAAAGTAACACTGACCTCAAGCTGCAGGGTGGCACTGGTGCCACAGGAATGCAAAGACAAGGGAAAATTAAAGGAATGAGCCAGGTAATGTGGGAGGCACACAAGTATAAAGCCTGTTAAACACATGACTAAATAGTTAACCTACCAGGTCTACTTATTAATACATAGACTTTATATCCCCAATTTTCCTTCAATTATAGAAAAGTTGACTTTGCACTTTAAATGGCAGGATATGTGTATATATTAAAGTGTGTGTGTGTGAATGTAGGTGTGTGCTTGAATGTGTTCTTGGATTCCTGAGTAATTGAGCTGAGTCCCAGAAGCTAATAAGAAGAACAATATGTGAATTTTTTACTTCTCACTGTAAAAACTATTTTAAGGAAGTAAGTAAAAATAGCAAACCAGTGGAAATTTTACTAGATTATGCTCCTGCTGGCCCATATTTTGAACAATTTAAAACTGATAAAAACAGTTACCAGTAATTATTGGTAACACAGAGTTACCAATAATTCTTCTAATATGCACCCAAGAAAAATAAAAACATATAGCCACACAAAACATTGTACATGAATGTTCATAGCAGTGTTACTCATAATACCCCTGTATTAGTCTGTTTTCACACTGCTATAAATAAATACCTGAGACTGGGTAATTTGTAAAGGAAAGAGGTTTAATAGAGTCACAGTTTAGCATGGCTGGGAGGCCTCAGGAGACTTACAACCATGACAGAAGGGGAAGCAAACACATCCTTCTTCACAAGGCAGCAGGAAAGGGAAATGCAGAGTGGAGGGGAAGAGTCCCTTATAAAACCATGAAATCTTGTGATAACTCACTCACTATCACAAGAACAGCATGGGGGAACCCCCTCCCCCACACCTCATGATCCAATCATTTCCCACAAGGTCCCTCCCCTAACATGTGAGAATTACAATTCAGATTACCGTTCAAGATGAGATTTTGGTGGAGACACAAAGCCTAATCATATCAACCTTAAAGTGGAAACAATCCACATGTCCACCTGCTGATGAACAGATAAACAAAATGTGGCATATCAATACAGTGGAATATAATTTAGCAGTGAAAAGTAATGAAGTTCTGATATATGCTTAACATGGATGAATCTCAAAAATATTGTGGTATATGAATTAAGCCCATCCCAGAGGACCACATTTAGTATATTTCCATTTATATGAAATATCCAGAATAAGCAAACCTACAGAGACAAAGTGATAGTTGCCATGGGGTATGTGGGGCAGAGGAGAAATGAAGAATAACTGCTAATTGTTATGAGTGCTTTTGAGAGGGTGATGAAAATATTTTAGAATTAGATTGTGATTATAGTCATGCAACTTTGAAAATATACCAAAAACCTCTGAACTAAACATTTTAAATGGATTAATCATAAGGTATGTGAATTAAATCTCAAGTTAAAAAAAATGAACCACTCAGAATTTAGGAAAAGTACTTCCCCTGGTTGTAAGCCAGTATGATGCACTGGGTAACAGTTTAAGTTCTGGAATCAGACTGCCTGGATTTGAGTACAACTTTGCCACTTAGAAGCTATGTGATCTTGGGCAAGTTACTTGACTACTTTGTGCCCCAATTTCTTCATCTTTAAAAGGGGTGGATAATTGTACACACCTCTTGAGATAACCTTGAAGATTAATTAATAACGTAAGTGCTCGGAACAGTACCCTGTACTTTGCACAATAAGAACATTTATTATTATTATCATTATCATCTTTACTAATGTGTTGCCTTGTTGGGACCTGAGAACAGGGTCACACCCCAGTGAGTAGAAGGTGATAATTCTCTTAGGGAAGGTCATTATTCCTCTTGGCAATCATCCTGGCAAGCGACTGACCTTTGGAAGGTAACGAGATCTTGGAAAATAGGACATAAACATCTCACCAAGTCTAGGTTTTTCTTTTTCTCTGAGGCTTCTGACCCTTGGAACCAGAATTCTAGAGATTTTAGACTTGCTTGAGTAGGTTTCTGGTGATAGGGTTATGTTGGTCTCTACCTCACAGGAAGGCTTAGAAGGCAGGGAACCTCATAGCTCATCAGGAACTATCTAAGGAATATTTTGGTGTGCAATGACTGGCCCTTGAGCTCAGCTCTGAGCACAACCACATCCAGAAGCAGTTGTGTTACTCTATGAGTTGTGACTCCCTTTTGTCAATGAGGAACTTCAATAAAGTCCTATTAAAAGACACAGCCTGCGCTCTACTCTGCTGTGGGAAGTGAAGAAAAGGGTGCATTCCATCCATTCAATGAAATGTCATAAAGGAGGGCAGCCTCTGGCCCCATCTCCCTCTCACTCCAAAGTTAGTGGGATGGTTGCACAATTCACCAGGGAGGTCAGGTGTCCCAGATCACAGGAGGAAATCAGCAGATGTGCAATAGGCCTATAGATAGAGTAGAATTGATGAGTCCAGAGCACTAATGACTAGGAAAAGAGGCAGAGGCCCAGAATGACAAAGGATCCTGGTTGGACAGCACCATCCTGGACACTAGAGGAGGAAAGGACTAGGTGAGGAAGGGTAAGGACTGACATCCTATTACACGGACAGGTGGGGCTGAGAACCATCATAACTGAGGTACTTAGGTTACTATAAATGTGCCCATACTTTCAGACTAAGAGAAGAAGTTGGAAAATTTCCACAGTCCTTTTATTCAAGGAGCCTATGACCCAGTGTTTTTGGACTGTCACGTAAATAAAACAATGATAAAGGCAAACACCGGATTTTGGGGTAGATTGAGACCTGAGAGATCCAGGAAGTTTTCTTCTTATGCAAGATGTTGAAAGAAAGTCTGAAAGTAGAAATTTATAGTAACCTAAGTACCTCAATTATGATGGTTCTCAGCCCCACCTGTCAGTGTAATAGGATGTCATTCCTTAACTTCTTTAGTATAGGTGAACTAGTCAAACTCTTTCAAAACCCAAGAAATGAGGCTAAAGCTTCCGAAATCAGTGGCACCACATCTTCCATAAGAAGAAAACTTTCTGGATCCCTCAGGGCTCTATCTACCCCCAAATCCTGTGCTTGTCTTTATCATTGTTTTATGATAAAGTCATAAAACAGTCCCAAACACTTGACAATCCCAAACACTGGGTCATAGGCTCCTTCATATAAGGATTGTGGAATTTTTCATACTTCTCTTTTCTTCTATTTTTTTCTTTTTCCTTTTAGATTTCTGGGTCACCATTGCTTAACTGAACTTCTATTCTTATGCCAAGCACACAGAAAGTACTCGTTGAATGAATGAATCACCAGTTGAGGATAATATATTTATGGGAAGTAGTCAGATTGCAACCACACTTTTGTGTTAAGGTGGGATCCAATCACAGAGCTTTTGTTCCTTTACTATCCCTGAGATGTACTGAGCTGTCTGTTCTGACTCTCCCATTTCTGCTAAGTTCAGCCCCTTCCTTTTTTGGACCCATTTCCTCCTGTTCTCTATTCCTTTGTGCCCTCTGAAGCTCCTGTTTTCCTACCAAGAACATTTCAGCTACGTTCCGATCTTTTGTGAAAAAGACCTTAAACATTGTTGTTTAATGAATGCAGGACCTTTTACCTCTGAGGCTGCTTTATCTCAGTTCCACTGATTCCTCTTCTTTCAATTAGCATTCAAATGTTGATGGTTCTAGAATTAGACCATTTAATTTTACTCTTCTCATTTTGTATCTTCTCTCCTGAGGGGAACTGGAGACTAAGTATAAGGTGAACATTGAGCAGAATGAAGAGACAAGGCCAGCACATTTAAGTTGGAAGCTGATTGAGGAAAGATGATAATGCCAGGATATAGAGTCTAATTTGGAGGTCAGGGGTCATGGTGGGTATGGATGAAAAGTTCTTAAGAGCAGGAGTTGCATGAAGTTATGATTCTGAAAAATAATTGCTTGTGGGTTCTAGATGGACTAGTGACAGTAGAGCTTGAATCAAGGAGAACGGGTGATTTGAGCTGACCCTGGGAATTGGCAGTGGTATAGGTGGGAGAGATGGTTTTAACATATTTCCAAGGGAAAAAAAGTACAAGATGTAGTGACCTGTTAGACATAGCAGATAAGATAAAAGAAGTGAAAGATTCCTGGAGGTTTTGGCTTGGGTAATGCACAAATGGTGAGAACGTATTAACAAGATGACAAGTAGAAGAGGACAAGAATAATTAGCCATAATCTGACATGGTGGTATTATTAAAGTAATGTCTCTAGGTCTTTCACGGTCAGTGTCTCATATGGATGGTGGCAGCTAATTAATTCTATTAGAAGTGATGTAGGCAGGGCCTCAGTTAACAGATGACAAAAATATTTCAACTTGAAACTTTATTTAACCAAGGCTTCATAGCTCTTTCCACATTAACCAGGATTACCACAAAGATATAGCGTAAGAGAACTAACATGAAAGTCAAAATATTTATATAAGTCCCAGTTATGCCACTTGTCATCTGTGGAAGATAGAGCATTTCACTTCTTTGAGCTCATTTTTTTTCTCATCTGTAAAATGGAAAGATAATACCTCACAAGGTAGTGATAAAAGTTACATAAAATAATGTATAGAAAACTGATTTGTGAGCTGCCAACACATAGCTGGCTGGGGGAAATTGAATGCCAGTCTTAGGAATCATTTAGACTCAGGGTTTGAAAAGGCAAGATTTAGAGTTAGAATTATGCATCCAACATTCTGTCATAACTGCATGTCTATATTGTGATAAGACTTCGGAAGAAAACCCATCAAATAATCTAAATAGCTCCGTGAGCTGTGATGTTATACTCTTACACTTCACAGACAGATGGTGTGTCTAAGATGGAAGAGACCTCAAGGATCATATTGTTTTCTTTTCTAGTGATGAGTCTGAGGCAAGAGAGGTGATACAACTTATCTAAGATCACAGAAACCACTGATAGCCAGGATAAGACCCATGCTTCTCAACTAACTCCCGGCTCAGGGCTCCTCTGCTGTATTACAGAACATTCCCCTGCTACTGAAAAAAGACATCTCATTCTGGCCAAGGAGTCATCATCTTTTTTTTGTTTAATTTCCGTTTCATAAAGCCAGAATAATTTCTGGTCCAAAACTATTCTTTGCTGGCCTGGCTGATTTACCCAAACTGTTTTTCATTTTATCTTGCCCTGAAAACTAACATTTTTCTTTCTTTGGGGAAAAAAAAATGGCAAAGCAATGGAAAACTTGTACTCATAACTTCAGCATTTCTAAGCCCTGAGGCGGGGAGAGGAGAGGTAGAAGTGGCTTCACACTGGCAAGGGAATTTTAGCTGGAGCACTTTGCAGCCTTGTAGCAATGGAGAACTTGTACTGTGTGAAGTCTGAGATTCAAAGTGACAGGAAATTTGCGTTTTTTGCTTTTTATGCCACTGCTCCAACCTGCCATGGCACCTGTAGAAATCCCATTTTGATGATCTGGTCCTTACCATCTCCAATCCCATAATAACCACTTCCCAACTCCTTATGGAGGAGACTCTTGATAGAGGTCACTCTGACACCAGGTTGGGCAAGGAAAGAAAGTGAAATGAGAAAGGACTTCTCTTGACTCCCATGGTGGCTAGAGGAGCTGTTAGATGATTCAGAGCAGGGGACCTTGTGTACCGTCTTCAGCATTGACTCATTCAGGTACATTCTCCTTTGAGTGCAGAAGTGTGCTCTAGGGATGTATTAAATGGAGAGTGAAGATATGAACAAAGCTCTGATGATCTCCCATTCACATTCGGGGGCAGGAACTGTGCTTTCTTTATCTTAATATCCTTTGCACTTATCTCACTACTCTGCATATAGAAGAGTGCACAGTACAGTTCTGTTTGTGTGTGTGTGTTTAACTTATTGACATGTAGTTCACATAGCATATGCACAATACAGTTTTGCTGAATAAATACATCTGAAGGAAACAATGACTTCCTCAGACATCCAGCAGCCAGATTATCAAAAGCTAGCAGTGGCTGGGCATGATGGCTCACGACTGTAATCCCAGCACTTCGGGAGGCCGAGGTGGGCAGATCACTGGAGGCCAGGAGTTCGAGACCAGCCTGGCCAACATAGCGAAACCCCAACTCTACTAAAAGTACAAAAAATTAGTTGGGTGTGGTGGTGCATGCCTGTAATCCCAGCTACTCGGGAGGCTGAGGCAGGAGAATGGCTTGAACCCTAGAGGCGGAGGTTGCAGTGAGCTGAGATTGCGCCACTGCACTCCATCCTGGGCCGTGGAGCCAGACTCTGTCAAAAACAAAGAAAAAAGCTGACAGTATTATTTCAAGCAGGAACATTTATTGAGTCCCCCTACCCCCAACAAATACTCATCCATTTGCTTGTTGATAATCTTAATAAAGTTTTATTTTTCTTAAAGTTCTGATAATGAGCACACAGATGTTCCCAAGACAAATAATAATTATTAAACCTTTAATGAATGCATATTATGAGCCCATGCTATGTTAAGCATTTTGTGTGCCTTTCTCATTTATTCATTACAACACCCCTTTGAAGGAAGCACTATTATTAACCTCATTTTATAGCTGAAGAAACTGAGGCTAAGAGAGGCCACACAATTTGTCCAAGCTCAAGAGAAAAGCAGGGAAAAGCAGGATCTAGATGAAGGTCTATAGATTCTGAAACCTTTTTACATTTATCAAGAACTTTCCAATTCTCCTCAAGTGATCATTTACGCTTTAGAAAAAAACACAAAAATCTATACTTTCATCAAGGTAGAGGATGCTGATGCTTGAGATAGACCAAAGGAATTGTTAACATGGAAATATTTGCAGAGCCGAGAGGAAGAGAAGCTGGAACCCAGTAGAATGCTGGTGCTTTTCATGGTTTTACTGTGAACCAGTCTTGCAAGCAGAGATTATACAGATGAGGATACTTGGAGATTTTTTTCCACTGCCTCTCTCCAGAGTTTTAGAATGCCTCACATGAGTTTGACATGGCCATCTACAAAGCATTTCTCTGACTAGGATGAGAGCCAGCAAATAAATCCTTGTGTTTCCATTACAAATTGTTTTGAGAAAAGCTTCATACAATATTTGAAGTTGAAGGTGGAAAAAGGGGTTGCAATAAAAGAACTGATGGCAAATGGACCTTTCAAAAGATTTTTGAAATGTGTACCTATTATATATAGGTATATAACATCTATTTAACATGTGCATATTTGGCCAGAAGCTGTGGCTCACAGCCGTAATCCCAGCACTGTGGGAGGCCTAGGTGGGGGGTTCACTTGAGTCCAGGAGTTTGAGACCAGCCTGAGCAACATGGCAAAACTTAGTTTTGACAAAAGTACAAAAATTATACGTGCATGGTGGCACACACCTATAGTTCCAGCTGCTCAGGAGGCCGAGGTGGGATGATCGCGTGAGCCCTGGAGGTGGCGGTTGCAGTTAGCTAGCAGTGATGGCACTACTTCACTCAAGCCTGGGTGACAGAGCAAGCCCCGATCTCAAAATGCACACACACACACACACACACACATACACATATACACACACGTATATTTACATATATATTCATATTTACCTTATTTATAATTTTCTATACTCCCAAGTATATCTTTTAACACCAGAATAATTTAGATAACACCAGAGAATCCACAGGCTTCATTCACACTAGAGATAAATGGACTTTGGCAATCACATATGGAAAGACCACAATCATTGCTCCAAATCGACAGAGATAATTGTGCCCTGAATATTTTTCTAAAGGGAAATAAAAACAAGAAAGCTTATTTCTAAAGGGAAAGAAAAACAAGAAAGGTTTAGGTTTAGGAGCCCAGAAAAGAATAAAAATAGCCATGAGCACAAAGTTCAATGGGTACAAGTTGAACAGCACTGTGGGACTTGCAGGTGAGGAGACTCAACCTACTCTCTTCTGAGCCATCTATACATTCCTCCCCCATAACCCTCCATACATTCCCAGCAGCATCCTGCACTGGAGACCTCCTAAAAATTTCAGATTCCTAGGCAACACCCATAGCTTGGTGAACCTGAGAAAGTCAAATTGTTTCTTATTTTTGCAACATTGAGTAATCAATGCACACAGGAGCTTGGGGAGCCCACTGTATTTTCTGAAGTTAAAAAACAATGCTGTCTTGTTATGTTGTGAAGGTGTTGCGTTTACTTGCTGGAGACCTGAACTTGCTACAACTTGCTGTGCAATGGGTGGTAGATCAAGTGATGGTTTGTAACTTCTTCCCCATCTCTAAAATAGAGACACACAATGCTCACTTCAGTGACAAAGGAAAGGAAAGTAAAAGGATATAAAGCAATATGAGTATTTTGGAGGGAATAAACAATACACATAGAACACAAGTTCCACATTTTATTTAGGAAAACCAAACATATAGGCCATGTTTTGTCTACTGGTTTCCAGAACTGTGTACCTGAGAGTGGATGACTTAAGCTTGAACTATCTCTTTTACAGAGTTGTGTTTATTTAAGTATCCAGGGGATCCCATGTCAGTTCTTTGGGGTGCTTATTCAAAACACAGATTCTCCAGCCTGGGCAATAGAGTAAGACCCCTTCCCTACAGAAAAATTTTAAAAATTAGCCTGGTGTAGTAGCATGTGCCTGTAGTCCCAGCTACTTGCGGGGCTGAGGTGGGAGGATCACGCTAGCCCAGGAGGTCAGGGCTGCAGTGAGCCTGTGATGGAGCCATTGCATTCCAGCCTGGACTCTGTTTCAAACTAAACAAAAGAAAACAGATTATCAGGCCACCGTCTACACCTTCTACACTGAGATAATGGAATCATAATATTCGAGTTATGGAGCTTGAGTGTCTTGTTTTTAATAGTCTCTCCAGGTGATTCTTATGTACAATGAAGTTAAAGAACCATTGTACATCTTCTAAGGCAGGAACCAAAATACATTCATCACTGTAGCCTTTCAGTGTATTAAATATAATAGGTGGCCAAGTAACATCCTTTGAGGAAACAAAGGCATAAAGAGAGAAATTGTTTCATCCTTGATCCTTCTCATAGCATGTTTTTATAATCAGGGGCCTTGGTGAGCTGTGTCTAGGGTGAGTAAGCCAAGCTTTAAGCTATACCTCCTGATGGGGAGGGAGCTTTAGACACAGGAAATGCCCCTTTCAAAATGATCCAGAAAGACTTTCAAGGAAAGCCTCCCGGGAGCTAATTAAGGAGCCAGAGGCAGACAGTCTGCTGAATTAGATCTTTGGTAAGCCACTGAACTCAAAGATGAAAATCTTAGACCAGGAATAGCCATGAAAACCCCTGAGGCTGAAGGGATATAGGCTGGTAGCCAAAGGTCAAACAGATCATGGTCAGTAAACTGGTAGCTAGAGGGGAAAAGGAAGCCACATGTCCAGCTTCTACAAAGCATTAAGCTTCTGTACAAAGCATTAAGCTTCTGTGCAAAGCATGAGAGAATATTGGGACTTGAGACACTTCTGAGTCTAACTTTAGTGAACACTGGGTGATGGGGGCCCGGGAAAGAGGGGGCAGGATGGGTGTTAACAGACAAGAAATGCCTAAGCAGTAAAGTGCAAAAGTCAGTGCTGTTGGCTCCCTAGTTTTAAGAGGACTTTGGCCATTTCTGGGTTTGGTCCCTTGGAAAAAAACACCTGAGGCTTCCACAGGGCAAGGTGGAAACAGGCCTCCCTGAAGAGTTAATTGTTACAAATTGCTTCTTATGATGATTGTGTAATTACATTTTCTGTACTAACCTTATGTATTTAAGGAGCATTATAGTACAGCCCCTAGTAAACTATGTTTCGTGCTGATTTCCCACATACCTCCACATGCTGTGATATTTTCCAAACAATTTATGTTCTTTGTCAGCTTTTAGTTTGGTGAAAACTTTGAAAAATCCAATGTTAAAACTTCCTAGGACAAGAGTTGTGCAAATGGCAGGGGACCTGCGGCAGCCTGATCACATTTCTTGCTTCATCCACTGCTTCACTTGACAATATGGGAGTTGAGCCAGAGTGAGTGATGTAACTGCTCTGAAATAAATGGTGGAGTCCCAGTTTCCTTCTGCATGCTAGTGGATCATCCTTGACCTCAGTTCTCTAAAACCCTTGAAGAGCATCAAAGAAATCCCTGAAAGGGTAGGGAGTCCCCAGAATCCCTTTAAGATGCAAACAATCAAGCTTAGTGTTGCAGAAACCATACAGATCATAGCCAACTACTGCCAAATAAAGCAGCAAATCCCTCTAATTAGAAAGGCCAATTAAAGAATTAAAGGGGAAATTGTGAATCCCTTATCATGGATGATAAAGAATGTCTCTCTTCTTTCTTTGATGTTAATCATCTGTGTGGTATTGTCCTGGGTTAAGTACCCTCAGGACTCTTTATGAGTAGCACTATGACAGAGTGTGAGTCAGCCGGAGCGACACAACTCGAGAGAGAGACAGGGCAATCTAAACCTGAGCGAGAGACGGGGCAATCTAAACTTGTTGGGTGTGTGCTCTTTTTTTCTTTTCTCTGCTTATCTGCGTCTCAAATATGTTTGCTCAGTCTTTTAAACCAATGGCTTCTGAGAATCGTTGTTTTCCTATAGATGGGAGAGTAGTAGATGAGAACACAGGATAGGTTTGTCAGTCTAGGACCTGCTGGTGGTGAGTAAAACAAAGAGATAATTAAACCATCATAGGTAGGTGTACTTGTTCACCTTGGTGCAGCTTCCTAATTCATATTCCTGACTTAGAACTTAAGAAGATTCTTCCTATTGAAACTGTCTTTGCAAAAATTATAACTGAGAAAACAATGACAGTGAAAGATATCTGACCTAACTGACTCCATCTTGCTTCTAACCTCCAAGCTGTCCTTGTTTACCCCTGGGCATAGGGTTAACTAACTTTGGGAGGAACTTAGTTTATAGTTTAACTTTGAAACAAAGATGGTAACAGCCCTTTCCCAAAACAAACCCCCTTCCTGCCTGGGGACTAGACTGCTTTTGAAGGACTAACAAATTAGCCACGAGATTAGAGATTATAGTTTAGGAATCATGCAGCCAGAGGCTGCAAAATTCTGAACCTCTCCAAATTGCTCCTGTGGATAACATCACTATGGTAAAACCTAAGATCAGTGAGTGAGCTATTTTGCAGACCCTGTACGCAATGGATCAGCTGGTACCATCCAGATCGGTAAACTGACTCATCTGGTGTTGTGGTCCCCACCTGGGAACTGACTCAGTGCAAGAGGATGGGTTCAACTCCCTATGATTTCATCACTGACCCAACCAATCAGCACTCCCAACTCACCGGTCCCATCCCCCTAATTATCCTTAAAAACTCTGATCCCTGAATTCTCTGGGAGACTGATTTGAGTAATAATAAAACTCCCGTCTCCTGTATAGCCAGCTCTGTTGAATTAAACTCTCTATTGCAATTCCCCTGGCTTGATAAATTAGCTCCGTCTAGGCAGTAGGCAAGGAGAACCCGTTGGGCCATTACACTATTGACTCTATTTGGGTTCACAAATAGAAAAATGTACTAAATTGTCTTATAAGGGATGTAAAAAGAAAATATTCATTTGAGATATTGGAATGATACAAACCTCTGTCTTTGAACGACTTTTCGTTATGTAACATTGACTGAGAGGCTTACTGAATACCAACCACTGTACTGGTCTGTGTGTTTTCCCTGAATTGTCTCATTTTATACTCACAATGACTTTTAGGATATGTTTCCTTTAGGGTATTATTTTCATTTGACAGATGAGAAAACTGAGGCCTAGAAAGGATAAGTAATTTGCCTAAGGGTACAAATCTAGTAAGTAGCAGAGGAGGAACTTGTCCTAGGCAATAAAATTCTAGTTAGTTAATACATTATGCTACCCTTAATAACATTGCCTTTGTAATGTGTTTAACATAAAGTCCTATTTATATGTGAGGTATTCTTCTTCTTATTATTAATATACATTTGGTTTTCGAAGCCATTGAGATGATACAACAGACGTATTAAAATGTAGACACACGAGAAAATATAAAACAAATTAACATGTTTCTAGTAATATCTTCTTTAAGCCCAATCATTGAGGGGTAGACCTGGCTGTAGCTTCTTCTTATCTTTCATGTATCTTTAAAAAATAAAGTAGATTCTTTTGACCTATCCCCTGAATTTTTATTACAACCTACCAAATATGAAAGAATATACAGTTAAGGGTAAAAGAGAAAGGATTAATATAAACAAAGCTATTTATAATATTATTCAATGCTTTCCTTAAATCATTTGAAAGATTCTACATGAAGCTATAATGATATGATTTTCTTTGAAACAAATTGCTTATTTTCTTGATTCTTAGATGCAAATTTCTTCACATCTTGATGTTTTTTAAACTAGTAGATGCCTTATAATCAATGTGAACACTTAATGTGGAGTTTTTTACCCTCCTTCCACCCTCCAAGAAGCTATTATTAAAACTATGGTGCATCTTAGTATCTTAAAATAGAAGAAATGCAGTAGTATTTTACAATTTTGTTAAGATTTATAATACTAGGCCTGCCAATATAGATCACCCACTGTTTGACTACACGGACAATTAAATTTGTCCAAACTGGCACTTAACCACAACAGAAGAAACAGTAAATATCTTTTAAAATCTAATTTTATGTCTAGATTTGGGTTTGTAAATACCATTCCCTCATTAAACACACACACACACACACACACACACACACACACACACACACACACACACACAGAGGACTGCTTCTAGGGTTGGGGCAAGGAAAATACAAGATGAACTTAGAATATCTTACGGTGCTACAAAGTAAAGAAGTAATTTTTTTTTAAACGAAAGATGTCGACCTGTTAAAAGGACATAATGACCAACTTGAAAGGGCTCTCTCTGATCAAATCTGTGATGATTTGTGCATTGAAATGCATAATTATGGTAATTTATTATAACCCATTGAATAAGAACCAATGAGTTCATATTGATAATAAGGAAATATGTAAGTAAACAAGAGGGGAGAAAGGAAAACCCTTACAGTAGCATGTTACATCATAAATGTGGAAAGAATAATAGAATTTAAAAATCACCATTTTTCAGTCATCCATGGAAATCAGGTAAGAATCATCAACGGGTGCTACAAGAATTGCTGAAAGTTTGATTAGAAAAAGAATATTTATATAATCTCAAAACCTCTCTCCACAAACTTTGTTAACAAAAAGGAGAAAATGGTAACCTTACAATGAAAATACCTGACACACAGCACCTCAACCAAGCAATCACAGTTTACATCACCAGCAATGGGACAGTCTGACACCATGTCCCTCTTCATGTCATGCACTAGGAAGGACGCAGCATTTCTCACACACCATACCTGCTGAAAACGCATCACCTGCTGAAAGTGCATCTCCTGCAAGGGAACATGAAGAAATATCAAACTCCAAACAGCTGGCCTGTACTTTTCTAACGAAGCCAATGTCATAAAAGACAAAGACTGAAAAACTGTTCCAGATTAAAGGAGACCAAAGACATACGACAACTAATTGAAATGTATTATCCTGGATTGGATTCTAAATTGGGAATGGGACAGGAAGGATTACCCTAATAGTGAAAGTTCATACAGTGACTCTTATAATATATAATAGTACTGAATAAATATCAAATGTTCTCAGTTAAATAATTCCACTATGTTTATGTAAAAGCATGTCCTTATTCTTAAGAAATATTGAAGTATTTGGGAGTAAAAGGGCCTGATTTATACAACTTAATCACAAATACTTTGAGAGAGAAAAGGGAAATGTAAAATGTTAACAATCAGTAAATTTGAATTAATAAAATACAAGAGCTACTTTTATTGTTCTTGAAACTTTTTGGTATTTGAAATTATTTCAAAATAACGAGCTAAAAATTTTTTTAAACCTATGTGTATTCTGTTTGAATGGATTTTCAACATAATTTTTGAAGCATTTTTGCCAATGGGTTTTGATAGAGGCCAACCCGGAAATTTGTAGTTAAGAAGTAATAAATAAATAAACTTAATTTCTAAGTTAACATTCAGCCCCAGGTTTCAAAAGAAGTTCTTATGTAGAGGAAAGTTGTTAGATGGAAATTATTTGGAAAAAGGATTTTACATATATCTTTGCAGTCATGTTGTGTGACTGTTTTATAATACACTTTCAGAATTAGGAACAAAAAAAATCACCATTTTGAAATTTAAAGAATTTGAAGAGAAAACAGAACAATGGAAATATTAAATGGTATGGGTGCCAAGCAAAATGGAGTAAAGTTTTTTCAAAGGTCTTTGATGACAAGCCAAACACGGAAAAGCGAAACTGTATATAAATTTTATCCCTTAAAAAAATTTCTGGATGAATTGTTTTTCAATTCTCCAGGGCTTGAATCAGAATTAAATTAAACATACATTGATAATAGTTAAGAGTTACATATTGGTGTCTTATTATATCATGTATTTATATTTCTTTAGAATATACCTGTTTGTATTCCTTCAAGTAGTTTATTATTTTTGTATACCATTTCTCATTAGTGGACTGATCAACTTTGCTGTCATGCTAAAGTTCAATTTTAAAGGAAAGACAAGTTGACTATAGAATATACAATAACCCAGGCCCTCAATTACTCATGATCATAGTCCAGAGAAAGTTACCTAATTTATTTGAAAGTTGCAAAGTGATTGCTTTGGAATCCAAGTCCACATAAAGGGAGAAATGCCATTGATATAGTTGCTTTTCCTTATAAATGTGTTCCCCACATCAGAGATGCCAAATAGATTTGATCTGACATGTCAATTTCAGTTCATTTATTATGGCTGCTTAAGACTCTGTGTTCCAAAAGATTGGGAGGTTACTTGAGTACTGCAAAGTAAGGATCCCTGATGGAGCGTGGCAGTGTGTCTCCTCTTTGCAATCGCTGCCCTCACATGTAATAGATGATTGTCAGCTACCCCTAATTGAGGGTGTTCCTCGCTTTGTCTAGCACATGTCTCAGGGGCACATTTTTAACTAATATCTTGAAAGATTAATGCTGGTATATACAGCAAAACTTTACTTTTGGTTCTTTTCACTAACAAGGATTATAATGGGTGTCTCTGGGACCTCTGGAGCAGTTGACATTTTTTAAACAATATATTAGATTATAGAGATGTGTTCCCCTTCTACCCTCTTGGTAAAACCATTTTAGTTATCCATGGCAGTCAGGTAAGAATCATCAATGGGTGCTATAACAATTGGTGAAAGTTTGATAAGAAACAGGATATTTATGTAACCTCAAAATCTCTCTTTACAGACTTTGTTAACATAAGGAGAAAAAGGTAACTTCACAATGACACAGCCCCTCACACAGCACCACACACAGCATTTAAAGCTACAGTTTTCAAACTGAAATGGTTAGAATCATAAGAATACCAAATACTTAATAGGATAATGAGGCTGACCTTCACACAGGCATTAGTTAGTCCTGAATTAGAGCTCCAAATTACAAAATCATCAATCTACAAGTAGTTATTGAGTCCTAACTATGTGGAAAGTATTGTGCTAGCTGCTTTAGAGGAAGCACAATTAAGTAAAATTGTTCTCCTGCTCTCCTGGAGCTCAGCTCTACTTGGGAAGATAATATATTCACAGAAATAGCTGTGATACAGGCAATACATTCTCAGGGTCATGGGAGTGGTAGAGGATGAGGACCAGTGAGCAGTGGCTATCTCTCCTTTCTGCATATCTCTGGACCCAGCTCCGTTATTAAGAGAGAATTGAAGGCAACAGATTATCAGCCCTGGAAGGAGTCCTCTAACATCACAAATACAAAAGCCAGACTCAGAGAGGTTGTTATTTGATGAGAAGCACATGTTATAATTCAGGTCTCCTGCTTTTTCTGATGTAAATAGTGAATTTCTCCTAGTCTGGTTTCTTAAGGCAGCTGTGGGGTGGTGGAAAGGGCGTGGGACAGGAATGGATTCTCATTAATTACAGCTATGATACTTAATCCTGTGCTAACTTAATTTTCTAATTGTAAAAATGAGGATAATACTATGTAGTTTGCATCTTATGCCTCATGGGTTGGTTAGGAGAGTCATGTGAGACTGCGTGAAAGTACTTTGAAAATAATTAAGTGCTATAAAGACATAGAGGATTATTAATAGCATCTGACATTTAATAAGTGCTTATGATGTGCCAGGCATTGTGCTGGCAGTTTATATTCATTAGCCTAGTTAACTCTTCTGCAACCCTCTGAGGTAGATGCTGCTATCAACATTTTATTGAGGAGGAAACTCAGCTTTACATCAATTATTTGCATAAGAGTAATTGTCCCAAAGAGATTTCAGACTTGAGCAACCATATTCTACAGTCCCCACATAATCATTTTTCTCGTCAATTATTATGGAAGATGCCAAAAGGCTGAGTGACCATTGTCTACAGATGGACAAGAACAAACCCTGCTCATTCTCCTAATGATGACCAGATTTATACTTGGGGTCAGAATGGGGTTAAAAACCAAGCACCTTGCTGGGGATGGAGGGGGGCAAAAGTGGGTGGAGAAGGTAAGCCTTGGAAAAAAGAACATTTCTCAGGAGACTCACTAAATCCCTTTCCTTCATGTATGCATGAACATGCACACTCCTGCCTTGGGTATTTAACCAAGCTAATTTCACACTAATATTGAAGGCTTGCTACAAAGGCACTGATTATTCCATTAGCCACCCTTGGTAACAAGCTGAGGAATTATAGCTTCAACTGCTCTCTTCCTGCTCAAAGCCCAATGGGACTGCCTCACATTCTCTTCCTTGCCATGGATTCAATGGAAGTTCCCTGGTCAATGAACCAGGCCACTTGAGGACAAAGTTTGAAGCCAAAGCTGGGGAACCTGGGGAGCCAGCAGCTGATTCTGGGAATCTTGGCTTCTGTTTATAAAGGTGAATCCAAATTCTGCTCTCACTCTCCAAAATTCTCTAGCAAAAGCCTCAGGCTGAGAGCAAAAGGTGAAATGAGACTTAGAAATAAAACCCCAGAGGATGTGTGCCTGCATCTTGTGCAGAAGCAGAAAGAAGAAGAGAATAGACTGAAGGGGGAGGGGCGCTATATTTGATGTTGGAGCGTCAGCATTTCCCAGCTAGGAGAGAGCCTGGCTGGCATTGAGAGAGCATCTCCCACAAGGCTGCCCTGTCCTCACCCTAATATCTCCTGGAGCTCAGGGCCCCAGCGAGAACTAGCAATCATGCTAATTGCATGCTGGCTGGAGAAGCAGTAGCTAGAGAAGAAAGTCATTGTGCGATGAAGTAAATGCCTCAGTGCTGCCCAGTTTGAAGAGAAATATTTGCAGATTCTGGTTAGGCCAGTGTGAATAGCATAGGGACATCATCTGTTCTTTCTTGCCAACCCCTCCCTAATCCGTTCCAGAAAAATAATGCAGCAGAGGAGATGGGAGGGACTTGGGGTCTTCTGACTTCTTTCCTAAAAGCCAAGAGTCCTCCCAAATGTATACTGAAGCTCACTGCCCTTTAATTTGATTTATTATGTATTAGGCACTGTGCCAATCACTCAGTATACATCATCTTATTTAATCTTCACAACACTCCTAAGAAATAAGTGTTATTATCCCTTTTTGCAGATGAAGGAAATTAAGGGTCAGAAAGATTCAGTAACTTGCAGCAAGTAATATAGATACAAAGAAATGAATTAGGGTCAGAACCCATTTTCTCTAACTCCAGAGCTCGAGCACTTATCCCTACAGCTTACTGTTGAACTGCCACACTTTGGGTATGTCCCAAGCAAGAAGAGCAAAAGAGAAGTTTGGCTTTGGTGATCTCAAGTTGTGTGCATGTGTGTGTTTCTGTGTGAATGTATGCTTATTTTCATTCTTTTTTCAATCTCTTGCTCTAGTCCCCCAATTCTTTGCACCCATATACACCTTTTACCTATCCTACCAGTTTTCTTAATCTTAATTATCTTGTCACCTACCTGAGAAATTAATTCATGAGCACGTGTTAAGAATTTAATAATTTAACTTTCCCTAGACTATTTGCATTTTAAAAGGAAATAAAGAGTGAGACACTGATAAAAATGTACCAGTCCTTCAAGAAGGAGTAGGTCAAGATATTTTCTGGAAGAAGACAAAATGATAATTCGGGGACCATAAATCCCAGTTCTTTTCACAGAACAGGTGAACACAAAAACTCAAACATTCAGACTACTCTCAGATACATATGGATTAGAGGAGGAAGGAGAGCCCAGGCTGATTCTGTTTGAGATTGCCCAAACACTCATGTTTGGGTCTCAAAATGGAAAATGTTCCTGGCCTTTGAGGAACAAAAACTTTTGTGTGTCACCGAGGCCCAAAGGCAGGGCTGGACTCAGGAGAGGGAGCAAGATGAAGCATAGTCTTCCCCCGCAATGTCACCTCATGCACCCCGCCAGCCCAGGGTAAGCAGGCACAGCCTCTCTGTCTGCACGTGTCACCCATTCCACAGCAGACCCTGATGTACAAGCTCAGGATTTCTGTAGCATTCAAAGCAGATCAACCTATACTACAAGCTTCGTAGTGAACAGGAAACAGTCTTTCTACCCTTGCATTTCAGCATAGAAATGCAGGCTGCAAAGGTTGGGGAGACCAGAGAAGGGGAAACTGTAGAGTATCACCATGGTAACTACCTTCTGGCATCATTTTTTCCCTCAGACCAAGCCCATCCCCAAGATCCTAGCCCTTTCTGGAGTGATAGCCCTGTGCAGAAAGGACCATGCACTGTGCAACTCTCTCATATATCATGCTCAAGTGGTTTTTCCTCCCTCCTCAATGCATAGTCTGAGTGTTTGTCCTTCTGTAGTTTTCTGTTAACCAGACTAGTCATGGTCTCTGTTTCCATTTCACCAACTGCTACCTCATTCCCACTCCCCAAATAGAATATAATAAACTCCATGAAAGCTAGGAATTTTGATTATGTTTTTAGCTGATGTATTCTCAGTGCATGGAACTGTGTCTGGTACACAGTAGGTACTCAATAAACATTTGTTTAATAAGGGAAAGAATAAATTTATACATTTATCAGAAAACGCATAGCTTAGCTTTAATACAGACACCCATCAGCATTTGACCAAATATTCCTAGTGAAACCATTGAAATTCCCATTCCTTGGCCACACATTAGGTTACAGCTACAGCTTGTTGCTTACTGAGGTAAATACACAGGGCAAGGGCAAGTGTTGCCCTGTCTAGAAGGTCAACTTTCCCTTCCCAGAACTTTAAATCCAGATCTGAGTTTTTCTACCTTCTGAGTTTCTGGTGAGAGCCATAAAGTTAAAATGGGTTTGCTCATTCATTTATTCAATTAATATTTAGTGAGTCCTGATACACCAAACACTCTTCTGGGTGCTGGAGCCAGAATAACGACTGAAACATAAACATGGAGTTTATGCTCTTTGGAGTCATGTATGAACAAGACAGGGTTTCTGCAATAAGATGCCCTGTACTCATTTTTTTTTTTTCCTGGGGATATTTAGCTAGTTGTATAACCAAAGAGGCTGCATTTTGCCTACAAACATTCCAGAGAGGGCTGAGGAGGGGAGCCTCTAATCCTTTGGTATAAAGAATTGGGAAATATTTATACAAAGGAAACTGGAGAGTGGCTTTAAAAAAAGAGAGTGCTGGCATTGACAGTCCTTATAAACGGGATAGCCAGAGGGCAGATGGGGGGACACTCAAGGACCTGAAAACCTAATGCCACTAACACGCTGATATGAATTAGTTTCTCAAGCAGGTGACTAGGGAGCAGATTTCAGTTTAAATCCCAGCTCTACTTTTTCTTAGCTCCTGGTCTTCAACAAATGCTCCTTAACCTCACTTGCAAAATGGAGGGATGACACTGTTGCTCATCGCATAGGATTTAGTGAAGCCCAAGACCCAGTGCCTACCTCATAGTGGAAGCAAGACAAATCATAGTACTGGTGAACTGTTGAAGAATGAAAGGGAGCAAAGATGAAAGGGAGATGAGAAGGTCCCCACAGACAAATCTCAATTCTGGATTTTGCCAAAAACAGATCTTGTCCCTCCATAGACATTACTTCACTTGGGTTGGGTTTCATGCTCCATTTTGTCTTTCCCATTACAAAGGTGATTCTTGAACTTTAGTATCTATAAAAGCAAATATGGACACGTGTTAAAACGCAGTTTACAGAATTCAAACCTAAGAGACTGATGTTGTGAATCTGAGATCAGGCCCAGGGATCTATATTTTACAGTGGCAATTCAAGTAATTTTCTCACATGTTATTGCTAGATCCTACTTTGTAAAACTTTCAGAGGACTCCAAGACAGAGGTTATGTAAATTAATCTGAGACATAGAAGTGGCGATGCATTGTAAATAGAAGGCATAAGCAGAGGTTAATGTACAGAGTGTAGTAGTAATTATATTTAAGAGAGGCCTGGCTCAGGACTACCTCTGGAGTGAGTTGTCTGATGAACACAGGCCCTGCTATTTTTCATCCTCTCAATAAAGCATCTCTCATTTTGAGAGCTTTCACTATGTGACTTAAAACTCTAAAGCTATCCCCAAGTATCTAGATGTTTGATAGTCAGATGGTAGCCTGGATTTTCCTCTATTTATCTCAGTGATTCAGACTCATGTAGATGACCTTAATTGTCCAAGTCTTTACCACAATTCTAGGCTTAGGCAAGTTATTTCTGTAATCAAGTAACTCTTCATAAATAACCAACTTCACAAAATTAGCAAGACAGGAAACAAGCAAGAGCAGACTGCCATAAGTAGTATATATTTCCATGTGGATAATTGCTGAGGACTATCTCTTCTCAGAATGTCAATGTAACGAGAGGAATCTATGTAGGAAAAGGGAACAAAAACAAATGACAATAATGAAAAATATTTTTATAACTGGAAGGAAAATCTTGTAGTCCCAAATATAGTTAGCCACAGTAGGCCTGTTTAATAGTGAAGGGGATATCAATTAAATAAAAGCTTACTGGCAGTGCAATACCAATTAATCCTAAATGAAGGTACATTCTTTCAAAATGCAAAGTTGTGTCTTTAGGGTGCCAAAATGCCCAGCTGAGTAGTAAAAAACCAAGCCACTAGGGTTGTTTTGTCTACATCCTTATTTCACAGGTCTTTTGTCTTCACTACATCCTTACATGTATACATTTTCTGCTATTGTCCATGGGCCATCCCCTAAAGCAAAAAGAAACTTGGAATAGCATTATGTATAGCAGTGTGGTAGACTGTAACAACATTGGTGGGCCCCAAGGACCCACACCTCTTGATATTCAGCCCTTCAGTAGTTCCTACCCACATGGAGTTGGAAACTCAGTGGTTTGGAAAATGAGATATTAGTAAGCATGACTCAAGCGAGGCCTAATATTTGCAGATTGAGCTTGTCTTTTGGAACATTTGCTTTTGAAAACCAGCTCCCACATTTTAAAGAAGCTTGATTTTGACAATGAATAATGAGAAGACAAGTAGAGAGGGGCCCTGAAGCACCACCTTGGACATCCAGCCCCAGCTGACTCCCAGTTGAATGCAGCCACTTAAGTGACCTCAGCTGTCCTACATGAAGCACAAGAATGCTCAGCTGAACCAGTCAACCCACAGAATTGTGAGAAATAATAAATCATTAATGTTTTAAGCCATTGGGTTTCGGATAATTTTTACATAGCAACAAATATTAACATAGCAATTCCCTACAAAAACCTAAAGGAAACGGCATTGAATTGTCTTTCAATATACCTGGGATATATTTTGTTTGTTTGTTTGTTTTGTAATTCAAGTCCAAATGAAAGACAACAGAGATGTCAGGAAAAGACGATTGATTACCCACAGTTGTCAAGAGGAGATGGCATGCCATGCTATGCAGGGCCACATGGGGAAGCACCAGGGTCTGTCAGGAAGCAAAAGAAGTGAAGGTAAAGCATGGGCAAAAGTCCTTATTATGGTGTTCATGGTGCTCAATGAGTGAGGCCGGCTGATTAGGCTAAGCAGGTTTAGGATTGCAGAATTTGAATGATTTTAGTGGGCTCTGGGGTGTAGGAGCTGTCCTGAGTTGTCTCATATTTATCCCTGGGGTGATTAGGGCAGTGAATGACAGGTGAAATCTTCATAAAGGAGTTAATTGGGGAGTGGGCCCTAGATTGCTTGGTATTATAGGTTGAATGCTTGTGTCACACCCAGAATTCATATGTTGAAGCCTTAACCCACAATGTGATGGAATTCAGAGTTTGGGCCTTTGGGAGGTAATTAGATTTAGATGAGGTCATAAGTGTGGGGCCTCCCAGATGGAATTAGTGACCATTTAAGAAGAAGAAGAAGAGACCAGACCTTTTCCCTTCTCTGCCATGACAGGCTATGTGAGAAGGCAGCCATCTGCAAGCCAGGAAAAGAAGGCTTGCCAACAATCGGACCATGCTGGAACCCTGATCTTGGATTTCCCAGCCTCCCATGTGAAAAATAAATGTTTGTTGTTTTAGCCACTCAGTCTATGATCTTTTGTTAGAATAGCCCAAGCAGACTAGGAAAGTTCTTTTGCATAGAAAAAGTGTGCTTTTGGGGGAATTTCTTGCTATCTCTAGGAATTAGCTAGCTCTGGAAGGGGCAGTCTCTCCTGTGTCAGCAAGGCCCTCAAGATGTCAAAGCATCATCAAATACAAAATATAAAAGACATGATTAATACAGGATTTGGGACTAGATAGAAGATGGAGGCCTGAAAAGTGAGGAAATGATGGGTAGAGGCTGGAAGACCAGTAAAATTTCTACTGAAGGCTAGAGAAAAAGGAACCTGTGTTATATATTAGTAGAAAAATGAAGGAGATTGTCACCTGTGGTAACGTAGAAGGCAAGATAAAAGAAAATAACTAGTAACTTGAAATTTTAGCTAAAGAGATTTCCAAGCAAAACACTGAATGTGTCAACTGGTTTTTTAAGTTATCTGTGATAAGATATTGCAAGAAAAACGGAGAGAAGCTAGAGTACTATTGAGTTTTCGACAGAATTTAAAGAAAATATTTCCAGCTCAGGACTTTCTGGGTTAGACAATACAACTGTCTCTCATTTTTTCTATCTCCAGCTGGCAAAATTTTTTAAAGTAAGAAATGTCCTCAGGTATAACGATCAACTCTATGGGGCTATCAGTAAAATGAGGCCTAAGAGTAAATATCAGGTCAAAGATTTACAACCTCTCAGCTAGAAAAAGAATCTCTTCTGAAGATCTCATGGACATTTTACGCAACATACTTACTCTCAGCCCAAATTAGGGAGAGACCTACGTAAAGAGATTTGTGTGTGCAAGATTTTGTGTAATGCAATGCATTTTAAATTTTAAATTTGATATATAGAAAGCCCATACCATTTTTAAAGGAGTTGTATCAGCTTGGATACAAAGGGACAGGTCAAAATGAAAAGAAGCCTCTGAGTCACCAACTTACTCTCAGCAGGAAATGGCCTGAGAGTACTACTCAGCTGCAGGCATGAGCCGTTCTTTAGGGAAAGGAAAGCCATCTCACAAAGTGGAGTCAAGAACTCAGAAGATCAGAGTTGAAAAGAGCAATGGATTCAGAAACTGCTCTCAGGAAGCACAACAAACATTTCCTTTTCCCAAGTGACATGTGCTCAGTGGATGACAGAATTGCTATGGGGGCAATAGTTGTGTACCTCTGGCCCTCCTCCTCACTTACATTTTTGGAAAGGAAATGTCTACTGCAGTGATTATTTCTCTTTTTTATCATTGAGCGTTGGATGAGTGGGGGCAGATTTCTTGTTTTACTTCACATTTCTCTGTACCTGAGGAACCACACCCCAGGGCTGTCATCTATGCAAAATTGTAACTGTCACCTTGTAACAATAAAGTTGGAACTGAAACTAATTTATATGCCAAGAGGCTAGATGCCAAGCCTGAACCGGATGCTAAAGTAAAGACATTTTGTGGGTCCTGGAAAGAAGGTAAGCATAATTTGAATGTAGGAAAGACATGAATAATTGAGGGCCTGAAGGCAGACTGTGGTGGTCTGTCACATTGGTGGCCCCCAATGATCCATGCTTCCCAGGAGTCACACGCCTGTGTAGTCCCCTCCCACATTGTCTCAGGGATCATCCATGTGACTCTTGTTAGCCAATGAGATTTTAGCAAAATGATGGAAGAAGAGGTTTGATAAGCACTTGCAGTGTGGGGCTTGAACTCTTGGTCCATTCCTTCCTGGAAGCCATATTCCATGAGATAAAAGAGCTCAGATCAGACTGATGAATCATCAGAAGCTATGTGGAGAGAGGCCTTGGAGGATAAGGAGCCACCCTTGATGTTCCGCCTGTAGTTAAACTATCAGCTAAATGCAACCACATAAGTGACCTCAGTTGTGCTATGGAACAGAAAAACTGCTCTGCTGAGTCAGTCAACTCCAAGAATTGTGAGAAATGATATAGCCATGTTGTTTTAAGCCAGAAATTTGCAAACTATAGCCTTGCAGGCCAAATTTGGCCTGCTACCTATTTGTAAACAAAGTTTTACTGAAACACTGGCAGGCTCATTTGTTTACATCTTATCTATGGCTGTTTTTGCATTACAATGGCAGAGACTATATGACCCATAAACCTGAAAATGTCTACTTTACAGTTTCTATAGAAAATGTTAGTCGACCCCTGTCAAACTTCAGCAGTGGTTTGTTATACAACAGTATATAAATGGAGCAAGTGGCTAGAGAAAAGTGTAAGTCTTTACTAAGTGAGTATAGGATACAATAAGAGAGGCAAAGGGAAGAAGAGAAATAAGAATACAAGAGAGAACAAATGCCCAAAGGGGGAGATGAGATGCGGGAGGAGATGTGACCAAAAGAATGAGAAGATGAGGAGAAGGCAGAGGGAGAGAAATAAGAGGAAGAAGAACATCTCCTGAGGAAAAGGTATAATAATCGAATTGTGTTTGAAACTTGAAATTATTTAGTCAGTAACTATGAAGTCATGTTTTGTTTTGTAGGTGGTCAGTGTTTATACTGTAGTTAGTAAAAGGATCAGTGCTATTTGTTAGCACAATATCCATTTTCCCTTAATCTGTGCCTCAGAGCTATGGGGTTGTTTGTTAAGTATAAAATATGCTCAGCTAAAATATGAATGACCCCATACTTCCTCCAGCTATGAGTGGTCATGTGACTCAGTTTCCCCGGAGATATAAGCAGAAATCACTGGAGGGTCTTTATGGAAAGTCTCTTAAAAGTGGACAGACAACTGGCTTTTCAATTCCTTTTGCCCTTAGCTTTTGTCATTTCACTTTCCTGCCTGGAACATTGATGATTTGCAAAATTGTAACCGTCATCTTGTAACCACAAAGATGGAAGCCCTGGCTAGAGATGGAGAAAGAAGATACAATGAACCTCAATTCGTAAGAGCACCTTTGAATGGCCACATCAGCCTTGGACTATCTACCTTGATATTTTTTGTTACATGAGATAAAGGAGTCCCATCTCTGTTTATGCCACTATTTTTCAGGTTTTTTTACTTACAGCAAAAATAAATCATAACTGATATGGATAACACTTGCCTTTCCTCAGTTATCCAGCTCTATCTTCGGAGAGTTGGCAGACGGAAGGATGAAGAATAGGGATACAACATGAGAACTGCTCTC
Source organism: Homo sapiens (assembly GCF_000001405.40). Lineage (NCBI taxonomy): Eukaryota > Metazoa > Chordata > Mammalia > Primates > Hominidae > Homo > Homo sapiens. Next base: position 115,597,129 of record NC_000003.12, read on the forward strand.
TTTTTCTCTGTAGCTATAATTTACTGTTGATCAAGCAGCCCTTGCTTTTATCATTTTACAAGTGATAAAGAGTAGGTGCATTCTTCTGATACTTTGGCTTGTTGTGAGTGAGAAATAGAAATTAGACTTAATTGCTGACAAAATTACGTTAGACTGCTTAAACTAATGTACTATAAATTGTCCCTAAATTGCATGTTCCTTGTAATACACTACTCGGGTCGATAGAAAATTTTTCATGTTTTATTGTGGAAAGATCTATGGTACAATTAGATCAAGTACTCTCTCTCTGTCTTATCATTTTTAAAACCCGTGAATTGACTGATTGAATCTGTCAATGACTTTCAAACTAATATTCCCCTCTGGGGCGTTTTCTCTGACACCAACCAGCTTTCCAATTTTATAACACCAACTTAGTTTCCAGCAGTTCAATTCTGACACTATTTGGACCCCACAGTTTAATGGCTCAGTCCCATAAGACTTCAGGCACCAATGGTAAGTTTCAGAGACCACCGACACTCTAACCAACCAGCTATAAATCGGAAGTTCCCATGACACCTTCCTGATGTTTGATAATTTGCTAGGTTGTCTCAAGGTTGGCTCACAAAACTCAAGAAAACATTTTACTTACACCTACCATTTTATTATAAAGGATACAACTCAGGAATAGCCAAATGGAAGAGATGCATAAGGCAAAGTATGAAGGGTGAGATGTGGAGCTTCCATGGCTTTTCTGAGCATGCCACCCTCTGAGCAAGTGGAAATGTTCACCAACCTGGAAGTTCTTCCAACCTCCTTCTTCAAGAGTTTTTGTAACCCATGGCCAGGCACGGTGCCTCATGCCTGTAATCCCAGTAGTTTGGGAGGCCAAGGTGGGTGGATCACCTGAGGTCAGGAGTTTGAGAACAGCCTGGCCAACATGGTGAAACCCCATCTATACTAAAAATACAAAAATTAGCCAGGCATGGTGGCAGGCGCCTGTAATCCCAGCTACTCAGGAGGCTGAGGTAGGAGAATCGCTTGAACTGGGGAAGCGGAGGTTGCAGTGAGCTGAGATTGTGCCATTGCACTACAGCTTGGGCAACAAGAGCAAAACTCCATTTCAAAAAAAAAAAAGAAAAAAGAGCTGGGGGTGGGGGTGGGTGCTTTTTGTAACCCAATCTCCAGCTGCTCCTTTCCTCCCCAGAGGTCAAGAGGCAGAGCTGAGAGTTCCCATTCTTTTAATACACATGTGGTCTTTCTAGTGATCAGCTCTTATCCTGAGGCTATCTAGAAGCCCCAACATAAATCATCTCATAAAAAGAGTTATCCAAAGGGGCTCCTTATGAATAACAATAGACATTCCTATCACTCAATAAATTCCTAGGGTTTTAGGCACTCTTGTGCCAAAAACAGGGGACAAAGGACAAATGTATTTCTTATATTACCACATTCTCATTCATTTTTCTTCCTCTAGCTGACCATAGCAATGATATATACACAAAGTCTAGAGTATTTTCTCCAGCAGTTAATGAGATGAGTATGAACTTCAAAAAATTCTCAACTCTTACATCTTGATATGCTTTGGTTGTGTCCTCAACAAAATTTCAACTTGAATTGTATCTTCCAGAATTCCCATGTGTTGTGGGAGGCACCCAGGGGGAGGTAGTTGAATTATGGGGGCTGGTCTTTCCCATGCTATTCTTGTGATAGTGAATAAGTCTCAAGAGATCTGATGAGTTTATCAGGGGTTTCCATTTTTGCTTCTCCTTCACTTTTTCTTGCCGCCGCCATGTAAGAAGTGCCTTTGCCATGATTCTGGGGCCTCCCCAGCCATGTGGAACTGTAAGTCCAATTAGACCTCTTTTTCTTCCCAGTCTCTAGTATGTCTTTATCAGCAGCATGAAAATGGACTAAAACACAACTGTAAGAAGAAGCAATGGTAGCCAATTTAAAACTCTTCAGATAATCCTTGTATTATCAGTATAAAATTCAGATAATCCATGCTACATTATCATTATAAAATTCAGATAATCCATGCTACCCAAGACTGGGTAATTTATAAAGAAAAAGATGTTTAATGGACTCAGTTCCACATGGTTAGGGAGGCCTCACAATCACGATGGAAGACGAAAGGCACATCCTACATTGGTGGCAGGCAAGAGAGAGAATGAAATCCAAGAGAAAGGGGTTTCCCATTATAAAACCATCAGATCTCGTGAGACTTATTCACTACCATGAGAACAGTATCGGGGACGGTCTTTTAAATTATGGAGATGATTCTTTAGTTAATGTATACTAATTATAAGAGGAAATCTATACAGGGACAACAGTTTGGGTCAACTAAGCTAACTGGAGTTCTGCTCTGTAGAAGAGGGGTCCTCAACACCAGGGCTGTGGACGGGTACTGGTCTGTGGCCTGTTAGGAACTCGCCACACAGCAGGAAGTGAGCAGCGGGGGAGCCAGCATTACCACCTCAGCTCTGCCTCCTGTCAAATCAGTGGCAGCATTAGATTCTCATAGGAACGCTAACCCTATTGTGAATTGCGAATGTGAGGGATTCAGATTGCACACTTCTTATGAGAATATAACCAGTGCTTGATGATCTAAGGTGGAACAGTTTCATCCTGAAACCATGCCCATGCCCCACTCTCCGTGGAAAAAAATGTTTTCCACAAAATCTGTCCCTGGTGCCAAAAAAGGTTGGGGACCACTGTTCTAGAAGAGACAACCCAGAAGTCCGAGATTTTGAGACTAAAAGTCTTCTCAGGCTGTCAAATGTGTTAAAGCTACTTCCAGGGAGCTGTCCAGACCATGGATAGATTCTGTCTGAAGTGCTCTCTTATACATCCAGAGCCACCCACCCATCTGACTGCCTTGCCTGGAACTTTGTCTCTCTGACTTCAAGCACCCTTAATAACAGCTGCCCACCCTGACCCCATCAGATCCACATCTGTCCATCATTAATCCTTATAATCAGTTTCCTGATCCAATTGGTTGTCCATGACTTTATCTGACCTCAACTATCATCCATTCCAGTAGCATAACATGAGGCAATTGCACATTGCATCCATACTAAAGTTGTTGCAGTGAGTCCCCTACTGTTATTATTTTAACTATGATAACTGCCATAAAAAATGCACTCATATATATGTATTCACACACATACACACACACACATATACATACACACACACATATACATACACACACCAATAATGCAACACTCAAAAGTTATCAGGTTATAAGAAAAAAGATTAATAGAAAATGGAGATAATTCTGATCCAGCTTTCTTTTTAAAAAAGAAGCTATATTTTTTATATAAAACATTCTCTTCAGTCAAAAGTCTTTTCAGGAAACAAAAGTTTTACAAAATTATTTTCTGTGACTACATGTACCAAGCGTTTTGTCAATTCTAATCATTTCATTTAAAAAATCAGAAAAAAAGTTAATTTTTCCCCAAATTCACACAAAAAGACAACTATTAGTTTACCAAAAATTTCACTTCTGGCTAATGAAGTGTTGTGTACGCTCAGCCTAGAAAAGCTGAGAGCAAAGCAAGTGTTAAAGCAGTGGAATCTGACCACTATGAAAAGATACGCAATATTAAAGCTGGATATTCAGTTAAGGAGAATTCATGAGGGAAAAAAACAGACCAATCCACTTGCAAGATATGAGATGGCATATCTAGAATAGATGGTTAAGTATTTGGATGTGGATTACAGCTAATCTAAAAATACATAGGTGGGTATATATTTAAGCTAAGTACATTTAGGTAAATGCAAAAACGTCAGATGCATTTATTATATCTTTGCTAATGTGTAAAATGTGTAATTTATACTAGTGTTTTGCTTGAGTTAATGCTTTCAAAGAGAAGTAAGCAAATTAGAAGGCTCATACAAATGTAGCAGAGAAAACTGAAACAGAAAAAAATAGTTTTTCTAATAAGACATAAGAAATAACTAGGGATATAAAATGAAAGCTGGCTAAAAAAATAAGTACCGATTGCTTTAAAAATCTGTCCTAATAGAATAAATGAAGAAAAGTAAAATCAACAGAAACAGTAATAAGCAAAGTTGAAGATAAAAACTTGGTGAGTTGAGTATTTCTAAGCAATTGGAATGAGGGAAATGCATGTGAATCACAAAAGGCATAAAAACTAGGAGCCAGCATATGCTTGGCAATCTTGTCTGTGTAGCTTTACTGAACTGATCAAAACACTGCCAATTTATTTTGTTTTGCTTTCTGCCATTGTAATGGATAGTTACTGAGCAATTGATTGTATCGTTGTGCACTTGGTTGGATTTAGTCATTAAGATGGATGAAATGATTGGAGCAAGTGTTTCATGGTCTGGCGATCTTAGTCACCTTAACGACCCAATTGAATTGACCATAAAGAAGCCTGACTGCCATGCATTCTCTCCATCTTCAATGGATATATTCTTATGATCCATAAAGGACAGTTTTCATGTTGCCTCTATTTCTTAAAAAGGCCCTGAAAACTAAGTTGACACTAAAGAAAGTCTAAAATGAACATAAACTAATAACACAACTATATTAAGACATAAATCTGTAAGCATATTGTAGATAAAGAATTTAAAAATAGCACCTACAACTGATATGCTTTAAAAAAGAAAAAGGTACAAGATAAAACTTCCACTATGGAATCATATGGAATCATTAAATTGAGATTTGTAGATCCCTACATGCCTTTTTCCATCCTCCACCCACAGTATAATTTTAGGTCAAACATTAAGTGTAAATTGGATTTTAGCAACTGCCCGGTATGGTGTCCTGATCTCCCAACTGCATTCAACAGAGCTTCAAGCCTATAGGCTTAGCCCTGTCTCCCATCCTGAGGCAGTGCTTATTGAGGCTGGTGAGGTCTTGAAATAAATCTAGACACCTAGACTGGAGGCCTGAAAATTTATCTATGACTGCTAGGGTTTTTTCATGGCTTACAACTATCTTTTCCTGCCCATTTGACCCAAAAACTGTAATTTCAGAGTGAATTGTAGGTGTCCTTGCAGCCCATGTTAGAGTACTCCCCCTGATAATTAGCCCTGGCTGTGTTATCTTACTTCTGCTTAACTTACTTCTTTTTGGTTTGTGACCAGTTACCATGAGACAGGCATCCCTCTCCCTATGCCCAGAGCCCAATTCTGCACTGTAGTATATCTGGCTAGAGCCTGGATCCCACCTGGCACCTGTCAGCGCTCCACCCCAGGAACTGGAGCTTTGCCTGAACTCATCCTTCTGGAGGGGATTCTGCAACATATGGGCACGTCACCCAGAACCATGACTGCCACCTGCCTGGCTCCCAAGGGCTCACCCACTGCTGTGCTCTGTCCTACCACATTGGACCTAGTGTCCAAGATTGCCTGAACCATGCCTGAGCCTGCTCCATGCTTTTCAGCTGGGCTTTGTCCTTGCCATTTTGGGAACTAACCTTACAGTTCCATCTCCTTGGCTTCTGCTCCACTAGTCTGATGCTTCTAATATCTGACATCTTTCTCATACCAAACCCCTTCATACCTCAACCTACTAGAAGTAACATCAAACCGGAGGCCCAGAAGCCAGTTTCTAGCATTATTTCAAACACTAACTAGTCGTTTTTAATTTTTCAGTCTCAGTTATCTGAACAATAAAATAAAGGGTGTTGGAGCACAATGCCAGATGCTCCATTTGATTTTGATCTTCATTTATTCTACAGAAAGGCTTAATATTTGGTTTAGATAAGTGAAGAAATTGTAAAATGAGCATTCATAAAGTTGGTGAGAAATGTTCCCGTTAGGATGACATAAAGGTCAATATTATACATTCTGATTTGGTTCTATTTAGTGTTATATTCATGATCCAGAAGGGAGTATGCGGCACCCAGTGAAATTATGTTAAAATTTAACTTATTGAAGACAAAATAATATAAATGGACCTAAAGTGCTTAGAAGACAGGTAGAAAACATTAGTGTTTGGGCTATAAAAATGCCAGCGAATATATCAGGGAAAATGTTATTCAAATAGATGTTACATAGGTGAGAAATACAGTAGAATCCATGTCCAAACTATTCAAAGACAAGTTCCATAAAAATTTTGAATTAAGAAAGCAATGGAGTAATATAAGATGAAAAACAATTCTAACTGGGAAACAGAACAATGATTAGAGAATGACACCTGATTTTATCCCCTATGGCAACCAGGAGCTGTTTTCCAACCCCCTCTCTCTTGCTTTCCTTCAGCTATGAACACAGTGGGGGAAAAAGCAAGATACTTACTTTTCCAACCTCCCTGCTGTCCAGGTATGATCGTTCAACTCAATTCTGACCAATGCAGCACAGGGTAGATTGCTGGGAGGATTCTGGAGAAGCTGTTACTTTCTTACAAAAGGGCCATGTATTGGTCCTCCCACTTCCTCTCTTACCTGCCTGAAAAGCATCTATAATAACTGGAGCTGCAGCAGCCGTTTTACCTTGAGAGACAACACCCATAGGATGGAAGGAAGGCAGAGAGGGGGAAGGCACACACACACTAAATGGTTAAAGATGTCCGAGCATACAAAAGTAAAGAGCTTGGGTCCCTAACGATGCCATCCATGAGATGAATGAATGCAAGCAATTACTTACCACTATGCTTCTTATTATACAATAATGTTCAACTCTTATTTTTATTTTTTTATTGTATTTTATTTTTTTAGAAACATGGTTTCATTATGTTGTCCAGACTGGACTCAAACTCCTGGGCTTAAATGATACTCCCATCTCAGCCTCTTGAGTAGCTGAGACTACAGGTTCACCCCATTGTACCCTGCTTCAATTCTTAATTTTTTAAGTCATTATTAATTGGGTTCAGTAACTTATAGCTCTAAAGCCTTCCTGGTACATCTCTTCTATGCCTGGTTTTGCACATACATACATACACTCCAAAAAATGTTACCCAACTGTGAAGAGTCTTATAGCAATGGCAGAGTATAGTAGCATTTCTGGGGCAAGACAGTTGGGTTTAAGAAAATTTTATTTCTGTTTTCAAAAAACTAAAATGAGGAGAAAAGTATTTACTCATAAAACTAATGAAATTATTATTGGTTCATTAATTTAGAGCTGAATATTGCTATTATGTTTTGAGAATAGATAAAAAAGTACTAATCCCAAAGAACCAGCCTCTGTTCACCAAGAGCAAATCAGGCTAGTTTCTACATTTCTTTCTTTAAATGGGGTATAATGTATTAAATAAAGGACAGTCATTCATTCAGTGAAGATTTACTGAGTTACCTAAGATGTGATGGGCCATCTGCTAAGAACTGGAGACACAAAGATAAATACAATTTAATTCCTTCCTTTAACAAATTTGTTACCTTTCAGGTTCCCATCTAGTGATGAAAATAGGCAGGTAAATAAATACTGTCAACATGTGATAAATGCTTGACAGTGGCCTGTGCAAGAAAGAATTGTAACATATAAGAAATGGTGGTATGAGGAATGTCATTTTTCACAGAGGAGAGTCTATTTTACCTGTTACTTGGAAAAAATGAGAATTAAATCACTAAACAATGGGGAAAATTATTCTGTGAATTGCAATCAGTGTGTATAAAGACATAGAAATCATTAAGGCATAGATGTATTTAGAAAATGCAGTAAATTAGATATTTAGGGATGTCATTGGAGAGGTAGGCAGACAGGTTACGTGATAATGAGGCATTTAGACATGCTTCTGACATGAACTGAGAGCCACTGTGGGGTATTAAGTAGTGGAGGACCATGATCTGGCAGGTTTGTTTCAGAAAGATGATTCTGGTTGTAAGTAGAGGAAAGATTAACGAAGTGAGACTACAGGCAGGAGAAGTAATTGGAAAACTACCATTTAAAAAATCTGACAAAAAAATGAGAATTTAAAGTATTGACATCTAGAAGGTTTCGTGACTTATTGAACGTGGGTGAAGAGAAAGAGAGAGGTTTCCAGGATATTTCTGGCTTGGGCAAGTGGGTGAGTGGTAGTCCTATAAACAAGAATAGGGATTGCAGGAAGAGGTGCATATTTTGGTGAGAGGATGCAGGGGGAAGAAAAAAATGTTCATTTTGGGAGAATGAATCATGCATATGGAGATCTACATTTGAAGCAAAATTCCAACAAGGTCTAGGCTGAAAATAGAGAATTTAGAATCATACCCAAAGATGTGGTGGTGGTGGAAGCTGTGGGGATTGCTGAGAATGCCCAGGCAAGTGGAGACTGAGGAAGAGAAACCTGACAAAAAGAAAGGGAAGGCATCCAGTGATGGAGAAAGAAAATTAGGAGAGTAAGGTGTCATTGAAACAAAGGTAAGAGAAAATTAAAGAAAAAGCCATACAAAACAGAAGTGGTTAGTCTTGAAGCTTCAGAGAAGTCATATAAGGTAAGAAATAATAAGCGTCCATATGTATGTGTTTGTGTGTGTGTTGCAACTATGAACTTCCTGGTGACCCAATGGAGTGGTGAACCCAAAAGGCAAATTGCTGAGAGCTGAGAATTGAAGATGGGGTGAACAAGTGCAGATGGTGGGCAAAGGAGTACAGTAAGATGGAGAACTAGAGTTGAAGGATAATATTTTACTTATAAAGAGAAGAAAGAGGCTAGAGCCATCTAAAGGATGAGGTTAAAGATTCAGTTGAGAAGAAGAGAGTGATGATATAAGAGACAGAATAGGAGAACCAATGTCTCTGAGGAATTACTGTGAGAAGATGATATTCCAAATATGGAGGGGAAGCTTCCACCTCCACTTGGCCAGGTTCGGGTGCTGATAAGTCTGAAGGTGGCAAAGCAGCAAATGGGTGGAGTCCCTGCCTGAATGCATCTACTTTGTAAGTGGGAGCAAGGTCATGGTATTAGTCATCTGCTGAGAATAAAGGGGGACAGATGGAATAGTAAGCCCAGGGAGAGTGGAAAAAACTGAAATCTGCAATATGCCAAATGGGAGAAAAGGCAGAGTGGAGAAAAATATATTTTCAGGCACAGCTTATATGTTATGTTTATATGCTAGAGAGTGGAGGTAGAAGGAGAGTCAGGTTGAAAAGAGAGATGAGAGGAGGTATCATTGATGCATCCTGGAGAGTGTGATCACCTTTGCATAGGGGGAATGTAACCTTTATCTCTGACATAAGAAGGAATTAAGTGAGGGATTCGGGACTCAGTTATGCACTTAATAAATAATTTCTCTAGAGTCTTATGCACAAGGTGAAGAAAGAAATTTGGACTAGATGCAAAGGCAATTCAGTAGGCAAAGTACCTTGCTGAAGCAATGCTGATTAATGATTTGATGTTTGTGTGGAGGGAGAATTCAATTTGCCTGGCCAAGGATTCTGTCCTTGGCTCTGTCCTGTAAGGTCTTTTTTTTCTCTTTTGAAAAATTCAATACCTTGGGTAGAAAAATATAAGGCTTGCTCATTAAATGTGTACAAACAAGCCAGAAGGGATAAAGATGATGGAGATCTGGGATGACAGAATTAAGATCTAAAGAACATTGACAGAGTGAAGTGATTGGTTTTGTCTAAGGAGATAGAAATAAACAAGAACACATATCCAATATTTTACCCTGGTGAAAAAAATGAAACAAAACTATAATACAACTGAAAAGTTCAGGATGGTGTAAATAAATGTTTTGATATTCTAGTTGGAGTAAATTAGTGGTATTCTAGACATGGTAGTATGGGCTTTTGTGAGCCAATTTTTTAAAATTTATTTATTTCAGTAGGTTTTTGGGGAACAGGTGGTGTTTGGTAACATGAATAAGTTCTTTAGTGGTGATTTCTGAGATTTTGGCACACCCATCACCCAAGCAGTGTATACTGTACCCAACGTGTAGCTTTTTATCTCTCACCCACCTCACCCTTCTCCCTGAGTCCCCAGAGTCCATTGTATTATTCCTATGCCTTTGCATCCTCATAGCTTAGCTCCCACTTGTGAGTGAGAACATACAATATTTGGTTTCCATTCCTGAGTTACTTCACTTAGAATAATGGTCTCCAATTCCATCTAGGTTGCTGCAATTGCCATTATTTTTTTCTTTTTTATGGCTGAGTCATATTCCATGGTATACCACATTTTCTTTACCCACTCATTGATTGATGGGCATTTGGGTTGGCTCCATATTTTTGCAATTGCAAATTATGCTGCTATAAACATGCATGTGCGAGTACGTTTTTTGATTAATGACTTATTTTCCTCTGGGTAGATACCCAGGAGGAGGATTGCTGGATCAAATGGTACATCTACTTATAGCTCTTAAACAGTGTGGAATCTCCACACTGTTTTCCATAGTGGTTGTACTAGTTTACATTCCCACCAACAGTGTAAAAGTGTTTCCTCTTCACCACATCCATGCCAACATCTCATTTTTTGATTTTTTTTATTATGACTGTTCTTGGCAAGAGTGAGATGGCATCACATTTTGGTTTTGATTTGCATTTCCTTGATAATCAGTGATGTTGAGCATTTTTTCATATGTTTGTTGGCCATCTACTTATCTTCGTTTGAGAATTGTCTATTCAAGTCATTAGCCCATTTTTTGATAGGGTTGTTTGTATTTTCCTTGCTGATTTGACTGAGTTGCTTGTAGATTCTGGATATTAGTCATTTGTCAGATGTATAGACGGCAAAGATTTTCTCTCACTCTGTGGGTTGTCTGTTTACTCCTTTGATTATTTCTTTTGCTCTGCAGAAGCTTTTTAGTTTAAGTCCCATCTATTTATCTTTGTTTTTGTTGCGTTTGCTTTTGGGTTCTTGGTCATGAAGTCTTTGCCTGAATTAATGTCTAAAAGGGTTTGTCCAATGTTATCTTCTAGAATTTTTATGATTTCAGGTCTTAGATTTAAGTCTTTGATCCGTCTTTAGTTGATTTTTGTATAAGGTGAGAGATGAGGATCCAGTTTCATTCTTCTGCATGTGGCTTGCCAATTATCCCAGCACCATTTGTTAAATAGGGTATCCCTTCTTCACTTTATGTTTTTGTTTGCTTTAAAGATCAGTATACTGTGAATATTTGGCTTTATTTCTGGGTTCTCTATTCTGTCCCATTGGTCTATGTGCCTATTTTTATACCAGTACTGTCCTATTTTGGTGACTATGACCTTATAGTATAGATTGAAGTCGGGTAATGTAATGTCTCCAGATTTGTTCTTTTTGCTTAGTCTTGCTTTGGCTATGTGGGCAATTTTTGGTTACATATGAATTTTAGGATTGTTTTCTCTAGTTCTGTGAAGAATGATGGTGGTATTTTGATGGGAATTGCATTGACTTTGTAGATTGCCTTTGGCAATAGGGTCATTTTTTGTGAGCCAATTGTTAAGTTTTCAGGAATTTTGAAAGCCAGTTGGTAAAGAGTCATTATTACAAATTAAATTATATGAACACAAAATTAAATAATTATATTAAAACAATGGTAAATACTGAAAATGCATCACTTCTTAATTATTTTATTTTACTGTTATCTATGCTCTTGAGATTATTTATGTCTGTTTTATCTGTATGGTAGACGTACTATATAATGTTATGCTGTGCATCATTTTCCAGCTCTGTATTTAATGATGCCACATTCATGGCTTGAAATATGTCATGGTGGGAGTGTTTACATCATGGAAATTGAAAAATGTTACAAATACTATCTTCTCCTTCCCCCTGAGAGCCAGTTGTTAAACATTTAGCAGCACATACCACTTAATAATTTCACAATTAATTGGTATGATAGTGAGACACACACACACACACACACACAGAGACAGTACAGAGCTCTTAAGTTCTGTGATATATTATTTAATATTTAATATTAATTATGGCAGTGATTTATTCACTTTTCCCATCTCATCCTTTCTCACCTCAAATATAATTATTAGTTATGGATCCTACATTTTCAAGGATATAGATAAAGTATAGTATGTTGAAAGAAGATAGGAGAGTAACCAAAATGAGGAGACTCAAAATCTTGTAAAATGAAAACTAGCTCAAGAGATGTGTAGCATACCGAAGACTTGGGGAGGATGCAGGATTTGTATTAAACCACTTGCTAAAATAATATGTGAAAGTAATATTATTGTTGGTGGCCCCAAGGCATCCAAACAGGGCTAAACAGGTGAACCTTATAGGGAGACAAACATCAGTTTTTATAGGAAAGAATCCCAACAGTTGTTAAAAGTTAAAAATGAAAAGCTTGGAAGTAACATGCTTTCCTTCAAGCACAGGATGTTTTAACATTTGGTAACATCAAATGGGGAGCTGTGTGGATGATCTCATAGGTATTGTCTAACCTGGAATCTTTGAAGTTCAGCACACGCAATGTAAATGATTGAAGTTAAGCAGAGATAAATTTCTGTGAATCTAATTTTTCAAGGCTTATTAAGAGAGAGTCCATATCCTCATTGTCATTCAGACCATTAAACAAATCCACTCTGATGGAGGTCCAAAAGATGACAATTTGCTAACATGAAGGAAAGACACTCCTAATATATCAGATATTAGGAATGAGAATGACAAAACTAATGAGAGACTTCGTTGATTAAAAGAAAAAGTAAAACTTCAGAGTAACTAGTTGGTGACAAGAAGATAGACAAGAAGATGTTTTTGAGCTCCAGCTTCAAAAATTGTAACCTTCCAATGCTGTATAGTCTAAAGAAATGAATTAAAAATATAATTAATGTATGTAAAAAATCACCCTCTTGTACTCAACATTCATATGTGGATTAGGGAGACTATGGTATGGATCAAAATACAGTTGACCCTTGAACAACATGGGGGTTAGGAGTGCTGATCTCCCACCCAGCTGAAAATTCTAGTATAACTTTTGGCTCACCAAAATCTTAATTGCTAACACCCTGCAGTTGACCAGAAGCTTTATCAATAACATAAACAGTTGATTAACATATATTTTGCATATGTAGCGTATATTGTCTTAAAGTAAGCTAGAGAAAATAAAATGTTATTTAAAAATCTTAAGAAAAATATATTTGCTTTTCATTAAGTGGAATGAATCATCATTATCCCCATCATCTTCATGTTGAATAGGATGAGGAAGATAAGGAAGAAGGAGCAACAGTCTTGCTCTCTCAGGGGTGGCAGAGGTGGAAGAAAATCTGTGTACAAGTGAATCCATGCAGTTCAAACCCCTGTTGTTCAAGAATCAGCTGTATAGTGCAGTTGTAGATAGCTAACATTGTCTTAGAAGTTCAGTCAGGGACCTTTTTTATCAACAAAAAATTTTGAAAGGCCTCAATGGTGAAGTTTTTGGTTGAATTTTAGAGAAGTTTGGGATTTTTAGATGAAAAAGGAAGAGAGAACTTGACGTAGAGAACTTGATGTAGAGAACTTGGAAGTAAAGAACTGAAAACCAGCAAAATAATTTTGGAATAACTAATAGGTACTAGAAGCAATTTAAAGGAAGATCGAATGAAGATTATTGGAAATGTTTATCCCCATGCTTTAAGGAGAGAAAATGTAGAAGTTTGTTCAAGAAAATTCTGTGGCTGAGTTACATTAGACATTCTAGGTGTGTTTCCGGTACCTTCACTATGAAGAATTTTAATTTAAAGGAGAAGGGTAGATGGATTTCAGGCATAAAAAGACCAAGGTTGTTAAGTAAAAAAGCTCAGTTTTTGGCTTGACAGAATTATAGAAGGGTGGGGAAAGGGAACAATAACCCAAAGGATTACATTATAGAGCAAACTTCCCTCTTTGAATGAGGGTTGAAATCGGTGAAATGTATCTGTGCCTCAAGCCAAGAAAGCAAATTAAGTAAAATGATGCTAAATACCTGAAATTTATTTTATCATACAACTGTAAATTTTATAAATATGAAACCTCCCAATACTTCCCCAGTCTGTAGAAAATAGTGTATTTTACAAAGAGGTAAAATAAGGTATTATAGTAAAAGAGGTATCATAAGACAAGAGAAGATAAAAGGTGATGCATTTAGGGATATGGGCTTTGAAGAAAAACACCTCTCTGATACCCCATGTGATGACAGTTAGCATTTAATAGAACCCAAATGGAGAGCTTCAAGTTTAAAGCCCACTAGAAAGGCTGTGTTTTGTCATTTCTCCAAACCATGTGCATTCCAGAAGAAAATTTAGAGTGGGACAAATGCAGAATATGAGTGGACATGGTGAGAAATCTAGCCATGTCTGTGCAGAACAAAATAACAATAGCAGATTGAAACAATTTGGTATTCTGAAAATCAGTGTTTGAAATTTAGCTAAAACAGCTTTCCTCCCTCCTTTTTTTCCCTTGTTCTCTGGTTTTCTTCATCATCTCTTCCTTTCTTCCTCCCTCCTGTTTTTCTTTAATAATTAATTGTTTATTGAAGATTCAATAGCTCTCTACTCAATCCGAGAGGCCAGAATCACATTAACCAAGAAACTAATGTGGCCTAAGCTTCAGAGCTTCTCACTTGGATGGACCATGTGTCCGTGGTTCTGCTTTTGAAATATTTGAAATAGCAAAATATTTTAATATCAATCCATTAGGACTGCTATCTCTTTCTGTTTAAACTTCCCCTCTGCAATATTTCCCCTCAGGTCAGGTTGTGTTGAATGGCTGTGGGAAATTTAGGAAATCAGCTAAGATGAGGAATTGTATTGGTATTACATGCAGATTCAGTTTAATGGGATATATTTATGTTGCAACTAGGGACTTCTATGTAGAGTTAAGTTATTGCTAGTCATCCTGGTGTAGGAATGGCTTCAAGGAATGCAATGTGCCAATGCACTGGGCATTGTGACCAGAAGGTCAGGACCAGAGGTTGAATTACAATACAAACATGTCATATGTCACCCGGCATCTGAAACACGTAGTAAAGATGAGACTCAAGGTTTGAAATGTATGAAGCCAGAAGCTGGTCTGGGAGAAATTCCGATCATTACCTATGCCAAATTGTGAGTGGGAGAATTCAGTTCTTATCAAAGCCTGATAAAAATCAAAGTTATTTTTGTCAGAAATAAGTTTGATAATGCTGTGTATACAACTGTAAATATACATATTTTTCTCTTTTGATAGCAATTGTTTGAAATAGAATTTCTCAGAATTCCTGTGTTTTTGTATTACTGCTAGTGCCCTAGACAACAAATACATCTGTACATGAAGTCTCCTGTTTTAAGACTCCCAGCTCTCAATAGTAAAATCAAATCCAACTATTTTAGAGGAAACACTAGATTATCTTTCCATTCTGCCTTAAAAAATTATATTACAAAGTCATTTTCACATAAAGAGGTTATCAAAGAGCAGAGAGCTAAAAAAATGCAAAAAAAATTTGCAGAGACCTGCCAGGCAGTTATTAGAAAATATTACTTTTATTAAATAGAGATTCCTTTCCCCATTGCTTGTTTTTGTCAGGTTTGTCAAAGATCAGATGGTTGTAGATGTGTGGTCTTATTTCTGAGATCTCTATTCTGTTCCACTGGCCTATGTGTTTGTTTTTGTACCAGCACCATGCTGTTTTGGTTACTGTAACCTTGGAGTATAGTTCGAAGTCAGGTAGCGTAATGCTTCAGCTTTGTCCTTTTTGCTTAAGATTGTCTTGGCTATAAGGGATCTTTTTTTGGTTCCATATGAATTTTAAAGTAGTTTCTTTCTAATTCTATGAGGAATGTCAATGGTATTATAATTTAATGGGAATAGCATTGAATCTATAAATTACTTTGGGCAGTATGGCCATTTTCATCATATTGATTCTTTCTATCCATGAGCATGGAATGTTTTGCATTTGTGTGTCCTCTCTGATTTCCTTGAGCAGTGGTTTCTAGTTCTCCTTGAAGAGGTCTTTCACTTCCCGTGTTAGCTGTATTCCTAGGTATTTTACTCTCTTTGTAGCAATTGTGAATGGGAGTTCATTCATGATTTGGCTCTCTGTTTGTCTGTTGTTGGTATATAGAAATGCTAGTGATTTTTGCACATTGATTTTGTATCCTGAGACATCACTGAAGTTGCTTATCAGCTTAAGAAGCTTTGGGCTGACAGGATGGGGTTTTCTAGATATAGGATCATGTCATCTACAAACAGAGACAGTTAACAAATGGGGCTGGGAAAATTGGCTAGCCATACACAGAAAATTGAAACTGGACCCCTTCCTTATACCTTATACAAAAATTAACTCAAAACGGATTAAAGACTTAAGGTAAAACCCAAAACTATAAAAACCCTAGAAGATAATCTAAACAATATTATTCAGGATATAGGCACAGGCAAATATTTCATGATGTAATTGCCAAAAGCAATTGTAATAAAAGCAAAAAATTGACAAATGGGATCTAATTAAACTAAAGAGCTGTTACACAGCAAAAGAAAATACCATCAGAGTGAACAGACAGCCTACAGAATGGGAGAAAATTTTTGCAATCTACCCATCTGACAAAGGTCATCCAGAATCTACAAAGAACATAAATACATTTACAAGAAAAAAAACGATTAAAAGTGGGCAAAATATATGAACAGATACTTCTTAAAATAAGACATTTATGTGGCCCACAAGTATATGAAAAAAAGCTCAACATCACTGATCATCAGAGAAATACAAATTAAAACCACAATGAGATACCATCACACACCAGTCAGAATGGCGATTATTAAAAAGTCAAGAGGCCGGGCGTGGTGGCTCACAACTGTGATCTCAGCACTTAGGGAGGCCGAGTTGGGCGTATCACAAGGTCAGGAGATCAAGACCATCCTGGCTAACAGGATGAAACCCCGTATCTACTAAAAATACAGAAAATTAGCCGGGTGTGGTGGTGGGTGCCTGTAGTCCCAGCTACTTGGGAGGCTGAGGCAGGTGAATGGCATGAACCCGGGAGGCAGAGCTTGCAGTGAGCCGAGATCACGCCACTGCACTCCAGCCTGGGCAACAAAACGAGACTCCATCTCAAAAAAAAAAAAAAAAAAGTCAAGACACAACAGATGCTGGTGAGGCTGTGGATAAATAGGAACACTTTTACACTGTTGGTGGGAATGTAAATTAGTTCAATTCAACCATTGTGGAAGATAGTGTGGTGATTCCTCAAGACCTAGAACCAGAAATACCATTTGACCCGGTAATGCCAATTACTGGGCATATACCCAAAGGAATATAATTCATTCCATTATAAAGATACATGTATGCGTATGTTCATTGCAGCACTATTCACGATAGCAAAAACATGGAATCAACCCAAATGCCCATCCATGATAGACTGGATAAAGAAAATATGGTACATATACACCATGGAATCCTATGCAGCCATATAAAGGAACAAGATCATGTCCTTTGCAGGGACTAGATGGAGCTGGAAGCCATTATCCTCAGCAAACTGATGCAGAAACAGAAAACCAAACACTGCATGTTCTCACTTATAATTTGGAGCTGAATGATGAGAACACATGGAAACAGGGAGGAGAGCAACACACATTGGGGCCCGTTGGGAGAAGGGGAGTGGGAGGGAGAGCATCAGGATAAATAGCTAATGCATGCAGGGCTTAATACCTAGGTGATGGATTGATAGGTGCAGCAAACCACCATGGCACACCTTTACCTATGTAACAAACATGCACATGTATCCCAGAAGGTAAAATTAAATTAAATTAAAGAAAATAATACATTTATGTTTCTGAATGCTGTGATATTTGTGATAGATATCAATGTTTAAAAATATACAACTTGTGATTTATTTCCTTATTCTACATAAGTATTCATTTCATACTTAACTCGTATTCTTTTTCTTAAAGAAGGGTCCCTCCAAATCATATACTCTTTAATCCCGATAAGGCCTATGTATATCCCTGCTGGAAACACCAACAAATTGGTGTTTAAATTGTTTAAATTTAAAACAAATTTAAAAAACAAATTTAAACCAATTTAAAAACTGAGACATGGTGCTTGCCATCCAGAAATGTGCATTTTAGGCAGGATATAAGCTTGTAAACAAGCTGTCACTATACTGAAAGGCGAATAGAAAAGAGGTAAGAGGTATGCAAAAAGTTCTGTGGCTACTTCAGTGACTAAGCCCAATGGAATGCTTTGATTTCAGCCTGTGATGGTGTGTTGGTGGTGGAAGTTGGTGCAATTTAATGGAATTTTTCACCTTACCTGCTTAATGCACTAGTAAGCCACTGAGTTAGATTTGTTCATTCAATCATAAACTTCCTCTGGAGCTGAGTGACAAGTTAAGTCTTAGCTTATGGGCTACATAGATGAAAATCTTCTCTTTCTGTGCCACCAGCACAGGGCTCCCTCACTAAGATTTCTTTGTTATGGAATATTGGCTATTCAGAAATTCAGGTGGCTTCCATGGTGTGCTGGAAGGAGGAACTCTGAAAGGACTTGAGACAAGTCTGGAAAGAGGGATGGAGATTTGGAGGGTCCCCTAAATCATCCAGATCTTGGCTTCAGAAATCTTGTCTGCCTACAGAAAGCAGGGTGAATCCTGGCAGTGATGCCATACTGAAATGCTATCAGCCTAATTAATATGGTGACATCATATCATAGAGGCAAGCCTCTCCTTGGAACCAGATGCAGCCATGTCTGCCTGGAAGCTTTTGGCAGGCTCTGCCTGGCATCCTCATCTCAGAACAACAATCCAGGTCCGGTCAGAAAATATTTGCTAAGTACCTGTTATGTGCCAGCCACCAGGCCAGGTGCTAGGAGTAAAAAGATGAATAAGAGAGGGCCCCTGCAAACAGAAAACTTACATCTGAGTGAGGACAGTAAATAATATTAGTGTGGCAAGTGCCACTAAAATACTGTATCCTGCGTGTTATGGGACCCAGAGGAGGTGAGCAAGTCTCTTCTGGGAGTTCAGAGAAGGCTGCTCAGGGAAGTTTACTTTTTGTCTGGTTACTGAGTTTTCAAGACTCATATGAAGTGGGTAAAGATTTCTAAGTATATGGAACAGAATGGCTTCAAGAATGGAAACAAGATGGGGTGTTCATTGAACGACTTCTTCCTTACATTATAAAGTGTAAAATGGGGAGAGGTAGAAGATACTGCCAGAACAGTATCAGGAGTCATTAATTTGAGCTTGAGCTTTGTTCTTCAGACCATTCTTTCTCGAAGTGTGATCCAAGGTCACTGTGCCAACCTTATCCCAAAACGATAACTATACACATTGCAGATTCTAAGCACTTCCTCCCATCTACCAAGTCCAATGATCTGTTAAAGAGGTACAGAGAATCTGCATTTTTAACAAGTTCCTCAGGCGGTTCTTTTGTGTGCTGAAAGTTTGAGACTGACTAATTATGGCACAGGGATCCACAGAGGGATTTTAGGAAGGGGAAGGGTGTTGTTTGATTTTCATTTTAGATAGATCCATCTGGGTGAAGTGTGGAAGGTAGAACTAAATGGTGGGTAAATACAAAAATAGCAAAACCAATTAGAATGTTATTGCAATAATCTTGGCCAGAAATGCTGAAGGCCTGCGTTAGAGGAATTGAAGAAGAAAGACTTAAAAAAGAATATTTCAGAGATAAAGATGGGCAGAACATTTAGGAGGAAATGAAAACTGGTTGGTTTTGGCGTGGTGGTTGTCATGGAGAAGGAGGAGGTGATGCTGACTAGGGTGAATGATGAATCATGGGGCGCTCTACTAATACCGGGAATATAGTGAGAGGAACAAGCTGGCAGCCAAGAGGCCAAGTTGAGTTTTAGTTTGAGATGGGGGTATCTATGAGCCATCTGTGTGTATTCACAGCAAGTAGTTGAATACCTAGTTCTAAAGTTTCTATCTGAGAGAGATTTTATTTAATGTTGTACTGCTGGGTGCCAAGCCATGGAACAGGGCAAACGTGAGGAATCCACATTTAGGTGGTTTGGTGCTAACAGACCTTGAGAAATGTGTCCCAAACCAAGGTCATCTGAGCCCTGAATGCTGCTAAAAAGTATTTAAAAGTCCACAGGAGTATTGAAGATTTCCCAGTACATTCTTAGATATAATTATTGTTTCAGCTTGATTTGTATAGAGCAAGGATCTAATTTTGTGATTTCTGCTGCTGTTGCTTCTTCACCTGGTAGACACACATGAGGCATCTTCTACTGTAGAAAATGCCCCACTATGACCGAGAAGGTGTGGAAACCAAGTGCTGTAAGAATCTCACCACTGAAAAGTAAAGATTTTAATTTGGAGTTTTCTTTGTTTTGTTTTTTGTTTTGTTACTTTTTAGCTAAGAGGATGTTAGTTTAACGTCAGTGCACCTCCATGTTGTCCTACTTCAAATCTTGGATCTTGATGATATATTGTTTTCGGACCAGCTATTGTTATGGTTTTTGAATTTCAGTATTTCCATTCAGGATGATTAAAATTAACATCTTGAGACAGCACAATGTAGAACGTTCCCTTCTTCTGGAAAGAGATGTGTCATTCCTTGAATAGTTCTCACTATGGATACTTAAAAAATCACACCTGGTTTACTTACTTATGCAGGTATTTAAATAATGACAAATCAATTGAATGTATAAATGACATTTTAAGAGGATAAAGGCAAGGAACTTTCTCAAGCATTTTTTAGGCTATTGTTACCTCTAGTTTACCCCCTTGATGGCTTCTTTTCTTGATCTTGTCTTTAAGTTCCTGAAACCTGAACATTTCTCAAAGTTTATTCTTTGGTCCTCTGATTTCTATAGCACACTGTAGCTCACAAAATGAATTCCCTTTGATGGCTCCAACAATGACCCATAGAAAGACAATTCTGACTCTTGTTTCTTACCATCTGATCCTGTATTGCTCTTGAACACGTCAATGCTTTCATAAAATGAACACTTTCAAGCTTGACTCATCACCTTTCTCACAAAACCAGGTCCCTTTCTGACTTTTATAATTCTCATTTTCCAGGCTGTCTAGGTTCAATCTCTGTACAACTTTTGGTTCTTCCATTCTTCTCTTCCTCCTAGATATTCTCCTGTGAGATAAAAGAAACAAACTATGTAAAGCACAAAATATGTGGTATATGGAACATATTAGGTACTTAACAGGTGACAGTTCACTTTTTCTTCCATGATTCCTCGCAGATATATGTTTCTCTCACAGGACCCCAGTATATCTTTCTCACCATTTCATACTACACAATGTTACCACAGGCATTCTTTAAAATGTCCCCATCCACAAATCTTAGGTCTAATCCCTTGTAGTGGGGTGACTTGCGTCTCCCAAAAAGCTATGTCCAAGTCCTAATTCCTGGTACCACTGAATGTGAACTTTCTTGGAAAAAAAGTCTTTGCAGGTGTAATTTGTAATGAAGTTGAGGATCTCAAGATAAGATCATCTTGGATTTAGGGAGGGCCCTAAATTTGATGACAGATGTCTTTCTAAGAAAGAGAAAGATGGGGCCAGGCACAGTAGTTCATGCCTGTAATCCAAGCACTTTGAGAGGCTGAAGCGGGTGGATCATCTGAGGTCAGGAGTTTGAGACCAGCCTGGCCAAGATGGCAAAACTAGTCCTCTACTAAAAATACAAAAAATTAGCCAGCCGTGGTGGCACATGCCTGTAGTGTCAGCTACTCAGGAGGCTGGGGCAAGAAAATCACTTGAACCTGGGAGGCAGAAGTTGCAGTGAGCCAAGACCCCGCCATTGCACTCCAGCCCAAGTGACAGAGCAAGACTCTGCCTCAAAAAAAAAAAAAAAAAAAAAAGAATGAAGAAAACGGAAAGACACAGGGACACAGAATGGGGAAGGTCTTATGAAGACGAAGGCGGAGATTAGAGTGATGCTTCTTCAAAACAAGCAACACCAAAGATTGACCACAGCCACCAGAAGCTAAAAGAAAGATCTGGAATGTATCCTCCCTCAGAGCCTCCAGAGGGAACAAAACCCTGCTAACTGATTTCAGACTTCAGGTTTTCAGAAATGTGAGAAAGTAATATTCTGTTGTTTTAAGCTACCAAATTTGTTACAGCAGGCCTAGGAAACTAATATATCCCCTTAGCCTGATCTTGAAGATCCCTCTTAATCTGGCTTTAACCTACGTTTTCAACATTGTCTCTTACCAGTATCCTTTACAACTCCCCCCACTTCTGTATCCTGCCAGTCCCTTGATCATGCAGTGATTATTTGTGCATTTTGTCTTTTCTAATGTGATCCCTTTCCCTTTTTTAAAACTCCTATGTCTTCTCTATTCATTCTAATCCTAATCCTGAAACAAAAAGCCCATCTTAGTCTACAGTGGTTTATTTCCTATTTTGAATTCTTATCAAACACATTTGACATTGAATCATATTTTGTGCACACAGTGTTTGCTTTGCTTTTCATGTACGTGTGACTTTCCTTGAGGGAAGGATGATTTTTGCAACATAGAAACTATAGATTAAGTGAATGAAAACAGCAAGTATGGACAGAGAAAGCAGGTGTTTGGGTTGAATTATGTCCCCCTTATTTGCAAATTCATATGTTGGAACCTAACTCCCAGTACCTTAAGATGTGACTGTATTTGGAGATCTTTAATGTGACCCTTTACAGAGAAAATTAAGGTGAAATGAGGCCATAGGTGTGGGCCCTAATCCAATTTGATTGGTGTCCTTATGAAGGGGAGCTTACGATACACAGGGACAGAGAGCAGAGGTGCACATGCACACAGGGGGGCAACCATGCCATGTGCAGAGGCAGCAGAGGGCGGCCAGCTGCAAGTGCAGGAAAGAGGTTTGGAAAGGACCTTCCTTTAGGACTCTCAGAGGAAACCAACTCAGCCACCAGCCTGATCTTGGACTTCCAGACTTCAGAACTGTCAGAAATTACATTTCTGTTTTTTAGGCCACCCAGTCTGTGCTATTTTGTTACGGCAATGCTAGAAAACTAATGCAGCAAGTAAAAGGCTTAGATTAAGCACTGAAAAAATAAGAGAAGAGGCCGAGGTGAGAGGATTGCTTGAAGCCAGCAGTTTGAGACCAGTCTAGGCAACATGATGAGACCTTGTCTCTACAAAAATAAAAAATAAAAAAAAAATTAGCCAGGAGTGGTGACGTGTACTTGTAGTTCACAGAAGGCTTGTGTACTCA
This sequence comes from Homo sapiens, assembly GCF_000001405.40. NCBI lineage: Eukaryota > Metazoa > Chordata > Mammalia > Primates > Hominidae > Homo > Homo sapiens. Next base: position 115,620,064 of record NC_000003.12, read on the forward strand.
GAAGGCTGAGGTAGAAGATTGCTTGAGCCTAGGATTTCAAGGTTGTAGTGAGCTATGTTTGCACCACTGCACTCCAGCCTGGGCGACAAAGAGAAAACCTGTCTCAGAATAAAATAGAATAAAATAAAATATAAAATAAAATTTAAAAAAGGGAGAAATAAGACTAACATCTTTTCTACCTGAATTGATGACATTGTCTTCTCTCAAGTACCAGCCATAATCTTAAAATGGTAGACTATTTTACAGAGCCCTTAGTAAAGGTCAGTGACTTTTGGTTTTATTATACAAGCAGTATCACTTTAGTATAAAGTTCAAAGAGATCTGAGCGTGGAACTGGGATCTGGCCTCCACCACTCTTCATCTTTTTCTAGAATGTTATTATTGTCTAACCTATAGTCAAGAAGTTAATTGATAGTATTATGAGTTAATTTGCTAATCTAAAATTGTAAAAGGGTTAGCCATGGGGCTTAAGCCTATGCATTGTCTAGGATTAGTTATAAAGTACAAGGATTAGTGGGTCTATTGTGTATTTGCTTGGCAAAAATCGGGACATCGGTTATTTTATTTTTTATATATTTTTTGCAAAGCTCATATCAGTTTGTGCTTGTCTCTCCCTTATTCTTTTGCCATCCATAACCACCATTGCTTAGAGAAAAAGATGCATTAGAATTGATTCCATGTTATTCAAATTAAATTTGGAATCTTAGGCTTCCAAATTGGGAGGTAATTTTTAAAGGTTCATTGACAGAATGTAGTATGTCCAGAGGAAGGCATCCAAAATGGTGAGGACCTTACACACTGAGACACCTGAGGGTAGTTGAAGGAGCAGACATCTCATCAGAAATACATAGAGGGCTCTCTATTGCATGAAGATATCAGCTTATTCTCCATGGCTCTTGAAGTAAGAGTTGGGCCTAAAAGATGGATCTTGCTGATTTCATTTCAACATTGAATGCTGATTTCATTTCAACATTAAAACTTCCACTATGTAGTTTAATCTCTTAAGGACTAGAAGTAATGAAGAGTAGAGGCCTATTAAGTGGTGATTGATGTAGCCTAGTTGTTAAGAGACATAGAGTCCTAGCTTTACTACTTCTTAGTTCTGTGACTTAGTCAAGGCACTTAACTTCCCTTAGCTTTAGCATCCCCATCAAAATGGGATTACTACTTGTGCCTACCTCATTTTGAGTATTAGATAAAATAATGCATGTAAACTGATGAGGAAGCTGATTCTGAGCTGGGTGGTTTCACATATTTAGTCACAAAGTTCATCAATGCTTGTGCCCAGTTTTAAGCCCTAGCTTGTTTAACTTCATTATGCCACTTTGTTTCCAAGGTTCCTTCCCATATATAAAGGGGGAAAAATATAAATGGGATGGCTGAGGTGAGTACATCGAAAGGGAAAGGAATTAGTCCCACTCTTTAAGTTTGGCCACATAGTTAATGAAATGGTCTTATCAATGGAGTTATCCTGTTTAAACACCAAAAGGTGCAATTTCTTCTCCATCATCCCCAATCCCCACATTCTCTGCCTCCTCCCTTCATTGCTCTTTAGCCACTAGCAGGCTAGGTAGGGTGTTCCTAATCTGCAACCGGAATGTTTCTGGTAGGAGCCATTTCTCACCCACTCTTTGTCCTCTTTTATCACTTAAAATCACGGAAGGCTGTTCTGAAAGCGGCTGGGCTCCTTGTAACATTAAAAAATTATTAAACTCAGAAACTAATTCTGTTTTTTAATCATAAATATGAAAACTAGGAAGCAAACTGAGAAGAATGAAAGACCAAATCAGCGGATCTGAAGCAGGCCACTCTCAGGAAGACTCCTGAGGAATAATTAAGGCTAATTTTAAATATCACCTCCTGGGTATCATCATCACCATCGTTCCCAGGTACCTGTCTGAGATAGTCCATTTTGAAATAGATATACCTTAAATTATGTTAAAATGTACTAAGCACTTATTGAGCTCAGTGATCCTGAAATATGCCTAACAATAAGCTGCCTAGTTGCCACTTATTAGCTAGGTTTATGTCTAGGAGGTCTAGGAGGGACTATGAAGAATATGAGCTGTTTAATTAGGGGTACTTGTCATCACTAATGAACAACAAGAAATAGTTTGAAAACTTCTTTGAGATATTCACTTGCAAATGTCACCCGAATTTCAGAAAAGTACAGTCTCTGGAGTAAAGCTATTATACACTCAGAGAGACTGTTGTGCTTTGCATGCGTTATATCATTTAGTCCTCAAAACATGTTGTCAAGATTGGCATTATTATCTCCATTTTAAAGATGAGAAAATTAGGTGCAAAGAGCTTCAGTAACACACTCAAACTCATTCAACAATAAATAACTAAAAATTGTGCTATACACACTTTAAGAGTCACATGTTCCTCCCCCAAAATTATGAAAGGCCATAGAAGGAATTCAAGAAGTAGGCTTCATGACTTATCGTTTCTTCTCATCTCAGATGAATTCACTTTAATCTCTCATGCCCAAATTGTAAAATATCATTTTGATCACCGTCAATATTACACAGACCTGTTTGAATGTGCTCAGCTTTTTCAGTAAAATTAGAAGAAACCACAATTTACAAACAGGTATATGTGCATTAAGGAAAAAACAAAAAACTACCATGTGATTTTAGATATGGATGCCAATTCTTAAACATTGTTTATTATTTCTGAGCTCAAGTGCTTAGAATGTTTAAAATGCAATATATTTATGTGGATTTTTTTCCAGGATATTGGAACATATATAAAATATGCTTGTGCATATCTAAGCTTTGTATTTATTTCAGGTTATATGTATACTGAGAAGAATATATAAACAGTGTATGATATTTACATGTTATTTCATTTTTTGAGGGAAATTAACCTCCACAATTATTAACTATGCATAAAATGTAATGGCAGATATGACTTATATTGTATAGGACTGACTACAATTCCTCTTTAGAAATAGCTGTTCTTTGCTTTTATAATACTAGGAAAAGAGGAAAAGAGTTCTTAAAGAAATACAAGGATTCCTCAAGCCCCTCTTCCCTAAAACATGCTCTATCATATCTCCTGGATTGACTGGAATATCCTTCTCTGCCCCCACCCCATCACCCTCTCAATGCAGTGGAAAAGTCGGTGGGTAATTGGGTCCAGATTGGAGGTGTTTAAATATTCATGAGGCTGGCAGGGGACTGGGAGGGGGCGACTGTCTAGAATGGGGGTAGGGGCTGGGGGAAGTGATTAGTCACTGAAGGCTAGAGAACAATTCCGAGAAAGAGACGGAGAGAGAGGGAAGAAAAAGACAGATAGATAGATATTGGGGGGAAGGAGAAAAAAGGAGAAGAGAGGGAAGAGAGGACAGCGGAGAGAGAGCACCAGAGAGAGAGGGAGAGAGAGAGAGAGCGCTAGAGAGAGGGAGCGAGCATGTGCGATGAGCAATAGCTGTGGACCTTACAGTTGCTGCTAACTGCCCTGGTGTGTGTGAGGGAGAGAGAGGGAGGGAGGGAGAGAGAGCGCGCTAGCGCGAGAGAGCGAGTGAGCAAGCGAGCAGAAAAGAGGTGGAGAGGGGGGGAATAAGAAAGAGAGAGAAGGAAAGGAGAGAAGGCAGGAAGAAGGCAAGGGACGAGACAACCATGCTGTGCTGTATGAGAAGAACCAAACAGGTAGAGCTAAAGATTTTTTACTTCTTGCTGTTGTGAAATAACCCGAGTACAGTATTTCCCCGTAAAGGCAAACAATTTTTTTACTGCTTCTGCTCTGGCCGTGGTGCTCGCGCTTCCTTAGCATATGGTAACTGATGGTTGCATCCCAGCTTTTATTCTTTTCTGTCTTTCATGCTCTGGTTTTGGAATGCTGCTACTAATTAGGGTGAGGGTAGAAAAAACATGCCTGTTTGGCTAGAAATAATTTTTTTTTTTCTTATTAGTGAATGCTCAGCATTTGAGGTCTCTGGTCTTGAGGGTGTGGACGTAGAAAGGGGTGTGGGGGAGATGATGTGGGCTCTACCTACAAGATGGGGAGGCATTTCTTTATATTATTTGCAAAAAAGCAGGGTTGAGGAAATAATATTCAGAACTGAGTATTGCCTCTCTGTCATACAATTTTCTCACATGTGCTGCGGAAGATGCCTTATTTCGTGCATGCATGAGCTTCGAAGGGGCGCAGGTATTTATGGAAAAACGTGCAGGTCTTATTTATTTAGTATTTATTTTTCAATGAATGAATGAAACTGTGATTTGATAGATTTTTTTTTTTTTTAAGAGAAGCTAAGACAACTGGGGCTGGGGGAGAAATTGGCCATGCAGAAGGAGAAAATCCCCTTCCTAAGATCAGCAGCCGATTGTGCACCAGCTGGTCGGAGGAGAGGGTGGACCACGCCCCTAGGAGCTCCGATGGGATGGGAAAGACAGCCGGGTATTACCTGTTGGAAACCAGGTCTTTTCTCTTATCCCCTTCCCTTGCTTCTTTCCTGGGATTGTCAGTGACCAGAGACAGGCTAACATCCTGGATAATAAGTATGGTGACTCATTTTCATCAGGAAGAGGGACACATCCAAGATTAGCAAGAATCAGAGCCCCTCCTTCCCTCCCCCACTGCCCAGGTTTTACAGCCATTTCCAATTGCTCGCTTATTTCTTGAAAGACATTTTAGAAACTTGATTGGGGTGAGAGTGGGAAGGAATGACGAGTGTGGTATTCCGCAGCAACCGACCATGCCATGGCAGTCTCCAAAAGAAGCTTTCAAACATTTGTTGGAATGCATTTGAGTGATTTTGGCAAAGGTTAAAGAGAAAAATGGGTGTGGGATACGGGTGAGTGTGTGCGTATGCTTGACTGTGGTGGGGGTGGGGGTGTGGTGGGGGCAATCTTGGTCAAAGAAGCCCTTCGCAGACTGATTGCCTTAGGGGTGGGGTGCAAGAGATGGAATTTGGGTATAATTTCCAGTGCAGGTATTGGAAATTGGGCAATTTGTAATACACTCCCTGAATCCGAAGGGGGTGGAAGAGAGTGGAGAAGAAACAGCCTGCCAGCTTAGCACATTTAGCCAGCGCCCTGGAAGGAAGGGTGGGGAGTGAGGATGAAGGAGAAGGAGCAGGAAGAGGATGGGAGACTGAAGCAGAATGTCAGAGCAGTGGGAGTAGAGATTTGGCATAAATAAATAAATAAATAAATAAGCAGACATCCTGGATTGTGTGGGGCTATTTGGGGGAAAAAGTCGGATAGTGGGGGATTGAGTTGGGGGCGGTATTTGCAGCATCTCCTGAAACTGCCCTATGGTTACAGAGATTGATGCTTCCATTGGCTCATTTTATCAAACCAGGGCATTTTCTCTCTGTGTCCTCCTTCATTTTAATATATAAATGTAATAAATACAGGTGTCTGGGTTAAGAACACTGTCAAAGAAAAGTCCTGAGGTTATTTCACTGGTGAGCTGGGGAAATAACATTTAGGAAGGTGGAGCACTAAGTAAGCCAAAGCCATCCACTTAAAAAGCTTTAATTTTGGAAAGAAAAATATTCAGGTTCATAATTTGTTCCCACCCTATGTGTACATATGCAAGTATACATACATCTCCTTTAATAAAGGAAATCATGTATGATTTTTAGAAAAGGAATTAGGGCTAAAGGAATTCCCTTCCCAAAATGAAGACAGCTGCCTTCCCTGGGGCTCTATCTCACCAACAGCCCCAAGCATTCACTCTGATGTGCAAAGTGATGAAGCTGAAATTGTGTTTAGAGTTGTAGAAATTCGCATGTAAATGTATACAGCATCCACATACTTCATATGCTACAGTTGCATGTGTAAGTGGTTTCCACATGCCTCTCTGTGTTTTAGCATCATTTATATTCAAGAGAAAATTAAAGGTATAGAAATTGTCCTACTTTGCTCATGCATTTTATAAATGTGTACTTCTGTGTGAAATGGTCATGTCTCTTATAAACCACTGTTGTGTATCATTCACATTAGCCAGTATTTAGGATACCATTCAATCAGACTAAAGGAAATGGTGTATTCAGGGCGTGGGCTCACACTACACTGACTGGCATTTATGTAGCATGAGTACTTAAGTCTCACGCAGGTTGCCTGCTTGTGGATGAAATTCTGTATCATTTATGACAAAATCCAGTGGTGCCCATCCTTCTGCTGGCATCTATTCATCATCGTAGTACTTAACAGGGAATAAAACAAGGGCAAAAACCTGCAAAGGTCTAAGCTCTGCCACACCCATAAAATCCAGCAGAAACGTGGGAGGGGGGCTGAAGGGCTTGCACTTCCTTCCTCTTCCACTTGAGCGGCATAAAGAAGCAACCTTGGATTTCTAAGTTGGAATACATTGCCAGTGGGTGAGAAGAAAGCATAAATGATCTCTATTAGCCATTAGTTATCACTATAGATTATTATAGCAGGAAGAAGAGAATGAGAGTGGGGTAGAGATGAGAATATGGTAAAGGAGTGGGCAAAGGAGGAATAAAATAAAATAATCCCTAATATTGTATTGCCTTATGATTTTCAAATATCTTGGGGCTTACTTTAAATAGCTTAATTGCCATGTGTATTGCAGATGATTAAAAACTTGGCAAGGTGTGATTTATGTCTACAAAGCAAGAAAACTATGAGGTGTTTCTTTTGTTGAAAAATAATGACTTTAGTTTGTAATTGAAGTGTAAAGAATTTCATGCAAGCAAGTAGTCCCTCTACTCCCCAGCCCCCCATCCATGCCAATATCTGCTTTTTTCCTCATGCAACAAATAAATCTTATCTCTGAGAGTGTGATCTGTGGTTTAAAATTCCGACCTCTCTGCCTTTCCTTGCAGTGTTGGGAAGGTGTGGAAGGATGCTGCCTTGCTGCTTGGTGCAGGCGATTCTTCCTAGTGATAAATTGGATTCCTCCCAAATCTCTCTGAGCCACACCCAGTGTCACTCAGGGACTTAGTGAATTAATTAAGCTGAGCCATTTTACTTAATATAATTGAAGCTTCTCGTTCTTTTTTTTTTTTTTAATAGTGATTTTCACCACAGGTTTCCAAATTTAAACAGAAAAAATATTTGAAGGGCATTTTCTTTCTTTTTTCTTTCTTTTTTTTTTTTTTTTGCCAAATTATCTGGACTTGCAGAGAACCTTAGAAAATTCATGGTGAGTCTAGAAAGTGTTCATTTCTGGTGACTCTATAATTCCTTCTAACCCATGCCAGGGCGCATACACAATGAGCCCTGATCTCTCCTGCTGACAGAGTCTGTGTAACTCTCTTCCCCACCCCCTCCCCTACCAACCCATGCTGAGGCAACTGGAATAAGAAAATGCAGAGTTAATTTTCTTTCTTGCTGAGCTGGCAAAACTACAGAAACCTCCTTTGATGTTTCAAGCTAAAGGGCAGTACTCCTGTTCACCGAGAGGGAGAGTGGCTTGGGGTCTCCTTTGCCTCTGTCATAGTGAAATTGCCAGTGTTATTCCTGGGGCTGAATTAATCCACAGACTTCAGAATTTTACCTGGCCCCATAAGGAAGGGTACTGGTGTTCTTTCAGGCAAGAATAGAGCATATATATTAACCAATCGTATTGATAAAGTAAGACAAGTCTTCCTCTATTAATAGTTCAAAGAATGCACATAACCAGGTCATCTCAAGAGAAGGTATAGCAGCATTTAACTATTCACTTCCCTATTAGTATTAATAAAGGCATTAGGGCAACCAAGCAGTGGCTGTTGCAAACCAAAGAAGTGATTTCATACAGGAATTCTCCCTTTTCAATTTGTGAAGTGTGGTCAGGTGGCTTTTGTACCTTTGTAATTAAATCTTCATAACATTTTCAGAAGTGTTGGGAAGAATATTATACTGTGAGTCCTTAGTGGAGGCCACTTACTGACTGTGAGCTTTAATAAACCACATCACCTTGGGTTTCAGTTTCCTTCTGTAGAATGAAGAGTAAAAACCAAAAACCAGACACAAATGAACACTTTGCTTACCTTAAGGATTTTTGTAGGGCTTAAACATACTTGATGTGAAAATAAAGATCAATATAAGAAATTTTTATTCTCCCCAAGTTTTGCAATTTGAGGCTTGTCTTAGAGGCCCCAGTTTTGCAGGATGATCTAGTGCCTGCTGTGTCTACCTTTCCCTGTTAGAGATGAGTTCCTTCTAGTCTTAGTTGAGCCTTCTGCTTGTGCTCTTGCTCCTCCCCCCGTGTTTTCCCCAGAGCCCCAGTCCCTCATGCCCTGCTCTTTCTTGAGATTTCATCTTCTTGTGCTGCACTGGCTCCTTTCCTTATAGTTTATGAATATGCTTTTGCCTCATCTATCTTAAAAGATTCTCTCCTGACTCTATGTCCCCATCTCTATAGTTCTCTGTCTCACTCTCCCTTTAGAACAAAGTTCCAAGTACTCTCCACCCTCATTTTCTCCTCTTCTTCACTCCCCATTCACTATTCCATCTAGTTTAATTTGGCTTTGATTTTCATAATTTCACTGAAAAACATATTCTGAAAGGGTGTCACATCCAGTGACCCTTCATTTTACATCTTATTTGATGTCTCTTTGGCATTTTGTGTTGTTGTCAATCCCTGTTCCTGAAACTGTCCCCTTACTGGGTCTGCATGATATTAATAGCTCTCCTTATTCTCCCTCTCAGATAAGACCCTGCTCAGTCTCCTTATAGGCTTCTCTTGCTCTCTTCACCCACCTCCCCAAATCTATGATCTCCTGGATCATAATCTTCATTCATTCCACTCTTCTCGTTTGACTCACTAATCCTAGGTGATCTCATCAGGTCATCCACATCCAAATCTTTAGCCACCTGTGTGATTTCCAGATCTGTAGATCAGATGTCTGTTTTTAGCTTCTGATCCATAGTTATCTTGGTCTAAGTGCTTCATTTCAGAGACAAGTTTGTTAGGTACAAAACCCAACTCAGTGTCTTCTGTTGTGTATCACACTTGATCTTCCTCACTACAATTATTGCTCTGATACTGTCCATCCAGCCTCAGAGCTCTAGGAACCTGAGAGTAATCCTGAATGTATTTTATTTCAACTCCCATATCCAGTTTCTAAATCCTTTGATTCCTTGATTCTTGTTTAAAAGATTGAATAAATCCTCTGCTTTTCTACCCTGTTTATATAAATAACCTGGCACAGACTTTTCATGACTACTCATCTGGACAAAAGCAGTAACTTTCTATGTGGAGTTCTACCACCACATTGTTCTTTAGTTTACCTTGCAAATAACACCACAGCTATCTTTACAAAATGCAAATCGGGTTTTGTTATTTTCTTTGTTAAAATATAAACTCTTCAGCATCAATGACACAATCTAGTTTTGCCTGCTTTTCTAGTGCCAAATTCCAACAGCCCCCCTGCTCTTTTTTTTTTTTTTACCTGATGACACCATGCCAAGATTTCAGGCCTTGGTGCCTTCGCTTGTACTCCACTCTCTGCCCATGTTACCCTTCCCTCTCAGCCTGAAATATTCCCACTTTCCCTGCAAGAGTTAGCTCTTTGAAGCCATTCTTAACCTTCCTAATTAAGTTTTCTTCTACCTTCTTTTTGCCCATGCTGTATTTTGTACTATCTCTATTATCACTTATTGCACTATTTGACATTTATTTTTTCACATTCTGGTGTCTACCCTGTGAGCTTCTTGGGGAAAAGGATGAAAACATAATTCTTGTTTTATCTCTACCATAATACTTGGTACATAAAATAACTCATGTTAACCATGAATAATCTGTTTGCTAAATAAATATGGAACCAGGTTTATAGTCTTTTCACAGGCTGTAGCATATCTAAATGGATAGAATCACTAGGAGATTTTTAAAAAAATGTCTTGGCATGAAATTTTAAAGTGGAACTGATCATCAGTGATTCTTGTTATTCACTTATAGACATGACAGCCATCAGTTTTTAATAAAAGCAGCCACAAAATGAACCCATTTATAGACTGTATTTCTCTGAACTCTCATAGCTGGCACTATCTCCCCTCCATGTCCTCCTCGTCCAACAACCAACATTACAGCCCCACCCTCTCTGGTTACCACAACTCTGGATCTTCACATGCCCTTACTTTGAGGCTCCAAGTACTTGCACTCACTGCTTTGCTTCACAACTCTTACAAATAGACCGTAAATCAATCTGTGTGATCCATGAAATAAATCAACTAAGAGTAGCAATATTTTTTTCTTTAAATGCATGTAGTGCTGGCCTGTGCTTAGGTGTGTGTGCTCAAAAATTAATTTTACCTTCATTTGGATTTCTTTTCTTCCGTCTGAAGTATCCACATAATAATATTTCACAAAGATAAATCATGATTGGAGGTATAGGGAGGGTGAATGGTAAGTAGTCCCTCAAATGACTGTTAAAGGAATGTTAGTACCAGATGAATTGGATTTTTCTTAGGTTTAAATAGACTGAAGGGACTTGGGTTCTGAAGTAGTCCTATTGTGCCCAGCATGGAACAAATTGCAACCACTGTTTTCCATGAAAACACTCTTGCCAGACGCTAAGTAGTGTATTTTCTCTGACTGAATTGGCATGTCCTTGAGAACAGCAGAAAGACTAAATAATTTGTAAGTGAAGTTTGTCTTCAACTGGTAAGGTTCAGTAGTATTTGTCAATTGCCATACCCTCACTTGATATCTTGCTTACTGCTCCCAATCTCTTTGGCATTGAGTTTTTCTATTATTTTCTCCTCCTGTCAGACCCAGGTAGAGTTTTTCTGATTAAGTAATACCAGTTCATGTTAGTGTTTAGTGGGTGAGGCTATGGAAGGAGAACTTTAAGAAAAAGTGTGTTTCTTCAAACTTTCTAAAAAGTACTTATAGACAAAACAGGTATTTTAAGCTATGTCTGGCACATCTTAGATTCTCAATAAATATTTGTTGAAGTAATAAATGTAGGAAGGGAAGGAGCATCATGATGGGTCATTAGGGGAGATGTTCTGGGACAGACGACCATTTCTGATTACTTATTCAGCGTGGGCTTTGTGTAAATGCAAGCTCAGCTCTATTGGTCCCCCTCACAAGGTGGATGTAGTCAAAGTTCAATTCCCTCTCCTGTCTGCTTAGATCAGAGAGACACACTTGCAGTCATTTCATTCAGGTTTAGCACGGGAATGTGATCTTCCAGATTTCCTATCCTTAATTATTTACAGATCTTATTTTCTTAGATGTTGTTTGTTTAATGTCCTGTTTCATGTCTTTGTAGTGGAATAAATCCTTTCCCTGGGTTCTAGACCTGGTTCTGCCAATTGCTTGTCATGTGATGTTGGGTAAGTAATTTAACCTTTCTGAGCCTAGTATATTCATCTGTGTAGTGGGTACATAAAAAGAACCTCCAAATCCTGTCTTACCTTTTCTTCTTAAAATTAGGTTGGTGTGAGTCTCAAATAAAGAGATAACAATAAAAGTGTTTTGCAAACAATGTGTTTTTGAAATGTAAGTATTATTAATTAAGGAATTTCATAGATCGAGCACTAAAGTATTCATGGCTCTAAGCAAACAAGAAGTACTCTTGCTCTCTGTATAGAATACACACATTCCCCATTTCCACCTGATTCCCATACTCTACAGAGTAAATTTTTTGTTTGTTTGTTTTTTGAGATGGAGTCTTGCTGCCATCCAGACTGGAGTGCAGTGGTGTGATCTCGACTCACTGCAACCTCCGCCTCCCAGGTTCAAGCAATTCTCCTGTCTCAGCCTCTCAAGTAGCTGGGACTACAGTTGCATGCCACCACGCCTGGCTCACTTTTGAATTTTTAGTAGAGACAAGGTTTCACCATGTTGCCCAGGCTGGTCTTGAACTGCTGAGCTCAAGTGATCCACCCACCTCGGCCTCTCAAAGTGTTGGGATTACAGGCATGAGCCGGGCACGGCTCAGAGTAAATATTAACCATGCTAATGGATGGGAACATAGTATCTGTTTATTATTTCCTTTGAAAACTTCAGTGACAGAATTTAGATAAGCCAATATTCAAAGTGTTACAAGACCCAAGGATCACTTCAAATGCATTAGAAATACCCACTGTTTTTCTTTTTATCTTTTTCTGTTTTAGTCTTTTCCTCACATTTAGATCTCTTTTCTTCTCCATTTGCTAAGTTTGCTGCCTCCCCCTCTATACCCACCCCCACTTCACCTCCAAACTGGGTTCTCAGCACTAAGATGGCCAGGCATGCTGTGCTCACATCCATCACATGAGGGCCCAGTCAGGCAGAAGAGTGGAGAGAAAATGCAGGGCTGGTTGGGAGACTGAAAATGTAGATACAGTTTGGTTGGGGGAAGCACATTTCAAAGATGATCCCTTGATCACCATTTCCACAACCTGACTTCAGGGCTCCTCAATACAACAGGAATAAACCTTGATTAGAGAGGTGATATGTAATCCTAAACCTTTCCAAACTCAACTCTAAATGCCATAATCTTTTGAGCCCTCAAGATCTCCACAAAGGACATTATAGTTCTTCTGTGTCCCTGGGCATGACTGGGATAAATTACCACTTTAAAACAACAAAATTTAACAGATTCTCCTATAAGCACAGAATTCTACAAACCAAAGAAACTGAGTTTTTAAACATATGGATAACATTTAGAAATACTTTAAAGTATAATAACTGGATCAAGTTAGTCTAAGAAATCCTATTTTTCCTAGAAGCCAAAAGTTTAGCATAAAAAAATTAGTATTGTACATATTTTCCCAAAATACTTTTATACAAAGGGCTCATGTAGACTGCAATAGAAAGGTGTGTTAACTAGAAATTTGAAAATAAACTGGTGTCCAGAAGGAAATAATGATTTCTTTAATTATATTTATATTTGGTTAATGGTATCACCTTTAAACTTTCACTCTAGCTACATCCCTTTCTCCCTGTTTCTTTCTTCTTCTGCCTCAGAACACACTACTTCTATTATATATGCGTTTTTTGATTGGGAACAAGTATCCAAAACCAACTTTAAGAGTCTATAAAAGGAATTTATTGGAAAAAGAAAAAAAGCAGCGATCATATGAAATTAGTAAGTTGAACAACGAAGCCTATGGGAACCAGGGTAGAATTTCAATAACAGGAATTCATAAACTCTTTCTGGGGCCCTGCATCAAAAAAGACTCAGTTATTAATAATCCCAGCTACAATTCAAATTTTAAATGATGAGAGAGAAAGAGAGAGATAAGAGAGAGACAGACAAAGGGAGAGAGGGACAGAGGGAGAGAGACAGAGAGAGAGAGAATGAGGATGAATGAATTTTATTGGTCCTGCTTGGGTCACCTAGCAACTGCCACAGGGCCGATATCTCTGACTGGAAAAAGGGCTGGGTGACATAGGTTAGAGACAATTTTGGTAAGCCCACACTTGTAAATCTAGTGAGAGGGTAAGTTGGTTGAGAATTAGTCTCCTGCATATATACCTATATGTCCACATAGTCCACATGTGGGTTAGCTACCCGAGTCAGAAGGAACTTATCTCAAGTGTGGTGGACTATTCATTTTTCCTTTTGGTTATTTTCAATTTGGTCTGTATTACATATTATTGGTAGGGTTATTATCACTGATGGCTCTAAAAGGAAGTAGTAACCACACAGATAACTGAACCTATGAGCTTATACACCTAAAAAAGAAAGGTCAGAGCAAATCTCCGTACCAGTTTCAGTGTGGAGATGACAGACACTGGGTTTTCACCATCCTCCTGAGGCTTACCTCTGGCAGGTGCCACCTGTCTAGGAGGACATACTAGCTACCATATATTCTTGCTAATTTGGAATGGTGTAGCTTTGCTCTAACGTCTCTTTTTCAGGTTGTAAGATCTAGTTCCTGCAAAAAGATTGGACAATAATGGGTGTAAAACAGCTCAATTGGATTTATATTACAGAAATGCTACTCCTTGACATTAGTCATCTCATTTTGAATGTTCTTGAATTAATTCCAGCAATAATAACCACATTTATCTATTTTTAGCAAATTGGCACTTTGTAAAATATTTGCTCTAAATGTAGAATATTGGTAATTAGCCTTACATCCATTATTTATAATTCCAGTTCCAATAACTATTCAAAAATGTTATTTTAAAATGAAAGTTGGGAAGACCCTAATATCCTTTCATTAATGACTAGATAAAAGAGCTAGATGAGGCAAAGAAAAAAAATAAACAAAATGATCTCCAAAGGTTAAGCAAACTCAGAAATCGGTTGCTTTTATTAAGTGGCTGCAGAACTTCTTAGTCAGCATAACTAGGCTTGACTGGAACCTGTGAGGATGCATATCCTCTTCCTATTCTTACTTTGCTTTGATTCCGGAACCAATTTATCTGCTTGGAATATAAGCTGAGAATTAAATTCCTCTTAATGGCCAAACTAGTTCCTATAACAGCTGTTTCCAAGGGATTTATTCTACAGGTCTACACAAATTTTAATAGAGGCAATTGTCTCATTATTTACCTAAAAAGGAAAGAAAGAAAAAAATTGACTGGATATGGTGGCTCATGCTTGTAATCCCAGAAATTCGGGAGGCTGAGGCTGGAAGATTACTCAGGAGTTCGAGACCAGCCTGGGAAACATAGTGAGACCTTGTTTCTACAAAAAATAAAAAAATTAGCTGGGTGTGGTGGTACATACCTGTAGTCCCAACTACTCTGAAGGCTGATGAGGAAGGATCTCTTCAGCCTAGGAGGTATAGGCTGCAGTGAGCTCTGATCACACCACTGCACTCCAGCCTGGGTGACAGAGCGAGACTCTGTCTCAAAATAAATAAATAAATAAATAAATAATAAAAATTCCCCAGTTTCTAAATAATTAACTTGCAGTTAGATTTATTTGTCCATGTTGTACTGAGGGTAGCCCACTTTGGTTGTCCAGACTCTTACTAACATTCCAGTGGGGAAAGGAATAAGCATTGAGTTATATTTTGCATGGACATTGCATTTCGGTCTTTAAATCAATTTTAAAAAGTATTATTTTATTTGAGAGATGGGAAGGAATAAGAGACTTCATAAGGGAGAATGATATTGTCTTACTTAAAAAACACCAATTCTTTCTTTAGTAAAATCCAAACTGGGAGTTTGATCTATTCAAACGTCATTTTTTTTTCCTGAAATGCAACATCTGCAATATTTCCTTAACTCTCAAGGACTTGTTTATCCTAATAAAAGAGAAGGAAATTGTTTTCTCTATCACCTGGGAAAGTTACTCTGGAGAACTCAGGTTGGTATTAAATATTCATTTGAAAAAGTCTTTCACGATAATCCTCTTCAGTGTGCCTCAGGGCTTTGATTGCCTTTGGTTGAAAGACACAAGGTGGTAGCTTTTTGATAACTCAACCAGATTTGTGCATCCATAATGTTGGACAATTAACTGGAGAACTGTATAGAAAACCTAAGGACAAGAGTTCCTTGCTTACACATTCTTTCTTCCATCTTAAACTTTGTACCTTACACCTCTTGAGTGAAACCAGTATGGAGGAGGAAATGAGGATTTCTATAACTGAAAAGGGAGAAGGAGACTAGAGTTATAAAATAAAATTACTCAGTTTGGAATTGGGCCATAACCTTCTAGTAAAAACTGTCATGGGATCGTTAATGACCACAGATGGCTCAGACCTCACTTCTGAACATCATCTGGAAAACACAATAAGCCCAAGAGAAACAGTATTCAGAAAAGAATCCAAGAAGTACTCTGCAGGACTAGGTATGAAAAGAAAAAAAAAAAAATAAGTGTGAGCACTAGTATGCTTAAATATGCATAACCAAACTTAGGACTCAATTCAGTTTTTATCTTCACTTAGTGGAACGAAACTATTGATTCTTAGCTAAAAAGAGAACTGCCAATTTTGCTGTCATGGTTGTTGCCATATCTTATGCTAGACCAAATCTTTCAGCAATGAATGGTTTTCCTGCAAGCTTCTACCGTTCTCCTGCATTATCATTCCCGTGTCATTGGAAACTGATTGGTTTGTGTACATACTTAAGTCTATTTTATTAATCATATCTTACCAAAATTGTTACTTTTGCTCAACCTGGATATATAGTAAAACTCCATCTGTAAAGAATCAAACCATGAGAATCATAAGAATACCAATAGGAAAATTAACTTTCCATTATTCAAGGTCTCCAAATATTAAAAATATTATTTTTCCTTTTACTCTTTGTGGTTCCCTCAAAAAGTGTCATGTTGAACTAACTATCTTCTTTGCAAATTAGACTTTCTACTCCCCTACTCTTAACAATATCTTTGAGAGATCCCAGCACATTCTCAGTTTCCCAGCTCATAACAGAAATAATTGATTACTCTCCTTCTGTTATAAAAGTCATACTATCAGTTACCAAATTCTTTTTGTAATGTATTTCACATATGCTCTTTTCATCTTCTGCCAGTCTTTCTTAACCAGCATTCCAGAAGAGAGCCAAACCCAACCCTTAAAGCCCTAAGGCCCTAATGTCCATATGTATGTAATGAGTTAATCCCTCTCTTGTGCATCTAGATGGGTACCAGTTATATACCATCCTTGGAAGAAGAGAAAATAGTCACTCATTTTCATGTTCTGTGTTTCAGATGAGAAACTCCAGGTGAAAAAAGGCTGGACAGTTACCAAAATTCTCTACATATTGCCTGCTGGCTAATCTTACGTTTAATCCCCCCTTTCCCCAAATTTCAATGGTTTCTCTTTGTTTACAAGGTTAATTCTAATTTATTTACTTATGGTTGTGTTTCAAGGCTCCTTAGGATCTATTACCAATTTCCTATTCTTGTCTTATCTCCTAGTGGCTCTGGCATTGACTAGGCTTGTGAATTTAAATAAATTTAGTCTCTCTCAGTTGTCATTTCCTTTTACGTAAAACGAAAGTATTGAATGAAATCATCTCTAAGGCTTTCCAACTTTTAACAAACATGTTCTATAGCAAAATGCCTCTTTTACTTGGATATTCTGTCCCACCCAGACTTAGTATAAATTTAAGTATTAATTTTCCTATAATTTTGTTCATTGTTACCGCCACTACTTGAAAAGTCCCCTTTTGGGCCTAGCTCAATCTTGCCTAAACTCCGGGCCCTGAATCAAGACTTATCTCATTTGTGAGGGCTTTCCTGACTAACACAGTTCTCCATGACCTGTTTTGCCTCTTAGATCTTTTGCAGCACATACTACCTGTCCTTTGCTTTGGCATTCATCAAGCAGAGCCTTAACCATCCATTTGCGTTTTTATGTACCTGATTCTGCCAAGTAGTTTGCAAACTCTTTAAGGGTAAGATATCCAGTACAGTGCATGACTCAAGAAACACATATTGTATCTACTCTGTGATAAGCTCTGTATTAGACTCTAAGGGAATGTACAAGCCAAATAATTTCTCAGAAAGACAGGTGGAACCATCTTGCATTACCTCTCTGGGACATTTGACATCATGAAACATACCTTGCCTCTTGAATCTCTTTATTTTCTTGGCTTTCATAACACTTGATACTGCTGGCTTTTCCCACCTACACCTTTGGTTGCACTTTTTTCCCATGCTTGGCTTCTCTTTTCTACCAACCTCTGAAAAGTTGGTGTTATTCAGCGTTTTGTCCTTATACTTGCATGTTCTTACTCAACACAAGTTCTGTGAATAATCTAATTTGTGCCCATAAGTCTCACTTGGACTAGTGAATCTCAAATTCTCCAGGCTCTCCATCCAAACCTACTTCCTTGGCTCTAGAGCTTTATATCTTACTGTCTACTGGAAATATTTTGCTGACCCGCAGGAACCCCAATCTCAACAGGTCTTAAAAGTAAGTCACCATGTCTTGCTCCCAAATCTCTTCCCCTTTCTTATCCAGTCATGTAATTCAGAAACAGAACCCTTATATCTTCTTTTTTTCATTGGATGCTACTGTTCTTTCTCTGGTTTCTATAAGTAAAAACCAAATAAATAAAAAACCTTTTCATTCCTTCCTTTCTTTCCTCCTCTCAAAAATATGTCATTCATGCAAGATGAGGGCATAGTAAAAATATAAATAAACAAAAGAAAGAAATATGTCTTGACTCTATCCACTCCATCTCCAGTCAGCTCTAACCCAGCCATTTTTCATGGAGACTAATGCAATACTCTACCCCTATAATCAACTTCTTCTACCCTCAACCCTTTACAATCTTTCCCTCAGCAGCCAGAGTGCTATTTTGAAAAGCGTCTATAAGATTGTGTATCTCCCCTATTTAAAAATCTTTGATAGCATCCCATTCCACGTAGAATCAAAACCAAACTTAATACAAGGCCTAAGAAATCCTACATTATCCAGGCTTTGCCTCCTTTTCTAGTTTCTGCTTAACAACCATGCGCCTCTTGGTCACCAAGTCTGTTGGCCTCTTTTTAGTTTTTAAAACACATAAAACATGTTCACACTTCAAGGCCTTTGCATGTGTTGCTCCCTGTGCACAGAATACTCTTTCTCTGGCTCTTTACTTGAGAAGCCTTTCCATCTGAGTGGTGTCCAAGTCACTCTCTAACACATCACACTTTTTTTTTTTTTTATCTTTTTGGGATGCTCTCAATCTGATTTTTTTTAAAAAGTATTTACTTTTCAATATTCTGGTCACTGCCTATCTCTTCAAGCTTTAAAACCCACCCCTCTTCACATCCCAGACTCTATTGCAATTGTGTTATTTCATGGAATGGTCCATATTATTTCATCCTTTCTCTCTTTCTAAACACTGTTCCTTTTGTCTGTAATGTCTTCCTTCCTCTCCTTTTCTACATGACACATTTCCTGTTTATTTCCGTGATAATAAACAGGAAATATGTGGCTGCAGTTATTTTCTTCTTTATGGAGACTCTCTGATCCTCCAGCCTAATACAATTATTCTTCGTTTTGTGCCTTATGTCTAGTACATACCTGTATTACAACATTCAATAGACTTTATTATACGTATTCATGTATATGTCTATCTCTTTTGCTATACCAGGAGCTCCTTTCAGGTAGGAGTTATGTCCATGTATAGATCTAGTTGAATGCTTTGCACACTATGGTTTCTCATTAAATTTGAGTTGAATAAGTGCAGCCTATAAAATGAACAAATACCAGTGTCCAGTGAGTAGTATGAGATGGCAAAATTTGGTTAGGACTAAGGCAAAGGTTGGCCAGCTTACAATGATCAGTCATGGAAACTGTTCACTTCTGGCACAGTCCATAATTGGGCAGCTAATAGATATTTCACACAGAGCTAAGACCATACAGACTTGGATTTCACCCAAGTGATACCAGCTGGTTGCTTCAGCAAATAATGGTCACCATTTTATAGAGAGATACTTTAGTGTAGTCAGAAAGATAGCCGTCCTTGACACTATAAACTTCTTAATATCTGGGCTAAGGATGAGTACTCACTGTAAAATATACAGCTATATCATTTTAGCCAATTATTCTGCTTCCTAAGCTTGGTGCTGAACAGTTAGCCTTTCCTCACATTTAAAGCTTGTATCTTCTGGTACTCCTCCCACAGGAATCCTGGTGAGGTTTCAGATCTTCCCCTTTGTCAATAATATAATTTATAGTTACATGTACACTGTCTCTTACCTTCTCTAGTTAAAAAACTATGTACAATAACGCTTAGTTGTTGCTATTTTTTCTTGTCCCCCTTTATTATGGGGGAAGTATCCATCTGTCTGATGTTATTCTATCTATCCCCAAACCAATAAACAAAGGAAAAATGCTAGTAGATTTTCCTAAAGGGAAATAAAACTACAAACGGCCAGAAAATCAATGACTTCTCAACCCTAACTTATGTCTCCTACACACAAAAATATAATTCCTGGGGGACGGATCTGGGAAGGAATGGGCTTCCCCTTATAATTCTGGTGAGGGAAAAATATCTCCAATTAAATCTGTTCCCTTTGCAAGAATATTTAAGAGAATCAAGAAGGGAAAAGAATGGTCCATGAACATTAGGTAGCTAGATCTTTCTGAAGTGAAGCTAAATAACATAGAAATTAAATATACCTCTTTGGGGTCTAGATGGGAAACTTAAACACTCTCTTGGATTTATTTTTTTCAGGAAATGTTAGTCTAAGTTTCAAACTGGTAACTTGGAAAATAAACTTTGGAAATACATCTAACTTGTAGGTTGGGATAGTGTTCACTCAAAAATAAAATTTAGGAAGGACCAAAAGAATATAATTTTTCTGTTTAGAGAATGGATGATCATAAGGAAAGAAAGATGAAGTACACTTTAGCTGAAAAAATATGTCACTTTTTTTCCATTGTACTTTAAAATTTTTAATTATGTCGAAGGTGAAGAAGATGCATGAGTAGTTTGGGTTGCCAAGAAAGCAGGTAAGACAGGCAAGTATTCAGTATTGAAGACATTGATTTGGTGGGATATGGTAGAATTTTGAGAGACCCGCCAGTCATGGGTAAAACCACTTAGAGCCTTTTCTAGAAGATAATTCATTTGCTATTCCACTTATCTGGTCATACATTCCTTTGCTTCCAGTTTTCACAGGCTTTACTATTAGGCTGTTTTCTCAACAAAACTATAGTTGACAGAGTGGAAAACCATTTCTACCTCAAAGCTCTGGACTCCTCAATTGATGTACACCCAGAGACACTGCAGTGTCAGTCCACTGTAAATTCAAATTGCCAGTAATTATACGACATTCCAAGAATACCCAACAAGTCTCCGTTACTCTGATTAAACCAAATTTCTTCCAAATTCTCTGGAACTAAGAAAGGGGTTTCCCTTGGATTCCAGTGAAGGGTCAAGAGGTCAGGTCTATGTTGGCACAAGAAAATGGGAGATTAGATTAAGAAATAATGACGTTTACCGGACACTCTCCCTATGTATGAGCTTTTATTACCACCTAACAATAAAACTGGTACTATTTTCTCCACGTGAAATTCTCTTTCTTTCTCTTTTTTCTTTTTCTTTCTTTCCTTCTTTTTTTCCTTCTCTTTCTTTCTCCCTCCCTCCCTCCTTCCCTTCCTTCCTTCCTTCTTCTTTCTTCTATTTCTCTTTCTCTCTTTCTTGCTTTATTCTGTTTTTTTTTTTCTTTTTTTTTTTTCAATGAGGTTTTACTATGTTGCCCAGACTGGTCTCGAGCTCCTGGGCTCAAGCAATCCTCCTGCCTTGGCCTTCCAAAGTGCTGGGATTACAGGTGAGAGCTACCACACCTGGCCCTGAAATGTTTTTTCCTCCATTCTACCAAACCACATTCTGCCTTCAAAAATTCTGTTGAAAAATCACCTTCTTCATAAAATCATTTTAAACATTTCCTCATTCCCTATCTGGTTCCATATGGCACTCACTATAGTAACCTCCTTAGCAATTCCCCTTTTCTCATATTGTCTATGTGTGTGCGTGCACGTGTATGTGTGTACATACACACATAGGAGTTTGTGTGTGTGTGTGTATACATACACACATAGGGGTGTGCATATATATACACACAGACACTATATATATATATAGAGAGAGAAAGAGTGCATTTATATGTTTTGTGCATATATTATACATATATATATTCACACACACACACACACACACACACACACACACGGTGCTTTCCTGTTTCCCTAGAGACTGCTAAAAGGCTCATTACTGAGATTTCCTCTGTTTTCAATTTCACAAGGCACTATGCAATGCTTGCACATACTGGGTCCACAGTTAAAGCTACTAAATTTTTATTCAAGCTCCCAAGGAAAAGTTGTCACCTTCTTTGTCTTTATACCTGATGGTGATAATTATCATTGACTAGTAGAGCTAAAGAGAGCTTAGGAATTATCTAGTTTGTTTTTCTTTTATCTTGTATTTATTTAACCACAGCATCTTTTTGACCCAGATTGAAATATTTCTCAGAATCCAAGAATGTAAAACAGATAAAAAGATGTTCTTGCGGCTGAAGCAGAGTTTGGTGGCCCAGAGATCTGTCTAGTCCGCTCCCTCCTGTCTCCTCTGAAACCCCCTGTTGAAGCCTGGGGAGCAGATTTTGAAACACTGATCTACAGCCAGTCCTTCATGGTGCAGATGTTAGGAGGTTTTATGCTCAAGGCCATTCAACTCGAAAGGGCTAAGATGGAATTTCTTCCCATGTCAGTGCTACTCTTTTCAGAGGGGTGAAAGAAGACCATACTCCCAATTTCTAGATGTATATATGCCTAAATTTTCTAAAGTTAACTCAGCATTTATGTGATTCAGGAGTAAACAGGGCTCTTTTACAAATGAAGACTTAGAAGTTATTTTTTTGTTTTCCACCTTTTGACTCTTACTCATCTTATTTTTCAATTAGGCTTTATCATCAAGACCAATTTTAGACACAATATCTCCTCTAATATTATATTACAATCCTTTATTCATTCAAAAAACATTTATTAATAATCTACCATGAGCCAAGAACTATGCTGGGTACTGGAAATACAGAATTTTTTTTTTTTTTTAAAGAAACACTCTTTACCCTAAATTAGCTCATAGTATAGTGTGGTAGACATATGTGTGTCGATTTAAAAGTCTGTATTCTAGAATGTGCTCTTAAATAATTTTACTTAATCTCAGGTAGTATTTTCCTAATTGTTCAA
This sequence comes from Homo sapiens, assembly GCF_000001405.40. Lineage (NCBI taxonomy): Eukaryota > Metazoa > Chordata > Mammalia > Primates > Hominidae > Homo > Homo sapiens. The sequence goes on from NC_000003.12 coordinate 115,642,560, forward strand.
GAATATTTCCCAGTATAGGCTTACACTAATGTTTCTTCTTGTATAGATGTGACTATCAACAAGCCTTGGAGGTTTGGGGGATAAATTTTGTAAATAACAGAACATCCATAGATCTAAAGACTTAAGTACCACAACTCCAAAAGATTTTTAAGAATTAAATGTTAATATTTATAACTATGCCTGCCACATAGTAAGCACTTAACATTAGTTATTACTTGTTATTGTTGATGCTGTTGTTGATAATGATATTTTATCTACATTAAGTGAGTCATATACCTAAATAGCTTTTTGTGGTGATTCTTAAAGGACTAGTTTCTGGATTTTAGGGGTATATGTGTGTGTTTGTGTGAATGTATGCATACACATCTGAAGTTCAATGAAAATACAATTGATTAACTGAGAAATGAGTTATGAATGCCACTGACTTAAGCTTTGCATGTCCTATGCTCTCAACACTCTTTAATGCTAATATACATTGTTTCTTGCAGTCTTGGAACTCAGAGGTGTAATTAGCCTTATCTTACAGATGTGGCTAATAAAGGTTGAATAAAAATTTCAGGCTGCCTCTACTTAGAAACCAGAGAGGCTCATCATTTGCAAGGAGCTGAAATGTAGACATCTCAATACCTAGACTCAGTCACTTTTTATCTTCAAGGAATGACGTAAAGATGCAATGGCAATTACAAATTATCCTCAGTGATGGTGGTATCCACGGTCTGTGGCTATGGTATCTACAGACCCATGCTCTAATCAGTTGGTGGTTTTGCCTTGACTGTGTTTCCTGGGTCCACTTTCACTTGGTTGCTGCCTAATTTTTGAGCCTGTTTCTCTAGCCTTGCCATTAATACTGTGAGCTCTCTGATATTATCCTAATCCATTTCAGGTTCTATTGCTTGCACTGAAAAATCTTACTGATGTAACCCTGTAGTCAGAAATCAGGAGCAAGCTGCTAATATTTTTCACCTGGATTATTGCAATAGCCTGGGAGATTTGCACTCACTGTTCTGTCTGCCTAAAATACTTTGTTGCAACATATTCACGAGTAGCTTCCTTACCTCTTCAGGATTCTACTCAAACTCACCTGTTTACATCTTATCAAGGAGTTCTCTCATTACCCTATGTAAAATGGCACCCCACCCTAACACTCCTTATCTGTCCCCTTTTGTTCTCTTTCATTTTATTTTCTCCAGCCCTTGTATCTACTCAAGATACTTATTACAATCTGCTGGCACCAGTGGTACGTAAACTCCATGAGGGCTCCGTTACTCTTTTGGTGACTTATATTTCCTGGAACCTAGTACAGTGCCTGGTACATATGAGGTACTCAACAAATATTTATTGAATGAATATATGAATGCACTTAAATTATATTCAGAAGTAATAATAAGCTAAACACGTGCTACAGCTAATGCATCCATTTCCACCTGCCTCCACTTCCTTCCTGATTGCTTTTCCTTAATCTGAACCAGCAGTAACCCATATATTTCTTTCAACCTAGCTGTCAGTCTAAGGTATGTGATGCAGCGGATTTCCCAAGAGTGATGAAAGAAGAATTTGGTCCTGCTCACCACTACAAAATGCCTATTTATTTCTCCTTTTATATTTTAATTGTTTAAATATTTGGGGAGGATTGTCCTGCTGTGGTAAATTTATACTCATTAAATTGTCAAGTGTAACTGTATTATTTATTTATTTATTGCAGGCACTGTAGGGGAAATGCTTGCTTTGCCACTGGCACCATGTGGCTTTGAGTGATTATTGTATTTTACCTGATAGTTTTTGGACAGGACTATCAGGGTGATGAATGGGTGAGAGTGGGAGGAGTTCAAACACTGGTTGATAAAAGGATAACAAACCTGTAGCAATAAGTCAGTCACCGTGAAGCATTCTAAGCACTGAATAAGACAGAGCATCCATTCCACACCCTATTTCCATTCCCAGTTAATCTTCAAAGAGTCAACATGGCAAAAACATTCCAAGATAAAAATAGCAAGATCTTCTAGAAAAGATTTAAGTTTCAAGGCAAAAAGAAAAATCCTTTATGGTTACTGAGTATGCTGTGAATCCACATAGTTGTGGTTGTAGCTAAAATGCTGCATATTTCTTTTCTCAGCATCAGTGATTTATAAATAGAGAAATTTTTAAAAATGAATCTCTGAAAACATTCCAGAAGAAAATTTGATTTGTGGGAATTGAAGGATAAAATGTATAATGGCAAGTGGCACAATGTCAGACACTGGGTTCTGTGCTTATAACCTGATCTCAAATCAAAACCCAATGCCCCTGGCATTCTCAAAGCTGGATCATCAGAGGTTTCATTTCGGATAGAAGTGAGGTCATAGCTCTGCTAATGTAAGGTAACTTCAGCATGTCTGAATCCATCTAACAGTCTTGTTGAGGCAGGGAGCCTAAAGAAGCTATTCAATCTTTTATCTTTCTCCAGGGAGAAACAACTTTAAAATGTACGTATTGTTGGCCCCTATATCATTTTTGTTTATCAATAGATCATCTATTGCTTTCATGGTATCTCAAGAGTTAGAAGAAATTTAGAAGGCATCTTATCTATGAGTTATTCATTTATTCATTAGGAAATCTTTATTTAGTCCCACTATAAATTAAAGGATATAGGGTAAATATATGAATCAGATATGTCTATTCCCTTTACAGGATTCATTAATTATTTTCCGTGACATCCTTGCTAGGTTGGAGTTCAGGCTTTGGTGCAGTATCTCCAATATTTTTTGTGTTGATGCTACTCATTTAATACAATACTCCTCAAGTGAGTGAAAGCAAATTAGCCTTCACTTGAAGTAGTGAGGCCCAACCAACTCTTCTTTACCCCTCATTATTCAAAAAGTCAGATGTAGAGACCAAAGAAGGATCAGAGTGGAAGTGCTGAACAGTTAACTTAGTGAACTCTTTCACCTTATCTTCTTGTTTTGGCTTCTGTCAAACTTCATTGTACCTGGTCATTCTCTATGCTTATCCAGAGATGGAAGCAAAATACTAAAATTTCATATTTGTAACCTAGTAAATACTAGTATCTTGGTGGAAAAAAAACCCAAAAATGATCTAAAAGTCCCCAAACCCCTTAATATATTTTAGAACACTCTTTCTATTGAATGAAAACTTAACTCAGTTTAGTTTTGTTTGCATACACAAATCAAGCATTGGAATAAATCTTAAGAGTTAAAATGAAATAACTATATTTGTAAAATGCTTAGAAATATCCCCAGAAAAATATTTCTTAAGGCTCTTCATCATTGGCTGTGGCAAGATGGAAGGCATTTCAAGGTCTCACAAAATAAAAAGTAAAGTAGCATGCAAACATATGCAGACACAAAACTCTTAACTCCGGAATTTTAGGGATTTTTTAGATTTCTAGTTTGGGTTTAAGATAATGGTCAATTGTCACTTATTGGAACTTTGATTTAGTAATAATTTTAAAAAATTAAGTGTTGGACTAAGTTTTAAAATTTAAAATATACTCCTATAACTAAACCATATTGGATTATGCCTCTTGCCAAGATTATTCTTAAACCATGATCTAAGAATCTCCTATTATTCTTTCACTGTCAGGATCCAGAAACTCAGTGCCAAGGGTAAGTCAGCCTTAGATAAACAGATTGTCTGGCCTAGGCCACCAATCTGTCCAACATTTGTGACCTATAAAGATTTTTTTTTCCTGCAAGCAACTCTGCCTATGCCAACTGTTTATATGCACAGTGGAAACTTCCAAAGCTGTCATTTCCTAGGTTTGCTTTGCTTATACAACTAATTACTACTGTGCTAGAAATTTTTTTCTATTTATTGGATCCCAGAAAGGCTCAATTAACCAGTGCCTTTTGGTCAAGGATAGTAGCTGAAGAATAAGACCTCAAGATTATAGCATTTAAACTTTGCACGGTTCATCTTGTTGATATGGCAAGGATTCAGGGATAATTGCCTAATAGGCAATATTGCCTAACAGGATAGGTGGGGGTTCAGAAGGGCTCTAATGAAAGAGAAAAAGAGAGAGAACTTCAAATCATACTGAAGAAATAGAGGAAAGCAGAAGTAACCTGAGACAAAAGAGGGAAAGCCCTTCGGATATCTTGAATTAAATATAAACCCTCAGAAATATTTACAGTGCTCTAAGTTAGTAGATTGTCATTTCTTATGGAGAAGACATAATTAGAATGGACCCCAACCACAAGAGACCTCTCTATTAAGACTCATTTGCGATTTGGTACCATATTGCAAATGAGTCTTAATATAAAAGATGTGTCAGAAACCCTCTTCTCACTTCACTTTATATATTAAGTATCTCTTTTCAGGAAACCAAACAACCAACATGTATTTCCTGAACCCCTACAATGAACCAAAGTCTATTAGAGGTAGTATGGGACATTGTGATGGGGGCAGAGGGATACAAAACCCCACCAACAAGGAGGGTGCTATGATTTGAATGTTAGTTCCCCTCACATTTCCTCTGTTGAAATCCTCATCTGAGGATTACATCTGGGATTACTATCACTGAGATAGTATTAGGAGGTGGGGCCTTTGGAAGGTGATTAGGTCATGAGAGTGAAGCCCTTATGAATGGGATTAGTGCCCTTTTAAAGAGACCCCATAGAGCTTCCTTGCTTGACCCTTCTGCCATGTGAGAACATGAGAAGGCTCGGTCTATTATACAGAAGGCAGGCCCTCACTAGACACCAAATCTGCCAGCACTTTGATCTTGGACTTCCCATCCTCTGGAATGGTGAGAAATAAATTTCTCTTGTTAACTACAGTTAACCAGTTTATGTTTATTTTGTTTTCTAATAGCAGTGGGAACTAAAACAGAGAAGAAAGAAGGTTGATATTTAAGAAATATGTACAAATTAAGGAATAACCCTCACAAAAATAACAAAACAAGGCAGTTTGTAATTAAAATATACAAGTACTATAAGAGCTCAGGACTCACAGGAGGAGGCAAGGGAAACTGAAAGCTTTAAAAAGGGAAAAAACTAGGAGAGTGCCCAGTATGAAGGGAGAGTAGAAGGCATTCCAGAGAAGTGGGATAACATGGGGCATGGTCATGGAGCCTTGAGGGGACGATCCTAAAAAATAGTGGAGAGTGTTTGATGGTAAGAATTAGGGGGGAGGGAAAATGAGCCTGTAAGATAAACCATAGCCAACAAAAACAAAAACAAAAACAAAACAAAACAAAAAAACAAAAAAAAAAAACGGCCTGATAGGGCAAGAACTTTGTGCCATTAGCAGCTTTTGGCTAGGGGAGCAAAGTGATGTAAAAAGCATTTATGGCACCTATGCATGCAGGATTGCATGGAAGACTGGAGGCAGGAAGCAAGTTAAGAGGTTATTGTTTGAAACACGTATATAGAAGAGAAAATAAAACCATGGACTAGAGTGTTCATAATTGAAATTTAAATGTAAAATGAATTGCAGACTTTTTGAAGAAAAATGGGTCATTTTCAGTGCCTATGACACATGAAGAAAAGTCTCTGCCAATACATGTGGTCCATGATCCTTTCAATTTGGCTAACCAGTTGTTTTGTAGTCTAGGCTGTATGACAGTGTGACAAGGCTCGTCATGGAAGTAGTCCTTCTTTTACGCAATACTGTGGGCCCTTCTGCAGATCTACTTGCATTCCATTTTTATTTCCCTAATTCTTGGACTGCTGGCTGTATACCTCAACCTTCTTTTCTGCTTCTGACTCCTTCAGGTAGACCCTATCTGATATGCTGTCCTCGCCTCTGAGACTGGGACTCCTCTGTCCACTGGGCTCTTTGTCCTGCTCTGTTCTCTAGCTTTGGACACCATCTTCAGCATTGAACTCCATTGTCCTATTTCAAACCCACTGCACCCTATAAGCCAGGAGAATCCCCCTAACTTGCCCTATGATGTGTGGAGAAATAAATATGATTATAAGATTTCTAGCTTAGATTTACTGGAATGGATGGGCTATTGGCAGAACTGATAAAAGGAAGAACTGATTTGGTGAGGAAGACAATGATTTTTATTTCCAGCATGGCCAGCATGAGGAAAACATCCAGAAAGAAATCACTAATTGAAGGTCCAGAAGTGGAGGCAGAGGGTACAGGGGGCACATGACTCAAAGGCTGATTGAGAGCTTATTCATCTTCGTGGCATTAGTTGAGGAAGGGTTAGAAAGAAAAGAGCTAAGAGAAGGGCTTACTCACCCTTCAGTGGCAGAAGATACTTCATTCAGAGAAAAAGAAAGAGCAGTTAGTAAAAGCATATGGGATCAGGGAAGCCAACAAAAAGAAAGCTCTAAAATAAATGGTCAGTACTATTAAATCAGAGTGATTAAGAAGGATGACAATGGAGAATAGACCATTGAATATAGGAATAAAGAGACCATTGATAATCTCTGAGTGGGTAGTTTAGTTGAGTAGTGAGGATGAAAGCCAGAGTTTAAAGGCTTAGAAGAAGGTTGAAGTAGAAGAAATACAGATAACTGGCATAGACCACAAATCTAGAAATTTGGTATTCCTCTCAGTCAATTCCTGCTACTACAAAAAAAAATCACAGATTGGTTATTAGTAACAGAAATTTATTTCTCACAGTTCTGTATGCTGATCCAGGCACCAACAGGTTTGGTGTCTAGTAAAGGCCTGGTCTCTGTCTCCAAGATGGTGCTTTACTGTTGCATCCTCACATGGCAGAAGGGCAACAAGGAATAAATTCACTTTCTCAAGCCTTTTTATGAGGACATTTGCTGAGACCTCTTGACCTAATCACCTCCGAAAGGCCCCACCTCTTAATACTATTGCATTAGGGATTAAGTTTCAACTTGAATTTTGAAAAGACACAAACATTCAAACCATAACAGTGTCGAATGGAGAAAGAGAAATGAGATTGTAATAAAAAGATGCTATTTTTCAAGGTAGGGAGAAACCTGTTTTAAAGTAGAGGGAATAATAGAGAAGGGAAGACTGAAAGGGTAACAGAAGAAATCAATGTGACAGTAAAGAAGGGATAAGTTCAAATGTTTAGATCTCAGCAGAGTTCCTTATGGAGAAATGATACAGCTTTGAAACAGAAAGGAAAAAGAAGAGGACAAGAAATGTATTGAAATGGGATGGTTTATATTCAGGGGATCCTGTCAAAATCCTGAATTTTGATGCTGCATGTGATGATTCCCACCTTTAATCCCAGCTACTCAGTAGGGTGAAGCAGGAGAATTGCTTGAGGCCAGGAGTTCAAGACCAGTCTGAGCAATATAGTGAGACCCTGTCTCTAAAAAAAAAAAAAAAGAAAGAAAGAAAGAAAAAGAAAAGAAAAGAAAATCCTGAAACCCTGAAACCCTCCCCTCTTTTTTCCCTCAGTGAAGAACTTTGGCTGGCTGTTCAGAGGAAAAATGGGAAAGAAAAACCTTCAGGGGAGTTTACTAACTGACAGGAATGAATTAGACAGCACTTTCCCAAGTGTTCTATGGATCACCTGACATAGTGTCACCTGGAGAAGGTTTTTAAAATGATCTCTGGAGGAGACACTTCATTCACAAGCTCCTCAGATGATTATGATGCTTGCAAACGTCCAGGAGTGAGTGCCTTGTTGGAGGTGGATCCATCTTGAAAACACTGACTAATTTAGGAACCTAGCAGGAAGCTACATTGTCTCTCATCCTGTGGTTATTTTTCTCTTCACATCCCTCACAGGGCTCCCTTCGCTGGGTGTATTTCTATGGTAAAGAGTGCAACTCATCCCAGCATACACCGGCATAAGCTCTTGGTTAGGTCCAAAATATCAGCGAGGGCATTATAGTATATCCACAACCCAAAAGAAAACCTCAGTACTGATTATGTGCACACATGAAGTTTCAGAAGAATGTAAACGATGTATTTTTTCTACTGAATTACCTTTCAGTCCATTAAGAGTTTATTTCGGGTAGCCATCTGGGATCCCCCTCTCTCTGTGAGCCCCCTTTCTTTTCTCTTTCCCTCCCATACCATCTCCTATTTCTCTGTTCCTCCTTCTCCCCATTCCCACTTCCATCCTTGACTTGAAGTGGGACATTAGATCTTTATGGTTCTTATGGCATTGCACTGAGCTCTACTCTAGAGACTCAGCACTAGAATCTGCACATGTGGAAGATCCACAGGTGCTTTCTTGCTAACCTAATCATCTCTAATAGCATAACTTTGATATATAACTATAATTTTTAAAATCATACTCTAGTCTTTTAAAATCATACTCTAGTCTTTTCTTACTCTAGTCTTACTCCTTCTAAAAATTAAAGGGGAAGGAAAAAGTGTGTGGAGGAAAGTAAAATCTGGTCAGGCATGGTGGCTCATGCCTGTAATCTCAGCACTTTGGAAGGCCAAGGTGGGAGGATTTTTTTGAGCCCAGGAGTTCCATACCAGCCTCAATAGCGAGACCTTGTCTCTACAAAAAAATAAAAATAAAAAAATTAGCTGGGCATTGTGGCATGCCTCTGTAGTCCCAGCTACTTGGGAGGCTGAGGTGGGAGGATTGTTTAAATCCAGGAGATGGAGGCCACAGTGAGCTGTGATTGTACCATTGCACTCCACTCTGGAAGAGACCCTGTCTGGAAAAAAACAATAATAATAATAATAAAGAAAGTAAAATCCAATTCTGTCACACTGAGAAACCTTTTATTATTTGGAACCCATATGCCAACAGGCCCTCAGTAAATGAAGCATGGTCAGTGGAGGTGGGGTTCTGCAACATTATGAGTTTCTTGCTAAATGAAGTCAAGTCTCTCTTCCTCTTTCTCTCACACACACACATCCATGCACACTCTGCACATACGGAAGACCTGTTGTTTGAAAAGTTAAGTTAGTGTTTGAAAAGTATATCATTTGTTTTTAATTTGTTGCATGAATTTTTGTGTTCATTTGGCAAGATAAATTTTACTACCAGTTATCTAGATGAGAGGGAGTCAACTTTGAACCCTCATTTGATGCCTAACCTCGGCATCAAGAGAAAAAATCTATCCTAAACTCAGTTCATATGTACATTTCTATATTTTTCTTTTCTCTTGCTGCATTCCATTTTATTTACCAACACAGAAGCAGAAGGTTGTAGTTTCTCTATTTCCTTTTTCTGATAAACACCTCAAAAGCATATAGTAATTTCCTCCATTTTTATCTGGCCCGTGCTTTTCTTAAACACATGTAATCTGTTCTTCCCTCCCTCCCCCACTGTTCTAAAATTGCTTTCCCTGAGGTCCTTGGTGGCCTTGTAATTTATATTTGCAAAGACCTTTCTCAGCCTTCACTTAACATTTTCGCATTGACTGTGCTGAACACTTCTTAGGATCCTCTCTATTCTTGGCCCCTGTTCTGGCCCTCTTCAATTGTTACTCTCCTCCTCTAAGCTGGTTTTACTTTCTCCTCTGTCTTCTAGATAGAGGTGATACAAAAACATGATCTTAGTTTTTCTGATCTTTTATTTTTAATTCTCTTAATTAGAATTTTCTTCCACCTTCATAGCTTCAACTATCACCTTCTCATAAAAGACACTCAAGTGTATATTTCCTGTACTAAGATGCTTCTAGTTGCTTACTGGGTGTCTAGTTCCTTCCAAACATTTACCATTGAAACTGAGTCCATCACCTTTCCCCAAAATCCATCTTTCCCTTTGAATTCTCCACAAATAAACTGTACCGCTCATTTAATTCTGAAGATATTATCTTTTGTATTATTTATTTAATTCTTTCATTTGTTGTTACCATATTTAAACAGTAATTATTTTGAGGGAAAGAATCGTATTTTCTACATCTCTATATTCCTGTATTCCTGATGATTCTTATCCAGCATTCTTTTTTTTTTTTTTTTTTTTTTTTTTTTTGTGATAGAGTCTTGCTCTGTTGAGTCTTGCTCTGTTGTCCAGGCTTAAGTGCAGTGGTGGCACCATCATAACTCACCACACCCTCAACTTCTGGGATCAAGCAATTCTCCCACTTCAGCTTCCCGAGTGACTGAGACTACAGGCATGTGCCACCATGCCCAGCTAATTTTTAAAAACTTTTTTGTAGAGACAGGTTCTTGCTCTTGCCCAGGCTGGTCTCAAACTCCTAAGTTCAAGTGATCCTCCCACCCCAGCCTCACAAAGCACTGGGACTACAGGCATGAGCCTCTGCACCCAGCCGCCTATGCAGTGTTCAATAAATGATTTTTATTAAGACGTTTCACCTAAGTTCCTAATATTTTGCATATACTTCTCACTGTGGTAATTTTTGAAAGGGTTGACAGATTTTGATGAAAATGAATAGATATGAAGTGTAATTTTGGTTCAGACCACCGTCTTGAGACAAAATAGTAGCTACTAAATGTACTGACAGGAGAATTTCTGTAACTTATTAACAGTGGATTCCGTACAATTTTATATACCTCTGCAACTGAATGTGTTCTGCTATTCAGAACTTCTGAAAGAGGAAGTTACCAGCCAAAGAAATTATGAGGCAAGTTGAAGGATCTAGTTAGGTTAGACTAAGCAGACACTCAAATGAGAGGGAAGGCAGAGCTAAAACTTCAAGACTGGGTTTCTCTACCTCATCTGGGAGAATACTGACAACAGGGCATATAAATTTTTGTCTTTTTGCCCAAAATATGAGGTACTGGGCTAGGTGCGGTGGCTCATACCTGTAATCCCAGCACTTTGGGAGGCTGAGGGGGGCAGATAACTTGAAGTCAGGAGTTCAAGACCAGCTTTGCCAACATGGTGAAACCCTGTCTCTACTAAAATTACAAAAAAATTAGCTGGGTGTGGTGGCGCATGCCTGTAATCCCACCTACTTGGGAGGCTGAAGCACAAGAATCACTTGAACCTAGGAGGCGGAGGGTGCAGTGAGTTGAGATCTTGCCACTGCACTCCAGCCTGGGCGACAGAGTGAGACTCTGTCTTAAAAACAAAATAAAATAAATAAAAAGGTAATTTTTCCAATGTCAAAGGAGACTAGAAAAAGTTTTTGAAGAATGGTGTCTGCCCCTACTTTGTGTGGCGGGGTGAAATACCACTATTTCACCAAGGGTAACCTGCGCCTCCTAAAACTTTTATTTCTCCCAAGACTAAGTTTACAGATTCTTAGAATTAATGAGTTGAAAAAGACTTGACCATCTAGTTCAAATCCCTCGTTCAGAGACATGCCACATGCTTCTTAATCCTGGTTGTATGTTAGGTTTTCTAATCTTGCCTCTGGGCCTTATCTCTGAAGTCCTCACTCTGCACTGGCCCTAGAGTTTGAGTAATGCCATCCAAATGTAGGTATTGCTATTATATTAAAAATAACACTTTGCCTTGTTCATATTTAATGAATTTTCCTATGAAAGATAGATTCATGTATCACTTTTCAGATATTTAACATCTGAAATTAAAAAAAAAATTAGCCCTAATGAACATTTTCTACAATACATGGATCAAGAGTAGAGAGGAAATATTGGTCTCCACATCTCCCCTTTCCACTCCCCCAACACCAAATCCACTGTCTATAGGCATTTACACATTCCTTCTGTGATTGGATGATTCTGCCTTTTTCAAGGCTGAAAAATTCAAGTCAATTGACTCTCACAGATTTGAAGTTTTCTGCTGTGGTGTAAAAAATACATCCATATTTCAATTGTTTTCACTTTAATTTATCAGTTGGCCACAATATATATAAAACAGAATTGCCTGGTGCTCAGAATGAAGTACCAAGTGATTCAAATATTGACTATTCTACTCAATTTCAATATAAACTTAAGCAAGTCACACACTTGTCCACTTATCCAGTAGATGAAACCGCAAAGGAGGAGAGTTTATCTGAAAAGTTCTTCTCTGGAGAAAGATACTTAGAAAATACAAATGGTCCTTACTAAAGACCCCAGCTCATCCCAGGAAGATCTGAGGAAAAGATGAGCAGACCCAATGCTACTTCAGCTCACCTTTCTTAGCAGTCTTTTTTTTAAAAGCTCTGTTTTAATTGAACACTATGTTCCTGAGTCAGAAGAGTGCTTCAGTAAATCTGCCTTCCTGGGGCACAACGAATCACACACAGTCACACTTTCAGAAAGGCGAATCCTGCCAAACGTTGGCTGGACAAAAGATGGCTTTTTTTCTCCTCCAGCAAAAATTACTCAAATTGCTTGAGAAAGAAACACAGTATGTTTATCCCTGTTTACAGATATTTAGCTAGTGCCCCTTCAGAGGGTCATGTTCCTATAAACAGCATCATGATAATTATATCCACTGCTGCAAAGAACAGATGTGTAAATTGGTGGTTTCTTGGGGGAAAATAATACCAAGTCCATTTTCCAGAAATGTACACAGTACAGTGCAGCTGTAACATTCTGTGCAGAGGTCTCATTACTGTCTATTACTGAGTGAGGTGATTTTTAAAGAATATGGAAATTCACGGGGGGCATCTAGCAGGGAAGTCCAGAGACACCTAGGAAATGATTCAGATGGTTTGGTATATTTAAAAATTTCTAGTGATACTGGGCAAATCTCCACATCTAAAGAAAGTAGTAATAAATCTTTGATTATAAAGTTTTCCAGGCAAGAAATATGTATGAGTAGAGGGTAGGATTAGGAAACTTCTCATGCCCCACACACCTCTGAGATCTGTGTAACTTAGGTATAGACTAAACTTTAGTGAGGCCAGGTTGCATCAAGGTGGTCAAATTTTCGATCTGTGAACACCAGAATATTTCTAAACTCATTGCTGAAGGGTCTGGCAGGGATCAGGGTTCCTGAAACTAGAGTCAATGGTTCCTTATTTAAAAAGCCAATGTTACCTTGGACACAAGAATTAGATGAAATCCTTTCTGCTAATGAATTTATTTTGTTGTAGATACTTGCTTTTCCCCAGGGTATATATTTATGTGACTATATGGTAATCAGTATTATCCCTAAAAATTAAAACACAACACTAAGGTCAGCTTATTGTATTAGAATAGCTATTGAACAGGTCTGTTATTACAAATATGCATATCACTATAAGCTTCACTATCTTCTCTCTGCAAAATTCTCTTAAATCATGTCAAATAGTATGTACAGAATATTATATACAGGGATCTAGTGTCTGCCTGAAGGATGGGATTTCTCCTGAACTGGGGCTATCAGTACCTTCACATGTACCAAAACTTTGCATAAGACCAATATATATTTCATAACTTAGTAAATGTGATAAAACACTGAAAGTTAATTTGCATTTTCATTGAATACTATAATATTCAATGACATTATGCAAAACTGGGGCATTTTGCTTCTGGGACAGAAAAGTATAAACTATTTCTTTTAAGCTATGCTTCTATAATTCCACACGAACTACCCAGGAGGATCAAAGCATGTTAGAATGACTGAAATACAACAGGAACAGTCTAGTCTGTTAATCTGGATTTTTCAGGCCTGGGATGGAAGGATAATAAATTGAGGCCTGCCACATGCCTTAGGCCAAAGCATGCCTTTGACACTAATGATCTAATTCAGTTATCTACTTTGTCCAAAATTCAGCCTTCTCATACTCTGTGCCCTGGGGACATAAACAAAAACACAGGGGGTGATGAGGTAGCCCCAGCTCTATCTGGGGCTCTACTGACTCACTCTCTTGGTCTCAGTTTCAAGGGCTATGAAATGTCATGGTGTGATGGTCTCTTCTAGGCCTTGTGTCTTATGTTCAGTGGGTCTATGCATGCTGGAATTTAGAATAGTGATTCTTGGTCATTTGTGTGGGATAGCGGCTGCTGGGTATCCACTTGACTTGAAAGTAAAGAGGTAATGGGGTAGAAATAGAAAATTCTGAATTGTTTAATATAAAATCAAGGAAGCTGTTTCCAATCAGGACTGTGGTTCAGGTCTAAGGACCATAGATGCAGCCCACTAGCACATTTACTAACATGCAGTTTGGGCTCTTTATACTAGGCTCCCTCGACCAGCATCTCTGAAAGTTGAACCTATGAATTGGATTTAAACAAGCCTCTTTGGTGTAAATATGTATACTGAGGGTGGGGAATCCCTGATCTAGGTAAAAGAGGACTTTTTCTGCTAATCTGAAATTTGGTTGGGAGAAAATGATGTAATCTACCTAAACTTCGATTTTGTAATAATAGAAATGTTATCTTTCCATCGTTCTCAGAAAGTAAAAGTGTATCAGTGAAACAGCCCCTTAGAGAAGTTTCTTAGAAAAGCAAGCAATTTCCTAGTAAAAAATGGATTGTATTTCAAAAAGAAATTGTTAAACTTGAAACATAAAAGGCTTTCCCCACAGAAATAACCTAAAATTTCCAGACCTGTCTGTAAAACTCAGATTGATCCAAAATGTAACTGAAATTCTATATGTTTGCAATGGAAACATAGAAGAAAATAATGTTACTGGGCTTCGGAGTGTAATAGAACCATTTCCTCATATATAATTTCATTAAAAATGCAAAAATATAAAAAACTATATACACACGTACTTGCGTATAATTTCCCTTTTCTAGTCTACAAGTATTATGGTAGCCCACCCTCAACAGTACTGAGAATGAAAATTATAGCAAAACTCTTTTGTATTAGTTACTTCTGTGTCATAATGAGAGTCTCAAGATAAATGAAAGGAGGGATGGATAAAATGATTTCTTATGATGGGCAAAGGTTGGAAGAAACATCATGTGGGGAGAGGGCAAAGAGAAAACAGATAAAAAGAGAATAAAAGAGGAAATGAGTGGCTTATGTGAGCAAGCGATGAGCTAAAGTGGAAGTGTAGGAGAGGTGAGTTGCTTAGGTCTAAGGAGAAAGACTGCTTAGGTGTGTGTTCACCCCCAGGACGAAGAAAGGAACACTGGGTGAGATTTTGTTCAACTACCCATAGTTACCACCAGATGGTGAAACTGATCCCGGGCCTCTTGGGTATTGATCAGTTTATGGGGAGATGGGGAGAAGACTATCTTTCACTTGTTAATTCATTAATTTCTTTCGCAAATATTTTTTCAGTACCTGCTAAGTCCCACGGACTATGCTAGGAGCTGCTGTTAAAATGACAAACCAGATAAGGTCACTGCCCTTAATCAACTTACAGTTGGGTGAGAAGCTATCAGGTACAAGTATGGCCCTAGAACAAATTAGTCTTTTCTAGTTAATAATCTTATGTGATGAGATTTGGCCTTGCTCCTTTGGTGACTTGCCTCAAGGAGCCCCAGGCAAAACCAATGTAACATATATTAATAATATATGAAATAATATATTTTGTAGACACAATTGCCTTATGTTGTCCAGGCTAGCCTCGAACTCCTGAGCTCAAGCAATCCTCCCCACCTCTGCCTCCCAAAGTTCTGGGATTACAGACGTGAGCCGCCGTACCCAGCCAAAAATGTTTATTTTGATTAGATGACTGGTATTAATCTGATTAACCAAAGAGACAAGGTATTACTAAATTCCTCATCCCTGGTAACATTTCCATGTTAGCTGTTTTCTATTTGTTTTTTCTTTTCCACAATGGTGCGGCCTAGAAACAGTTAACCTTCTTCGGGGTATTACATACCTTAGACATATAAAAAAGCTATGAGCATTCAACACTGAAATAATCATATAAACCAAACATACTGCACACTACTTCAGGGATACTCTGAAGCCCATCCTTAGACCCCAGACTCAAACAAAACAAAATACGATGTAAAGAACTGACACAAATCATCAGAGTTTAGAGAACAACGTGACGGGCAGCAGAGGAGAGGAGAGGGTTGAAGCAAACTTTTTTGGTTTTTTTTTCCTAAGTAGGGCTGGTTCTGGCTTGTCTTCCTTCTCCCCACTTTGCTTCTTACTCTTGGGCTTACAAACTGCCTGGTTTCCCTTCTCCAAGTCAGGGCTTCGTTTCTCTGCCTTGGCCTTCCTACCCCACCTTCTGCGTTCTGACTCCATGAGGCCCTTTTCGCGTCTCATTTTCTGCCTTCTTTAGGCGTTCCCTCGGCGGCTCTGCAGTGTGATCTCATCTCTTTGTTTCTCCCCGGCTGCCGTCAGTCACCGGCTCTCTGCGCCCCCACCCGCGCGGGCTCGCGGCCGTGCTGCGGGCGTGGCCTCAGCCGCTGAGACCCTGGGGACCGCAGGGCGTGGCGCGGCCTCCGCCCGCTGCACGGAGAGCCCCCCAGAGGCAGCGACACGGCGCTTGGGGTCCGCGGGGCTCCTCCTCCAACTCCGCAGACCTCCGGGGAGGCCTCTTGCTCCCCGAACACCCGGGAGTTCGCTTTCATTTTTAACGAATCTCCACAATCTCTTGTTTGGGAGATAATTGCTTCTTTCAGGGGCTTGGAGAACAAAAGCGTCAGCCCAGGGCCCCAGGTCTCTCCGCGGGAGGAGGGCACCCAGGGGCGATGCGCCGGGCTCTCTCCTTCGCCCTTCTTGGCCCGCTCGCCTTCAGCTCCCACCCGCAGCAGCAACCGCAGCCTGCTTCCGGGGACTGAGCAGCCCTGGGTCAGCCAAGGTTAAGCAGCGGGTGGGGAAGAGGAGAGAAAGCTGGGTCAATTGGAAGTAACCTTCTTGTACCGCCCACTTTTTCCTTGCTTGGAGGCGGCAAAAAGCACTTTAGCATTCTTCGGGCTGTTTGCGCCTCTTTCTCTAACAGGGCCAGGGGAGTGGAAGAGCGGCCGGCAGGAAGGTTTCTTTGTCAGCAAAAGCGGACCTTTGGAAACTAAACAGCAATGCTCTGTCTTTAGAAGACAGCACAGGAAGGAACAAACAGCTGAGGAGTGAAGGCCAGAGACCCCATTTGGAAAACAATGGCCTTTCATGATTATTACTATTTTTAAAAAGTTTTCTAGGCTTTTTCATTTGAACTTTCCATTTCTCACTATGAAATGCAGGTTCTATAGACAATTGCACACAAGTTTCTTTTTCGGGGGGGAGGGTAAACGAAGCAGGTGGAAAGAAGTGAGATGATTGTAGACGTGGCCAAATTTAGACTTGGTGTGAGATTTCCTCTTCGCTTGGAAACACATGGCACCAGCATGCATTTGTTCATTCATTCAATAATGTGAATGAACATTAAACACTACGATGTGATGGGCTTTGTCACAGGCTGTAAGTGGCTTCAGGTCCACATGAAAGGAGAGCGAAAAATTAAAATAAAATATTAGAGAGAGAGAAAAGGGAAGAGGGGCAAGGTGTCAGGCAGCAAGCTTCTTAGGGTCAGAATGGGTCCCCATCCCTAAAAGCTGATGACTGAAGAGACCCACGAGGGTAGACGAGCTGTAGAGAGACAATACTGCATCTGCCAGTGATGAGTGTAGGAAGCTCATGAGGGTTAGAACCTTCCCTCTCTGTTTTCTGACCTCTTTTTCTTTTTAAATAGGTTGAAGCCAACTGTGGTAGAGGATAACAGTGATTCGCGTATCTTATTTATTTATTTTTAGCAGCCCCCTCCCCCGCAACTAGGACAGTGAGTTCCATTCAGATTTTCAACACAGCTAAAAACTTGGCTTTAAAACTTGTGAAGGGAGACATTTCTTTAGAATCTTTCACTTTTTTCATCGCAGAGGCTTTGGGGGAATGTTTAGCTTTTTGCTGAATCATGAAGGGTTTGTTACTGCATTCTGAGAGGGTAGGAATTAGATGCCTAAAGGATGGTGTCTGCTTTCCTGTTGAGGTGGTTTATTTAACAGTTCATAGAGGCATGCAGGTCAAGTCATCCTTAACTGTACAGAGTCAAGGGTATTGCCACATGGGAGGCTGGCCAGCGGAGAAGTTTGGTGCTCTCTCAGTTTGGAGATCCTCATGTTGTATACATATTCCAAAATTCCCAGTAATTATGTACCTATAATTATATACCTATAAATACCATTCCAGATACTAGAATAAGATCACAGATAACTTCTTAGATGTTTCTTTTCTAGAGAAATAGGGAAACAGAACATATATACATTTGCACACAATTCAAACTTACACTTTGAATGTTTGTCTTAAATCTCCTAGTCAACTCCCTTAATGTACAGACAAAGAAACAGATCCAGAGAAGTGAAGAGACTTTCATAAAGTTGGAGTCAGGTTGGGATATGTCAGGCCTGGCCTTCTTGCTGCTGATTATTTCTCTGAATTTTATAATAGAGGCACCTCTGAAACTGTCTGAAACTTTTCATTTAAAGAGATATTCAAAAAGAACTGTAGATTTCTCAGAACGGGTGTGTTTAGTCTGAGTGTTGTGGGCCAGTATATTTCATCATTGAATGTGCAAAAGATTTGTTAAAATGGAGATATTGGTTCAGTGGGCCTGGGCGGGGTGACAGTCTGCATTGCCAGCCCAAACTGCCCTTAGTGGTGCAGATGTTGCTGGTCCACATGTGGAACGGCTAGGCTGTAGACAGCATCTGTCCTCCTTGCCTTTCCTTCTTGCTGAGGGAACAGCCCTGGGGATTTAAGAAGCCCTTTTTGTTTCTGTTGCCAGGTCACTGTGCTCCCTTAGCTAATCTCGATAGCTTTCACTGCCTTGTCTTCATCCAGATCTAAGATTGTTAGAAATAGTCCCTAGAGACAGGTGTCTTGAGCTGGAGGGTGTGATCCTTTGTATAGTGACTTAGCACCATTTAACTTGGTTCCACAAAATGTTTCTTTCACACATAAGCAATTTACTCAACTCAGATTGTTAAAAAAAAAACTGTTTTTCCTTCCACAAGTGTCCTCCCAGCTGCAGCTCATTGCACTCCCTTGCAGCTGGGAGTGCAGCTGGCATGCTGCTAGCTCACTGGTCTGGCCCTTCCACTGGAACCCAGCAAGTTTTCTGTGCTTTTTTTCACCACTCTCTTCTATCCTGCACTTCTGCATGTGACGCCTAGATTTAGCTGTAAGTGCCTTTGTGCAGCATCTGAGTTGAGCAAGCTGCTAAGATATAACTGGGCAGAGGTTCTTCTAAGGCAGGCAAACTTCAGTGTCACCCAAAGGGTGGTTTGACTTGGCTTTGCTTTGTCAAGCCCACCGGGCTTTGATATGACTTTGTTTTTGTTTGTTTGTTTGTTTGTTTTTGTTTTTTTGAGAGGAATCTCGCTCTGTCGCCCAGGCTGGAGTGCAGTGGCGTGATCTCTGTTCACTGCAAGCTCTGCCTCCCGGGTTCACGCCGTTCTCCTGTCTCAGCCTCCCGAGTAGCCGGGACTACAGGCACCCGCCACCAAGCCTGGCTAATTTTTCGTATTTTTAGTAGAGATGGGGTTTCACTGTGTTAGCCAGGATGGTCTCGATCTCCTGACCTCGTGATCCACCCGCCTCGGCCTCCCAAAGTGCTGGGATTACAGGTGTGAGCCACCGCACCCAGCAATATGACTTTGAATCGCAAGTTTGGCTTGGGGAGAAACTAGGGCTTTTTTTTTTTTTTACCTGGGAGCTGTCAAATTGCAAACCACAGGGCATGCTCACAAGAGAAGTGGGAAGATAGGGACCATTTCATGAATTTCTCAAATGCCAAAGCAATGCATATTTTCTTAGCTTGATAAGCAATGGGAATGTCTAAAGTTTGTTTTTGGTGGGGGTCGGGGGGAAGGGGAAGGGCATATTGTAATGAAACCACAATTCGATTTTAGCTTACTGTGATAAAATATGTTGCACAGAGTGGAAGACAGACTAAGGAAGAGAGCTTCTTAGATTGAATGTTATAGTGTTAGCTTTTATTGTCAGTTTTAAACCTTAAAATATGAGAATAGTACTTCTAGGTAGAGTTTCTGACATTTGGTAAAAGGAGAATCTTCGTCTAGGTCCTCCCTGCATACCCACTGCACTATCGCCACCAGCTACTTCTGTTATTGCCTTGATTCTCTGCAGTGATTTAAACCTTCTGTTGTATGTTTCTTGGGTGCTTCCATATCTTCCATATCATGGCATAGTCACTCAGATGCATACTCATTTACCAGAGGCTGCAGAGGTATCAGGCAACTTTGGTTTGTTCAGCTTACCGGGTTTTGATATGACTTTGAATTGCAAATTTGGCTTGGGGAGAAATTAGGGAATTTTCTATGTAGTAACTGTCAAATTGCAAACCACAGAGAGAGTTGGCTACTGGATTTTTCTGGGAATCATTTATTCCTAGTCTTGGGTATAATTCTGAGCTGATACAGTAATATGGGAAATTCTTGGTTTCTGAGAAGTAAATCAGAATCCTGGTAAGAGTGGTGACATCACCTCTTGAACTCAGGAGAGTCTCCAGGACTTTTTATGCAGCAACACATCTGTAAAGCTCCCCATTGTTGGAGTTTCACTAATTTGGTGCTCTGTACATCCCTTTGGGCCATGTGACATCACTTATGAGAGGGTTGTGGCATGTCTCATAGTGTTGTATATGTCAAGTAGAAAGTTATTTTCATTGACCTCAAGACTGCAGAATTAGACAATATCTCCCTATTTTTACCCAATTTAGCCAAATTCTTTCATTCAAAGATTAGATTATTATTAATCCCTGAACGCAGGTTCATAGGAATTAATTCAAGAGTCGTAAAATTTGCTTGCCTGGTTTCCAAACTAAATAAAAGGGAATTTTCTTTCTTTGATGGCTCCAAAGGGTTCGGTGTTTCTCCCTGCAGAACCACAAAGTGGGAGGTGTGCTGCTGCTTTGTACCATGAACTACACAGTCATCAAACATATACATTTTCTCCACAACCTATGCTGCATAAATAATATGATACTTTCTGAGTATCATTCGATTCAGAGCAATTTGTACGGCATGCGTGAAACAGTTCTAGATGGGGTTTCCTTATATACCTCACTACAATTGTGAAAAAAAGGAACACGAATAGTTGGTTCAAGTAAAAAGCAATGTTTAATTCAGGAACTCAGGCTGAATTTAAATCCTCACACTCAGGAATAAATCGCAGAACCTTCTCTTTACCACCTGCTCAATCCCTTCCTTCTGATAAGAATGCATAAGGTTGACTCTAGTCCATTCATCTGCTTTTCTCATTTATTAAATAGCCATAGTTCCTGACCTGATGCCCTCTCCCTCCCTCTTCTCCCAGTATTGCTTTCCCTGCTCTCTGATATTTTTCTCTTTTGCTTTCAGAATTAAAAGGGAACCTGGTCTCTGGGTTGTTTTCAACATCTCAAGTGTGAATTTTCCCTGTCAAAATCTTCACAAGGAAAATGAGTCACAGCATCACCTGGGTGACGAGGTCATAACACCTCAGCCCTTGCTTAAAAAATTTTATTTCTACTTTTCTATTGTAAAGAGATCTCAAAACAGGAAGATAAAATTGGACTGACAGCTCTACAGCCTAGTCTTTTAGACAGTGAACTAGGCCAGCATTGGCAGACACTGGCGATGACAAAGTCCTGCTCTGAATTATGCCACCCCGCACTCCACTTTTTACCTTGCCTGGGAGGCTTGAGGAAAAATCTTCAGAGAGCAGTTCGACCTAGTCCTTATTCACTTGGCTTCTTGACTTTCTGGATTTCAAGGGTAATTTTACCTCACATGTAACCTATACAAGTATTTTAGGTTAAAACCCTGACTCTGCCACTTACTAGCTGTATGACTTTGAGCAAATTACTTAATTACTTAACTAATGTCCTTCTACTTAGTCTTTTCATCTGTAAGATAATAGTACCCATTGCATAGTTTTGTTCTTAGAATTGAATTAGTTAATATACAAACTATATGCAATAAATATGTTTGGGGTGTGTATATATCATATAAAAGTGCTTAGAAGAGTGCTTGACATATAGTTTTAGAATTTGCTATTATTATGTTCTCCAAGCATATGAGGGTATTTTATGTCATTACTTTTAAAGGTCGCTTTTTTATATGTGTTAGTGGGAGGCATTTATTATTTTTTTAAGTGTGCATATCCCTGAAACATCCCTCTGTGGAGCTATAAAAGAAAACTATAAAATATTTACCATATAATTCACTCAATCCCCAGTCTCCAGAAAGTAACAATTTGTACTTCATTTGTATTGTCTTCTTCCAGGCATTTTACAAATACTATTTTCTTTCATCCTCAAAAAAATTCTGCACAATAGGTAATAGGATTCTAATATGGGTGATAAGAAAACTGAAATTTAGAGAAATTAAGTAATTTATCCCAGGTCATACATTTAAGCAGTGAATGAGCCAGGATTCAAACTCAGATCTTTTGACCCCAAAACCATGCCAGGTAGCAAGTAATCAATGAATGTCAATGACAGATCATCGAGAGAGAATCCAGTGCCAAAAATGAAGAGGGTGTCAACAAAATAAGAACAAGGACAATGGCAGCATGAGCAACAAGAACAAACTTAGATCCAAAATTAACAGTTAAAGATTTTTCTAGAGTCCTGCATATTTTTCCTTAAACTGTCCAGCAGCTTGGGGACAGAAATCTAATTAAAATGGAAGTCTATGCATGCTCAAACCACATGCCTTGTACCTGATGCAATCCGCTTCCACCCCAGTCCTGAAAAAAGGCATTCAGTTATTTTTTTCTACATGTGGAAGAATACAACAACATACCTTCTAGAATCAGGGAGAAATGTACTTGCTCTTTTTATTTTTTTTTAATTTCTCAAATACTGTTCTATAAGGATAATCACTCACCTGGTGATTAATGTAGAATGTTAAGGTGTGTACAAATTACTGCTGATAGGTAACACTGTCCTTGCAAAATCATCCCATGTGCCCCCCTCAAATAAATAAGTATACTTCAAAAAGCAGTGTGCTTGCTATACAAGTGCAGTTTTAAGAAAAATCACTCAGCTCTCTCTTGCAAACATGTTCTTTCCCCTAATGCCTCCTACACAGAGATTCTGGAGCCACCCCCTTCAGAATATCTGAAATATAGACCAATTTTGCTCGTTAAAACTACTTCAAGTAGTCCTAGAGCTGATATTAGGATTGCTACTTATTCAGTCATACTTTTCGAGTGTTCATTGTTGAATTCTTAGATTGAATTTTCTATTAGTTTCCTTAAAATATAAGAGGTTGGAGGGCTAAGTTTAAGACCCATTCTACTAATTGTGAGGCTTTCCACAATCTGTGTTTCCTTATTTTTTTAAAGGGGATGGCACACTTGCTTAGCCTTCTTCATTATCATTCTCAGAGGAATCATTTTAAGTTGAAAGTACTTCATAACCTATAATGCATAAATTTAAACCACTGTCATTTCCCCCCACCACAGCCCTTGGCAAATGGGGTCTTAAATTCCTTCTCCCACCAACTAGACTTTTAGCATGCATTCTGACACGTATTGTGTATCCTTACTAGATATGAGGTATATAATATTTGGGCTTTACTAACTATCCAGTGGGGGTGCATTGGATATACTTGGCTTGGCAATTTCAAATTATAATGATCTTCAGTACCAGATGCTCTTAAGCTAGTCCCCTACAAATGTCTGGCAGCTTCATTTGTAACTTTTATCAGGCTTGAGTATTACCACACACAAGCACATAGAGTAGCTCTCAGAACCTGCAGAGGCAATTGTTTTACTAGATGTGTGAGGGATATAGTTGGATCAATGGGATAGATACTGTATATGAAATAGTGGCTAAATGAGTGTGTGTGTGTGTGTGTGTGTGTGTGTGTGTGTGTGTGTGTGGTTGGGGGATGTCAGGTGAAGGTCACATATTTTGGGAATGAATAGATTTCTAGTTTCAGTGAATTTCTATCACTAAGCTCCTACACTAGGTGAAGTTTTGGGGGGTGGGTAAGTTAGAGAAGACTGAGAAGGAATCAGTTGGTGTGTGTCAGGTGATAGTAGAGTGGGACTGTGGTTTAACTTTGACAATGTAAACAGATCTTCCCCCTTCCCAAGATAAGAAAGAACAGAGTTGAGTACTATGGCACATTTTACATGGTTTCCTGCTTATCTCTTTCTTTGAGAATAGATATAGCTCAGTAGTACTGTCGAGTTAAGAAATAGCTTTTCCACCCTCTGAGTGATGATACCTACAATCATCAGGATGAATACAGTCTCATGACCAAATCTCCTCTGGTATTTGTCTTATCAACATGCCTTAACTTAATGTCACGATGCTCTAGAAATTACTCTGAGAGAATAATGGTGATGGCAATAATTATGATGAGAATAATGGTAGCAGCCACCCCTTTCTGAGTATGTACAAAGTGTCAGGGACTGTGCTGGGTGCTTTATGTGCATTAACTCATTTGATTCTCATATCAGCCCAATGGGATAGTTTTTTTATTCCCTCATCCTGCAGATGAGGAGCCTAAAGCTGACTTGCCCAAGGTCAGGATCTACCAAGTAACTGGCAGAGCTGGAATTCAAACTTACACATGTCTAACTCCGCAGCCCATGCTCTTAAGCACCAGGGAATATTGACTTTTACAGGAGGAGGACTAAGCAAGGGCTTTGTCATTCAGAAGCTGGATGACGCTGGACTCCTTCCTGGTTCCTCATCTGTGTTGATTATAAAACAGGCACAGTGATGTGTTCCTCACATGATCATGATGAGGATTGAATTGAAATACTAAATATATATACTGTGCACTTATAAATGTAAGAAGAGAGAGGAAAATGACTGCTGGAGAGTGGCGTGATGAAGGCTCCAGCATTAGTGACCTGGAGCGAGAACACCCAGCCAGTGAGCTGAGTGTTCACACACAGAGAGTTTACACACTCTCTGAGCACCAACACAGTATGGCATGTGGTCATGCAACAACTAAAAATAACATTTTTTTTTAGTATCAACTATGTGCCAGCACTATTTTAGCCACTGAAGCTTAGAAGATTGTAAAAAAACAGATAAAGTTCTGTTCTCAGATTGTTTATAGCCCAAGCGAAGTTCAGTTAGTAATAAAATAAAAACATACAGCAGATGATCATAAGAACTAAGAGGGGAAAGACAGAGAAGTGGACCAAGAGTGACAACATTTGAAGAAGGGTGTGTGGTAGAGTGGGTGAGAAAAGTCTCTGACTCATTTATTCATTGAACAAAATGTCTCAAGTACCTGCTGACTCAGACTGTAACTTATGAAGGGGGTTTAATTAAGAAAAAATAGATGAACAATCATTATTTGTTATAGTAGGAAGACTGTAGTAATTTAAGAAAATACTTATCTTATTGCATCTCACATTTTTGAGTATCCAACAAAAGACACTTCGCAGTGTCTTACCTGGAAGGAAGATTGTTTTATGCTAAGTTCCCTGGGCTCTGGGGCCCTCTTCCTGCTGGTGAGCTCTGACCATCTTCAGGAGCTTGGCATGTGCTTTGCTCTTGGGGCCTCTCAGCTGGGAAAGATTTGCCTCTGGTGGTAGTACAGGGGTTTGTCTGCTGGTAAACTGCTTTTCTGTCTTTTTCTTGATGCATTGGCTTCCTGCAGCTCTTCTTCTGTCTTCAGTTGCTAGCAGAAGAGGCCTCACAGTCCCTCTCATGGACTGGTCTGTGATAGCCTTTTTAGCTGAGTGATGGGGAGTTCCACCCTTTTGTTCCTAGCTCACAGTGGCTGCTAAAGGCATAGCAACCTCTCTGAGAGCAGAGTCTAGTGTCCCCCTCACTTTGCCAGCCCTTCTGTCCTTTGAGCATGTCATTTCTTGAGGGAATCAACATGTGCTTCTGTAATGGGCAGTGTTCATCAGAGGGTTTGCTCCCATTGCTCAAGAGTAGAGATGCTTCCTCCCAGGGCTGACTTCCCATAGGTATTTTCCTGAGTCTCAGTGATTTTGACCCTTGATTCAGTTAGGTAACTTATACCTATGTCTGCTATATCCAAAAGTTTTCTAGAGGAGTTTAGTCAAGTGATTCTGTCTGGCTTGTGCCTTGGTACATGACCAGCATGATTAACGTGCCTCATCGCAACACTGGGCTCTTCCAACCCCTGTTTAGGGAAGGAGACTTCCTTCCTTGAATAACTAAGGGACTAGTTATTCCCAGCCTACTCCCCTTAAGCTTTGGAGAGCAATACACAGATTAAATATAAATAGTAGGGAGCAGAGATTCTCCAGCAATCTCCCATGAATATTTTCACCACTTTTATTTATTTATTTGAGACGGAGTTTCGCTCTTGTTGCCCAGGCTGGAGTGCAATGGTGTGATCTCAGCTCATCGCAACCTCCGCCTCCTGGGTTCAAGCAATTCTCCTGCCTCAGCCTCCCAAGTAGCTGGGATTACAGGCATGTGCCACCACACCTGGCTAATTTTGTATTTTTAGTAGAGACAGAGTTTCTCTATGTTGGTCAGGCTGGTCTCAAACTCCTGACCTCAGGTGATCTGCCCACCTCAGCCTCACAAAGTGCTGAGATTACAGGCATGAGCCACAGCACCCAGCCACTTTCACCAGTTTTGCTAGTGAAAACGCATATAAGCAGGGAGCAGTGCCTCACACTGTAATCCCAGCACTTTGGGAGGCCGAGGCAGGAAGATGGCTTGAGTCCAGGAGTTTGAGACCAGCCTGGGTAATATGGTGAAATGTTGTCCATCTCTACAAAAAATATAAAAATTAGCTGGGCATGGTGGCACATAGCTGTAGCCCCAGCTATTTGAGAGACTGAAGTGGAAGGATTGCTTGAGCTTGGGAGGTCAAGGCTGCAGCAGTCATCTGAGATAGTGCCACTGCGCTCCAGCCTGGGTGACAGAGAGTGACCCTGTCTAAAAAAAAAAAAAGAAAGAAAAAGTACACACACACACACACACACACAGAAAAATAATTTTATTGATATGACTCTAACGAGTCAATAGATAAATATAAATCAGTTGTCTTTATCTTAGATGTATTATTATTTTCAAGTGCTTGTTTATTATTATGATCAATGGCGTTTCTATAGCTTTGCTATTTCTTTTCTTGTTAAACCTCTGCTTACTAATTTCTATAATTGGGGAATCATATACCTGTTGTAGTTAGATGCTCTTGAATTCCACCACTGAGAAGTGAAGGATTTTAACAAAAATTGACAAAATCGAATCCAGATTTCTTCACCTGTCATCATCTTTCTGAAATAGCACTAATGGAGATGCTCAGATTTTGGATTCATCCAATAAATATTAATTGAGCATCTACTTTGTGCCAGGCACCATTCTAGAAACTGGCATTCAGCTCTAAGTAAAATAGACAAGGTACTTCTCAAAGGCTGACTTTTTTTCTGTTTGAAGGCATCAGTTGCAATACATTATTTACCTCTTCTATGTCTTTGTGGGACATAATAGGGTTATAGATATACAAAATAAAAGAAAACAACTTTTCAGACTGGAAACTGAGTTCTACTCTGATAATGCTTTATACTATGTTGAAGATACCACCTCATATTATTTTGGAAGCAGGTGGGCTGTACATGTTGAATAAATAATACATTAAAGTGGACTGAAGACCCATCTTTTGATCACCAGCTCTTATCTGAAAAGTTAACATTACTACTGCAGTTTCCAATATGAGATATTTTGTTTTCTTATACAGTTTCATTGCTTCTCTGCGCACTCTGCTCCCCATTCCCCTCATACCCTAGGTATGAGGTCTTCAAACCAGACTGCATGTTGGGGGATCCGGTGTATGCCCACTGTGCTTATTCATCTTTTTATTTTTATTTTTTTTTTTTAATTTTTTTTTTAATTTTTTTTTTTATTATACTCTAAGTTTTAGGGTACATGTGCACATTGTGCAGGTTAGTTACATATGTATACATGTGCCATGCTGGTGCGCTGCACCCACTAACGTGTCATCTAGCATTAGGTATATCTCCCAATGCTATCCCTCCCCCCTCCCCCGACCCCACCACAGTCCCCAGAGTGTGATATTCCCCTTCCTGTGTCCATGTGATCTCATTGTTCAATTCCCACCTATGAGTGAGAATATGCGGTGTTTGGTTTTTTGTTCTTGCAATAGTTTACTGAGAATGATGGTTTCCAATTTCATCCATGTCCCTACAAAGGACATGAACTCATCATTTTTTATGGCTGCATAGTATTCCATGGTGTATATGTGCCACATTTTCTTAATCCAGTCTATCATTGTTGGACATTTCATCTTTTTAAAGGACACTTTCTTCCTTACACCTGCACCGAAACCGGCAGTGACATTCCATCTATAGAACTGGAGGAGGCTGGCCCACTGTCTTCTCTCTCCTCCCTAAGGGGTATTTTACTGTATTTTTGATCTTTGTCTAGGTTTAAAGAAAGTACAGAAGCTCCACTGTGAACTACTTTAATACTTGCACATTTTCCCTAAAGTCAATTGCCATGGTATCAATGATGCTTAAAAATAGAGTGAAATTTTGTTATGTGACTTTCACCTCAATAAATTATTAATAAAAAATAAAGTGGGCCATAAGTAGGTACTTCCCAGATTTTATTTATATTTATCAACACTTTATTCTGGTTCCTTTACAGGCTGTAGAAGATTCTGATAGGCATGAAAACTACAACATATTTAAAAAAACATTGCTTAGGATATCTCCGGCCTTTCAAGTTTGTTCTCAAAAATAACTTTGCTTGATCAAATGAACTATATTTTGGTTTACTAAAGATGTTCTCAGAAAGAAGAATATGTGTACATCAATGATTTGTAATGCATTTAAAATTCAATACTATTTTTTAAAAATTTAAGTATTATAATGGTACTATTTATAGCTAGCAGAAGTAGATATAGGGCCAAGTTTTAATTTGCTTGGAAGGTTGAGGCATTCCTATGATAACTGGGAAAAGTGAAATGCATTGAGGTATCCCAGATGAATGGATGATGTTATTTTTAGTTCTGAAAGTTAGCCATTCATGGATTTTTGCCTAGAGCTCTTTTGTAACATATTGAATGCAAATGTTTGGACATTTTAGAATAAATCTTAAGTTGTCCATTCCTCCTTTCCCCAAAGGAAAAGAAGACCAGAGCAACAATGTTGGATACTTAAGTAATTACTTCTTATTTCTGGCTTTCTTATCTGTAATTCTTAAATATCAATTAAAATCATTGTTCATTCATCTAATGGATTTAGAAGTTTCATTAGTGTCAACAAGTTAGTGTAATGGTACTCTTCATTTTTTCCAACCAATATTCATCTGAGATTTTAATGTTTGTTTAAAAAGTAGGGATGTCCTACACCTTGGTTTCCTTTAAGACTTCATAAATTGCAGAGCTCTCAAACAAATCAGTCAGTAAAAAATATTAAGCCATAACAATAAAGATTCCTGAAAAACTTATGGTAACTCGTAATGACACCCTTCCTACCTATAATGTACTGCACTGGAATGTCCTCTTTACTTAATTCGCAGATATCAACAATTCTGTGTAAAAATGAAATAACTTTGAAATTCCCTCAGAAACATTAGAGTTCATTACAAAGCTTATTTGTGGCAAGACTTAGTTTAAAAACTAAATCTATCTTTAGTGACATTTATGAGCTGACTTTTTAGCCATTAGATAGCAGGATTCCTTTTCTGGACATTTCATCTTAACTCACAGTTTTAGAGTGTTGTCCTTACTTGAAAAGAAGAGTGTAAGATCAGGTGTCTACTGCAAATTCCTGGGAAGTTATTTATTGTTAAAGCACTATGATGTGGTTTAAGTGTATTTTCAAAAGGATTCTATGTGGGTAGACACAGTATCCTTCCGTTCAGTAGCATTTGTATAGTGCTTAACATAGGCACTGAGTATTTTTAAGTGAATAAATCAACGAGAATGCTGATGTGAAGCCTTATGGATTATCTACTACAAGTAAGTCCAAGCTATTCCAGGTCAGCCATGCAATAAAATTGGACTTGGAAGTAGGTGGGAGGGGAGAAGAGTTGAGGTCAAATACAAGCTGGGCCACTGCCTCCCTCACTCGCTGTATGAATTTAGGCAAGTCACTTAACTTTTCAGGGCCAGGGCTGTCCCTTTTGGAAAGTGAAAGTATTTTGCTGAATGTGCTGAGTAGTCTGGTTTCTCTGGGCTTGAATGTCCTTCATCTTAAGTAAGCGCTTCTATTTCTAGTGGGGAAAGGGTCAAAGCGTTCTCAGAACCTGGGGTTACTCCACATAGCCAGTTTTGGGAAATGTTCTTTTTCTCCTTGTCTTAACAAAATACACAACAAAATACACTCCCAGTCCACTTACTTTTATACTGTACTGTGAAAAGAATTTTACCAAGAAATAACCTGCAGTTTAAGGAATATTAATAGAATCATTAGAAATACAAAAGAAAGACACACAAACAAAATCCAGTGGTGTCTAGCTTCAAACCCAGTATTAACTTAAAATATTTTTATTTATGGATGTCTCTATTCAATCACTGAAGTCTGACCTCTTCTTAGCCTGGTTTATTTCCTTCCCTTTCCTCCCCTCTCCTCTTTCATTTCTTCATCTCCTTCCCACATCCCTCTCCTCTCCTCTCCTCTCCTCTCCTCTCCTCTCCTTTCCTTTCCTTTCATTTCCCTGCGTCTGTTTCTTTACTGCTATCTGGAAAAACTTCTATTAATTGTCTTTTTTTTCCCAACTAATCTCTAAAATTTAGTTTTCCTAAATCTCTAATGATGAAGTCCAGCAGTTTCTCCAGGATGAGCTACATGCGTGTGGAGTACTTTGAGCATCTTTTTGGGTATAGTCACTTATTTGGGTACCTGGCTCTTATAAGACTGTCTTCACCTCTCTCTCCTAACTCTTGTTTTTCATGGTTCTCCCCGTTTCTGCTCACTCCTGCTTCCCTTGAATTTCTTATACTTCTGGGTTGTTTAAGTGAGGTTTGTCTCACAATCTTGGCACCCTAGTCTAGTCTTAGCCTTTCTAAAAAGTCATTCTAACATAGATGCTGTGTTCAGAAGCTTAAATTCTGATTTTTTAGAAAATTGAAGTTGCAGATGCTTTAAGAAATTGAGAGAGAGAGAAAGAGAAAGAGGAGGGAGAGAAAATTGAGAGCCCTTTCTTTATCCTTGTAGTTTCTTTGTTTATATCATGTAGACTCTCAGCTTCCTTCTCTTTGTGATTTCCAGCTTTTCAGGAGTTTCATCCCCCTACTCCTTATGTTCATAAAGAAAAGACAGAGCTCTAAAATGTTAGCTTTCTTGAGTCACTAGAGAGTCTTTTGTGGACACCTGCTCCTTCTGAAACAATTGACTTGTCTACTTTCACAAACAGCAGTATTTGTATTAAAGAACCAGTTGGCATCAATGCCCAAGTGCAGGTGTCCTAATATATAAGATGGTGCTTCATTCAGAAAACTCAAGGTAGAGTAAAATAAATTATCAACATCTTGGCTCCATGCTCCATTCACAACTGTTAATTTTACAGGGTTATGCTTCCATCTCTGAGCAGAGAACTCCTGGCAGGGACAGCTGCTCCTGTGTCTCACATTGGGCTGTGCTCATCCCAGTAGGAGTCATCAAGAGCAGCAGGTTAGCGAGAAGGTGATAGTACATCAGAGAACTGAGCAGTGGAGGAGGGAGAAGGATGGGCCTCTCCAAAGTGCTTTTCATTTACTCCTTTAATCTTTGTGTGTATATACATGCATGGTTAACTAAGGAAAAAGGAAAAGTTGACTTGAATTTGACTGAGAAAATTATCAGACCTGCTTTTACTTGTACATGTAGCTCATTTTCAAAAATACTTTTGTGTATCCACTGGTATGTTGATGGTCCTATGCAGCAATAGGTCTGTACGCTTGTCCAAAGAATGTCTAACAGCCCCACATCATGATTAGCAGGAGCTGGGTCACTGGGGCAGAGCTGGTTTGACAGGTGGAAAACTTGTCCTGAGTAGTTCTGTATTAGCTTACCTCCTAAACTGGAGCAAAGGTCAAGGCCAATCCAAGATTGAGAAGAGGCGCCGAACATGTTACATGGTAAACACTCTTTTATTAGTGGTCTTTTGAGGGAAAGTTGCTGTGTTGTTCTTTGCTGTTATTTCTGCTAGAACAGTGTTCACAAAAGTGAACAAAAGTTCAATGCTCAAGTTAAAGAAATCTAAGAATGGAGACTATCAGTAGCCATGTTGGGGCACCATGGTAAACAATGGAACTGGATAAAATTTTATGTAGTTGCCTACACAATTCTTTCTATGACCATACCTGCTGTTCCTATCCTCTGAATTAATTTTCATGTGGAAAATAGTCATTTGCAGCATATATTAGGCTACAAATGTTGCCATCAAAAGGTAACATTCTATATGCTAGTCTCTTGTCTTTAGTACTAAGATGGCTCTATTGATGATAATACGAACACATTTTAGGTTCCCAATTGCTTTGGGAATAAAGAATTGTGACTTAGTTAATATAAGTTGCTTTTTCAAAAGGAGAAACAGTGTTTCCCATCATTTTTTAAAATTCAGGAATAGTGGTCTTTTTTAATTCAGATTTTGAAGGTTTGGTAAGTTTATTGCTAATGTTGGACCACACGCAAGAGAAAGTTAGACATTATTTTGTGACCAGCATTGTTAAGTTGTCACATTCTGAACAAATCCCTTAAAGACCTGGAACTCATTTACATTTTGCATAAAATCCTGATGGGATTTATGGTTTAAACTTTGACTATACTCTTTGTCTTGAATTTATTAATTTCCTTATCAGGCTTAAAACTTGGGGGAAAGTAGACTTTTGCAAAATATTTTTTTAAACCATTAAGTTTTATACAAAGTCCTTCTCAAAAACCCTGTAAACCCTCTATCTTTCAGAGCTCTTTAATAAAAACCTGGGGTGAATGTGATTTATTTTTTGCTTTTGTTTCTGGTTTGCTTGCTTTTTTGAGACAGGGTCTCAATCTGTTACCAAGGCTGAAGTGCAGTGACACAACAACAGCTCACTGCAGCCTCGACCTCGCAGGCTCAAGTAAGCCTCCTTCCTCAGCCTCCTGAGTAGCCAGGACCACTGGTGCATGCCACTACACCCATCTAATTTTAAAATTTTCTGTAGAGATGGGGTCTCACTATGTTGCCAGGGATGGTCTCGAACTCCTATGCTCAAGTGCCTCCTGCCTTCACTTCTCAAGGTGCTTGAATTACAAGTGTGAACCACTGCACCCAGCTTGTAAATGTGATTTGAGTTGTCAAAGTACTTCTAAAAAAAAGGCTGGTTTAAGTTTGACATGGAGCAACATTGAGCCGGGGAAAGAAAATACGTAGAAAATAATGCCAGTGGCCAGATGCGGTGGCTCACGCCTGTAATTCCAGCACTTTGGGAGGTGGAGGTGGGCGGATCACTGAGGTCAGGAGTTTGAGACCAGCCTGAACAACATGATGAAACCCCGTCTCTACAAAATACAAAACTTAGTCGAGTGTAGTGGCACATGCCTGTAATCCCAGCTATTTGGGAGGTCAAGGCAGGAGAATTGCTTGAACCTGGGAGGCGGAGGTTGCCGTGAGCTGAGACCACGCCATTGTACTCCAGCCTGGGTGACAGACTGAGACTCTATCTCAAAAAAAAAAAAAAAAAAAAAAAAAAAAAATGGCCAGTGATTCTGGAAGGTCCGAAAGACATTACTTTTCCCATACAATACTGTGGGAGAAAGATGAGGTTTGATTTGAACTTCCAGGGTACTGTTGAATTCTTAACTCCAAAAACAGTGCCTGGCACAAAATAAATCACTTAATAAATACTTGTTGAATGCTGAGATTTAAAGGAGAAGAATGTCATTGAAGCCCTCTCTTTTCCCTTCTTTTCT
Organism: Homo sapiens; assembly: GCF_000001405.40. NCBI lineage: Eukaryota > Metazoa > Chordata > Mammalia > Primates > Hominidae > Homo > Homo sapiens. The sequence goes on from NC_000003.12 coordinate 115,676,005, forward strand.
CGACAAAGGTTGAAAAAAATGATGACGACCAAAAGATTGAACAAGATGGTATCAAACCAGAAGATAAAGCTCATAAGGCCGCAACCAAAATTCAGGCTAGCTTCCGTGGACACATAACAAGGAAAAAGCTCAAAGGAGAGAAGAAGGATGATGTCCAAGCTGCTGAGGCTGAAGCTAATAAGAAGGATGAAGCCCCTGTTGCCGATGGGGTGGAGAAGAAGGGAGAAGGCACCACTACTGCCGAAGCAGCCCCAGCCACTGGCTCCAAGCCTGATGAGCCCGGCAAAGCAGGAGAAACTCCTTCCGAGGAGAAGAAGGGGGAGGGTGATGCTGCCACAGAGCAGGCAGCCCCCCAGGCTCCTGCATCCTCAGAGGAGAAGGCCGGCTCAGCTGAGACAGAAAGTGCCACTAAAGCTTCCACTGATAACTCGCCGTCCTCCAAGGCTGAAGATGCCCCAGCCAAGGAGGAGCCTAAACAAGCCGATGTGCCTGCTGCTGTCACTGCTGCTGCTGCCACCACCCCTGCCGCAGAGGATGCTGCTGCCAAGGCAACAGCCCAGCCTCCAACGGAGACTGGGGAGAGCAGCCAAGCTGAAGAGAACATAGGTGAGCAACCGCGAGGGTCAGATGCAATGGGTGGATGGGGAAGGGAGTTGCTATTCGGAAGACCAGGCCACCTGGGTCATTGAGGGAGAGGAAAAAGTCTAGAAGATGTTTTCCAGAAATCAAGGGAAGCTGTGCTTAATTTCCCAAAGTGGCAGGACTAAGAGCTAAGGTTACATTCCCAAATATCTCCAGAGAGGACTACCAGAGAGGACTCAGGCAGGTCTATGTAGCAGCCAGTACTAGAAAGATCTGGCAATTACCTTAATTGGATTGATATATGCAGTCAAACTAGATAAATCTGCTTTAAAAAAGTATTCTGTGTGCTGATAGACTTAGTTTAATAAGTAATTACTGAGGCTACATATATTTTATGGATGGGAATTAGCTAATGTGATTATTTGGCTCTAGAAAATGCCTGGTATAAATACAGCCATCCTCTTCTTGATCCAGATTATATAGTGTGTGAATTGTTGGCAGCAAAAGTATAATCTCAGACCACCCTTCCCTATCTCACATTATGTTTCTGGGCATTCTCTCCACCATCGGTTGGTGAGTAGTGTGTGTATATGTGGGTATGCTCAGAGAATGTTAATTGTAACATTAATTGGGGTCAAACATAATTAGGAAAATAAGTCTGTCGATGTTGCCAAAAACAAAAGAAAAACCCCAAATACAGAATATGTTGTGAAGTCAAACATAAATAATCATTTTATTATTGAAGACACGACTTTCTACAATATGCATAAATAATTGAGGGTTCCTATGATTACAAAAAGGTACTGGATTCTCTTCATTTTGGAGCTGTAACTTGAAAGTTGGAGGGTTTTCACTATTACTGCTCAATTGTGCAGAATTGGAATAGAATATTCCCAGAGCAAGATAAATTCAACAGAGTTTCGTCCCTGGAGACTAGATCCTTCCCTCACCCCAACACATCCACAGTGGTAAAGGAGGCCAACAGTTTCCATGATCTTTCTCTAGTCTAATATGACCGATAAATACTTTCCAGCCCCAAAGATCCTCAAAGATAAAGTTTCTTCTGTGTCCATTTAAAAGATTGGGTTTACTCCTTTAGAAGCGCCTCGGTTTAACCAATGATGTTTGTCATCCAAGGGTCCAAATACGGACTGAACCACCGTGTGCTCCTTGGGAGAAAACCTACTCCATGAGAGTGGTCTGAGGAATGTTTTGGCATCTGACCATCAGATTGAGAAAGTAATGACTGGACTTTTACCTTGATATACATTTCCCCAAAATCAGATACTACAATATGGTAGGTGACTATTCTAGATATTTTAGGTCTACTTCTTTCATCGTATCCCTAAAATTCTATGAATATGATGCCAGATTATATTAATTAACATTGTTATTGGCATATTCCAGCTCTGGATAAATCGTATGCTTCTTTTCATTTTGAATCTTTATTCTAACACACAACTGTCCCAGGGGCCAGACATTGAGGTTTAGAAGATGGGAATTTTTCCCTGGAAAAGGTAAGGCATGTGATAAAAAGTGGGGTGTGGGTTTTAATTTACTCAGCAAAGCAAAACTTAACTACTTTTCTTTAGATTTAAGGTTTGAGCCTCAGGTATGATGTCTGGAAATCACTTTGCATATCCACAAGTTACTTAATGTGTCATTTTCATACATCTTAGAAATTAATCATGCTTTTAAATACAGAACATATCTGACATGGCACAGACCATATTTTTTAACTGGGATTTCTAAAGTTGTGGGAAACAGAGAAATGATGTGATTTTAGGTATATGCTTATGATTTGGGTTGATAGAAGGATTTTTTGAATCAGTAGGAAGTCTAATATATAATATATTTTAAAAGAAATTAAGTTTTATTATGTTTCAGGTTATGATAACTAACTGCAAATGAATTAATGAAATATTTTATGTAGTAAGTTGTCAACAAATGTCAAATATTGAATATAAATTGATGAAATTTAAATTATAGATAATAATTTGTTCACTCATTTATATATTTCTCTTGCATATTTGCTTATTCTATTCATTTATTTGATTAAAAATGTGTCTGGTCAGTGAAAGCAAACAGCACTCTTCTCTGCCTTAAATGTTACAGATTCTGACAGAAAAATATCTTAATTAATCAGACTTTATCATGGGCATTCAAAGGTGATTGAAACAATAGGTGAAGTTCAACTTGAAGGTAATCACAAAGGGCAATTTACAGTGTTTCTTAGAGTTGGGTAGGTACTGTCCTCTTGGTTAGATTCAGAAATGCTGCCTGTCGTTTCTTTCTGGGTTGAGGTATCTAGTAGCCTTGCCTGCTCTTATGTGACAAGCACAAATTACTCCGCTGTGATGAATCTCATGGGATCACAGAAGGTAGAGGTGACAAGGAGATCTATCACATCATATCAGGTCCAAATTCCCAGGTGCCCTGTACTGCATTTCCTCTGCCTTCCACTGTATTTCATTTTAACCTGGGTTAAAGTAGCAGCATCTTCCACTGGGCTGTACTGTTCGGAAATGGGTGGCTACCATGGGTTGCTTTAGGATTCTACAGCTGCCTGGAGGGGCGTGGACAGACAATCTAAGAGGGTGCAACAGGGTTAAGGGGAAAAATAGGTACAAAGAGAAAATCTAAGAAAATAATTTCTGTGAATATCAGGCTTAAAAATTTTAGATATGATTATTACTTTAATACCTATGGAAATGTTGGGGGAACTATAAATGTTATTTATTTTACTTCTTTTACTATTTACTACCAACCTGTTTGTTATGGGGGGATGTCATTTGTATTTTGATCTTTGAAGTTGGTTGGTTATTGTCATTGTTTTAAATTCTCCAAGTATGTCCACCTCTCCCTAGTTTGCCACGCTGCCTGCCCAGCTTTTTACGTGCCTGGGACCAAAACATTTCAGCGCACCTCTGACAATGATTCCTTTAGAGGAAGAGGAGTGTTCAAAACATCTGTGGGACACTGCCCCATTCAGTCATGAGTAGAGAACTTTGAAGCCCCCTTTAGTGATTATATCCTTGGGGTCTCCTGCTGAGCAGTGTCACTGTGCTCATTGGCTCTCAATGAAGGAATTCTCTCTTACGTCTCCTCTTCTCCATGGTAGCCTATTGATTTTCCCCAGTAGAGGACTCTGCTGTGGTCATATTCAGTGATGTGGTACAACCAAGGTAACCTATCCAGAGGGCTATCAATCAGTGATATTGATTGGGTGGCTGCCACAGGGTCTTTGACTGATGCTAGTTGGAAGTGTAGCTCTGAGTGACTTTAAATGTTCTGTATGTTGATCTTGGCTGCATTTTATTTTCATGGTCTCAGTACATCTTGCAAATTGATGCCATCAGTAATGATCAAGAAAAGAGGGAGGAGTTTCCTATTGCCATTCCCTGAATAGAAAAATTAACTTAGTGTCTCCCTGCTTCTCTTCCTCCTCTTTTTTATCCTTCCTTCCTCCCTCCTTCCTTCCCATTCTGTCTCCTTCTTTTCTATTCTTCCTTTCTTTTTCCCTTCCCTTTATATTAACTTTCTTCTGTGCTAGGTATTGGAGTCACAAAGATGAATAAGATATGATTTTTTGTCCAGGTGCGGTGGCTCATGCCTGTAATCCCAGCACTTTGGGAGACCGAGGCAGGAGGACTTGAGTCCAGGAGTTTGAGACCAGCCTGGGCAACAGAAGGAGACCCCATCTCTACAAATAATAAATAATTAGCAGAGTGTGGTGGTGTGTGCCTGAGGTCCCAGCCACTCTGGAGGTTGAGGCAGGAAGATCACCTGAGCCCGGGAGGTCAAGGCTGCAGTGAGCCATTATTGTGTGCCATTGTACTCCAGCCTGGGTGACAGAGTGAGACCCTGTCTCAGAAAAAGTAAACCAAACCAAAACAAAAACAAGATGTACTCTTTTGACCTTAATGAATTCTTACTTGGTATGGGGGTAGTATGAAATTCAGGGAATGACATTGAAAACAATCATATTCATAATCTCAATTAAATTCTGCAGTTAGGTACAGGGCACTTCCCTATGCCAATGCACTTTGGACAAAATATGAATGAGGCAGTGCTTCAGGGGCTAAGATGCAGTCTGCTGCTTACTATAAAAACGTTGCATATAATGTATGTCCTGATACTCAAATTATTAACGAAAAGAATAGATGCAAAATTTAGAATTTCTAGAATGATAATTGTGTATAAGAAAATGAAATACCCAGCTCATATTTCTGAATTTAAAAAATTATTTATGTTTCCCAGAACAATATTTTCCCTAAGACCCAAGGTAACCATCTATTTTTCAGCTTTCCAAAAGATAGGTCCACTTCTACCAAGCTGTGTGTTAGATGTGAGATTTTCCAAGGATATTTACACTTATTTGGCAGGGTGCCTCGTGAGCGGCTTTGATTTGAAATGTGGTTTCAACCACTTCCTAAATTTATACACAACTCACAAAGAATGAAAATTTTGGTTGTGGAAGTCCATAAATGCTGTTTATAAAACATGGGCACCCTGTCAGATACTCAGTGGTATACCTCTTAAATACTGTTGATTATTAAGCTTTTATGGAGCACTTTTATATTGCTAGAGTAATCATTTTTATTGGCTTTTCTTGACAACAGCCCAATGTCATTTGATAATATTTTTCTTTCTATTTTTATATTCCAAGAATAGGGACAAAGTAAATGGATATTCTGGCCACAAATACAGCCAGTGACAAAATGAGGATCAAACTGATTGAACTCTAAATCCTCACCTTAACTGTAGCCCTACAGTTCTTTCTCTCTATTAAGGTGTTATGTTTTGTCTCAGTTTCTGCATTTTCTTTTTTATCTTAGCTGTTGTTGTGATCTGATGCTTTTGGGAAATACCAACCAGGACCTTACTAGGATATTCTCTGTCCTACCTGCCTTGTAATATAATGCAGGGAAAAGATCTTTGAACTGAAATAAAGAGACCAGGGTTCTAGTCTCAGTATTTCTACCAACCAGATTTTAGGCAAGTTATTGCTTCTCTGGACCTCATTCATCTCATCCTTAGGAAAAGGGACTACGATAGTTGGTTTTTAAGGTTTTCTTTCAAGAGTTAACATATAAAAGTCTAATAATAGGTAGCACTTAATGAGCATTTATTAACTGCCAGGTCCTGTGCTGAGTGCTATGTGGGGATTGTTCCATTTAATCATCATAACCACTCTGTGGTAGTAATGTAGTAGTGTAATTTTCCCTTCCCTTTTTACAAGGAGAAATCTTAGCTTTAGGGAGACTATGGGACTTAATCATTGTTGACAGCTAGCAATGTTGAACCAGAAGCCAAACCCTGAGAGTCTGAGAGGTCACATGCTGAACCCTGACACTTATCCAAGTGCTATTCTGGAAGAAACAAAGAGGAGAGGAATGTCTAAGGACCCCAACAATGTGTTATAATATAAGAACATCTCTCTTCTTTGGATAATTGGATATTCCAGACTCTTGTCTGGGAATTATTAGGGATAGCATTTACAGATGGGTGTCTAGTAACTACTATAATTCCTGATCATAATTCCCTCACAGCCCTATCACCCCAGAATTATTAGGGATATTAAACTGTTTCTGAGTCTTAGATTCTTATTTCAAAAATGCTCCAAGTACTGTTTTATTAGACCTGAGAGAGCTATAAAGATCAGCTGAAAATGATTGTTCTTAACAGATGTATTACTGACTCCATCAAATACATCAGTTATGCCAGGAGGATCTGAAAACTAGAAATGGAAATTTTCATATCTCAATCAGATGAAAGTCATTTTATTTATTGTAGGCAATTGCTACCCTAAGTTTAGCTTATCAGAATCAGTATCTTTTTTATATTCTTGCTTAGGTCTACCCCCCTTTGGCAAGTGCATTTCCAAAGGATCTGGTACCTTTATAACTAAAATATTAAAGAACTTAATAGAAGAGACAAATTAAAGAGCAATCATTAACTCTTTTTTGAGACAGAGTCTCGCTCTGTTGCTCAGGCTGGAGTACAGTGGCATGATCTCAGCTCACTGTAACCTCTGACTCCTGGGTTCTAGTGATTCTCCTGCCTCAACCTCCCTAGTGGCTGGGATTACAGGCACCTGCCACCATGCCTGGCTAATTTTTGTATTTTTAGTAAAGACGGGATTTTACCATGTTGGTCAGGCTGGTCTCAAACTCCTGACCTCAGGTGATCCGCCTGCTTCAGCCTCGCTGGGATTACAGGTGTGAGCCACTGCGCCTGGCCCTTTTATTAACTCTTTAGTTAAAAAAGTAAGCAGACAAAAGACAAGATGAAGGAATGTGTTGTGGAGTCACATGACTCATATTGTTGAGGCCATTCATTCATTCTTTCATAGCTTTTATTAAATTGTTACTGTCACCTCATAAAAGAATCTGGAAAACAGACATGTTCTTCCCCCAATTTTAAAGTTGTGAAACTACATTTGGAACTAAAAATTAATATTTCTTAAAATATAGACTATTATTCAGATATTAACACACATTCATAAAATATTTTTCTTTTTTCTCTACATACATGTGCGCGCGCGTGCGCGCGCGCGCGCACACACACACACACACACACACACACACACACACACACACGACAATCTTGCAATGGTAGACCAAGGAGGCATCTTTGAAGTGTGGGACATATGGCTTCTTAGCCAACCATCCTCACTTTTCCATAGTCCCTTATTTTCTTAACTATTAGATAATGGGCTTAAGGGATGGGGTTGATAGTAGAGAAGTTTAGATAGAGGGGCAAAGAATCTAGAAGAGTCAATTCTAAGAAAGTTTATTATTAGACTAGAGGCCCAGAAGACAGCAAGAATATCTCAGTAGAGGTTTCTAATCCCGTCTTACACTTGAGATTGAATATAAAGAGTTGAAAATGATGTTTTCTGATATGACTGGACTTCTGATTCATAATCCTCCTAACCCTGTCTCTGGATGGAAAACTATAGCTATAATAGCTACAGTGGCTATAGCCTATAGACAGCCATAATTTGCTATCAATATTTCATTTCCATCTTACACTTAATTCAATATCAGTGTATTTTTATATGCTTTTATTTCATTAAAGTAATTAAACAGCTTCAAGGGTTAATAAAACCTTGGATGCTTATGTAGAGCAATGGATACATCTGATAGACATCTGATAAGCTTTTTAAAATTTTGTCGGTAGACTGTCATTAAAACATAAAGTATTATATGGATAAGCTAATACAAATCTCTTCCAATTCTTTTTTTTAAAACTCTACATTCACAGTCGTTGGATATTTGACCAATAGTGAAATTAACTAACAGGTCTAAGTATTTGAAATGGGCTATTGAACGTCCCGAGAAAAGGTGGTATGGAAGATATACAAGTTAGATGTGATTACTCAGCAATCCTCACACTTATTTGTAATCACCAAATCACAAATTAGAGGATTATGAGAATTAAAATATTTCAGTTTGATCATCTCACACCATTCTACTTGGAAGGGAAATTGTAGTTCTTAAGATATCTTCAGGGGAAGAAAGTATTCTAGGAAGGCTTTTTGCCTTTCTTTGTAAAACATGTTCAACATAAATATTCTATCCTGGTGGCACATATACAGTGAAATAACTTTTGAAGGCTTTTTTTTCCCCTGTTTTATTTTGTTTTTCCAGTATGAGTTAGTAGAATCTTTTGGAATTTGGAATAGAAACCAGAAGCCATTTACTTAAAATGGTCCCTTCTTACTGGTGCATGATGAATGTGTGTGTCTCTCAGATAAAGTGGAGATGAACATTTCTATAGCCTTGAAAAAAATGTTCTCTTCCCTGGTGTATGACAAAGTGAAGGATATAATTTAGATATGTTTAAGCACTGTATCCATGCCTGTAGTATACCCTTCTGCCAATTTCCAAGCACATATGTATACACACACATTCAATATGTAGGGAAAGGGCTGCCCAAGAGTTCAGACTGTAGGGAAAATCTGGAAGAACGGTAAGTTCCACATTTTCTTCACCCTTCAGCCCAAAAAGAAGTAGAGAATGGCTCCAGGAACACCCTTTGTCTCTCTGAGGGTGTGTGTGAAGAGTAATGGTCGTTTCTCGGCTGCTCATGTAATCAGGATATGTTTGTGAACCTACAGTGGGTTGAGGAGAGTTAAGAGTTGGGATTAAAGCTATCTACGATGAAATTTATAGTGCCTAAGAACTAAAACCCTGGTTTGGCTAATTAGGGGAACATTATCCAGGAAGAGTTCTTGGTGTAGAGGTTGCCTCATCTGAATCTTAAAGGATAAAATTTATCCAATGAAAAGAGACGTCATTTATTTAAAAACTTGAGACACCACCTTTCATTCAAGTTAACACACATGTATAAATAAATTGATTCAGGTCATAATTCTGCAGCAGCTTTTTAACCTTCAGTGGAAAAAGTAGCTTCATGTCTGTGTTGTTTATTGTTGCTTTTCCTGCATCTGTGACAATACTTTGAATGAATAATATTATGCCTTAGATAAAATCCTAAACTGACCCAGGAAAATGAATACAGAAGCTCATTGGAAAGTTTAGTGTTACTCAGGCCTGTAAGTCATCCCTGAGGTTGCCAGAATTCAAACCATTTAGGGCTTCATAGACCAGTGTGAGCATTTTGCATTATATTCAGAAACATATTGAGAACTAGAGGAAGTCAAGGCTGCTCCCTACTGAAAGCAGGTGATTAATTTCACTCCAGCCACATGAATGACCTGTGGGTGGCCCTTGCTAGTGTGTGACAGAAACACCCAGGGAAGAAATGATTTGCCAGGTTCCTTGGCTTCCTTTCCTCATCTGACACAATTAAGTAATCTTTGCAAGGTGTGTAAGAGTCTATTGAACCTGCTGTTGCTCCACTGTAGGGTGAATTGTTATTGTGTTCCCAAACCAACAGTGTTGGGACACAGACCAGTAAACAGGCTTTCCCATTCCTTAATGCAAACATAATTTGTGTACAGCCTGTGAGCTATTCAGATTACAGACCATGAGGGACATTGCAGTGGGAGGCTGAAAGGATTCTTCCCTACACAAAAACTGCAACTTAAAGTCACCCTCATGTATTTGGTAAAAAGACAGAATGTGCCCCACTTTGTGAAATTCTATTCCAGTTTAAAGGGCTAAGAAAGCGCAGAGTTCAGTAATGTGGTTTCAGTGTTCTCCCCATTGGTGTAATCAAATCCTTTTAGAAGGAAAACCAGCGGTGGAAGATTTTTTTTATTTCCTCCTTCCTCTTCCTTTGATATTGGTGGTTTAATTATAATAGATTCATAAGAGAACCTGGCCCCTATTGGAAGATATGTTAGTTTTCTTTTTCTTGCCACCAAGGTGTAAACCATTCATTATGATTTTATCAGATATCTGCAGCGGCATGCTGGTAAACTGGCTCTCCAAAAAATAAAACAAAACTCTAACAGCCTTTATTTGTAGTTTTTGCCAATTTCTATGGTATAAATACTCCCATCCTAGCTGATTTCAGGCTACCAATGTGTAATCTCCAAATAAGCAGTTGGGAAGAAGTGCTAATATCTTGCTGTCAGCAGCCAACGTTAGTCAGCTCCAGCATACCCCAGATCATTATATTTTAGCAATTTGATTAATTTTATTTTGATAATTCTAAAATACTAAGAATAGTAATTATCAACTTCCAAATAATGTATCAGTGTAGAAGCATATAAATATACATTTGTAAAACCACATAGTTATGTACATATATATGTGATGCCATGAGAAGTACTTTCAACATTCGCAGTCATTTCTGTTGAGCATTGTACACTTGCTAAAGGTTAAGGAAGAAAAGTAAAGTTTAGAATTGGTATTCTTGTATTCAATTAGAAAAGCAATTGCTACTGAAGGAATTTGTACATTGTCCTCAAAATTTGATCTGAGCTGTATCTTTTTAATGCATTGAAAGGCTTTTCATCTTTTTTTAAAGGAAAGTGCATAATTTATTATATTTATGAGGTTATAATAAAATGGATACTTAGGAACTTTAAACATGAGTTAAAAGTAATCATCAGATATAAAATTCTCAAATCTTGGAACCCAAAATACTAAATTTTAGAATTTTCTTAAAACCTCTTTCTCATGATTAACTTAGTTTGAAAATTATTATGTTCTTTCATAAGAAAAGAAGGAAAATTTAAAAATAGACATGTTGATGGAGGCAATAGTTCTTCTCAGCTGGTTTTTCGGAGATGATTTCAGGGTTCAGATTGATTTGCAACCATTTAACATTTAATGCAGAGGAAGAGTTGACTATTTCCTTCCCTCATACTAATTTTTAGTGAGAAAGATGCTTTTCGTGCTAGGAGGAACATTGTGAAACAATGTCTTCACAGAGGTAGAATCAGATGAGTAAGTAATTGCTGAAGGCAGACATTTTCAAAATTGTTAGCCTAGGCACTATTTGCTCAAATGAGTTTAAAATATATACACTAAACCCCAAAGCAGAGAAGCTTTGGTTGAGAATGATAGGGGAAAGTGGAGATGACTGAAGATGTCCTGAAATCCCCCCTCTTTTTTTTTTTTTGCATCTATCCCTACCCTCTAGGTAGATCATTTCTGAGCCTTGAAGTACAGTTTGAAAAATGCAAATTTCAGAAATTTCTCAGCTACTTATTGTCTACATGTGGACAGCAATAAAAGAGTCAATGCCAATCGATCTCATTTACTGTAAGCTGATCTTCACAATGAGTATGGATAACTGCACCCATATTGATGATATAGTAGATTTTGTGTATTACTTATAAGGTCAACAGAAAATTGATTCATATTACAGTCCTATTGTGTAGTCGCAGATAGGACTGGTGTGAGTAACTTCTAAACATGGCTTTAGGCAACTAACCACTGTTCCATTTAATTTTAGTTCCACTGGTATTAAAACCATGCAGAATTTATTTTCTAAATGATATTTTACAAATCATAATCCCAAAGAAAATTTATTTTCTAGAATCCTCAATCAATGAACTTTGAGTTGTGTTGCTGGAGCCTGGAGTTCCATGGAGCAGCATCTCAGCAGTAGTTTCTGGGAATTGCGGTTGTTTTGCAGAGGCCAGGTTAACAAGGATTGGGTTCCTAGGATTGGGGTCCTATCTCGCAATCCCCTACACCTCTACCAAACTATTTCGTGATCTTGGTTAAACTTTGATTTCACATTTTAACTAATAATAATTAAAAATTACTGTTTTAAACTTAAGACCAAATTCAAAAGGTCTTCAATCTTGGCAAGATTAAAACTCAACATAATTCAAAACTCATCTTTTCAGGCAGGCATCCAATCTGTACTTAGCTTGAATTGTTTATTTTACAAACAGATACTGCTCAAATTCTAAAATTTGACTTGTAGTATAAACCATAAAAAAATGGAATTTGAGTGACTCACCCAGGGTTACTAACGAAATTTTTTTATTATTTATTTATTTATTTATTTATGTTTGAGATGGAGTCTCACTCTATCACCCAGACTGGAGTGCAGTGGTGCAATCTTGGCTCACCGCAACCTCCGCCTCCCGGGTTCAACCGATTATCCTGCCTCAGCCTCCCGAGTAGCTGGGATTACAGGAGTGTGCCACCATGCCCAGCTAATTTTTTGGATTTTTGGTAGAGATGAGGTTTCGCCATGTTGGTTTCACCAGGTCTCAAGCTCCTGGCCTCAAGTGATCCACCCACCTCGGCCTCCCAAAGTGCTGGGATTGTAGGCATAAGCCAGTGCCCCTGGCCTCAAATTATTAAAATTATTATATCCATGGGTACTTTAACTTAAAAAATAGGCTAATAATGCAGTAATATTTTTTAGTTATACTCCAGTGTCAACATAATTGTATAAATAATGCATTCCTTCTGATGGGATACTATTTAAAAAACTCTATCTATACAATTTTGGAATATCCACAAAAATAAGATTTCTAGAAGGTTAAAGGCCGAAATCAGTCTCAAAAATTCTAAAAAATCTGTCGCCTTTCTTTCTCCCACTCCTTAGCCCTAGTGGACGATAGCTGTTTGTGCCTCTGTTGAAGCACGTGCCCCAAAAGGAAACATGCCTGGGCAATGGGGCCAATTCTTATTTAACTCCGCGGACTGACATCCTAAATGCCTCTTCAGTGATTAACATCACAACGTGACACAATTCAGCTGGGTAAAAGGGATAGGTCCCATAATGCCATGCTCACTCCTTATAAATTCAAGTAGACTACTTGAAAAACCACTCATACAAAGCTATGAATTTATACCTGTCCATATCAATGCCCCACAAAAAACCTCCCAATGCTTGCCTACTTTTTGCAATCTGAATACAATCTAACTTACTTCCGCAGCCTAGGAGGCCTCATATGATCTCACGTCTTAGCTTTCTGATCAGATGTCCTTCTGCTCAGCCCTTCTTCCCCATTCTCCAGCCCTAATAGCTTTCTTAAGGTCTCTTGAATGTATACAGCTTGCTCCTGTCCCAGGGCCTTTACACTTGCTTTCTCCCTTGAGCTTCCCATGGTCACCTCTTAGCCCTGGCCTCTTGGCACTCAGGTCTCCATTTGAATGTCCCTTACTCAGACAAGTCTTCCCTGACCATTTGGGCAGAACAGCACTGCACTACCCCTACCAATGCCAACAGTTACATCACATTACCCAGTTTATTTTCTCCGTAGCATTCTTAGTGCCTAAAACGACTGTGTTTATCTGTGTCGTCCTCAGTTTCTCTCCCTCTCAGTAGACTTTTCATTTCTTGAAGGCTGCATGGTAGCCCCAGTGCTCAGAATAGAGCACAGCACATAGAAGGCTCTCAATAGACATCCTCTGACTGGCCAATAATATGGATTGCACCTATGGAGAGATTTCTTTTCATAAACAGCTTGAAAGGGAAAGAACCATTTAATTTTTTAAATTTGAAGCCCCACAAGAAAAGCTAAGAGTTTTTCAGGCAAGTGTCCATCTTTATTGCTTGCAGCCCAGTTCTTTGGAATTTTATACATCAGCAACTTCTTTTCCATGACCCATTTCTAAATATTTCCTAGGCACCCAGACACTCTGAGTCTGAATGAGGATATTTGATTGAGAAGGAAAATTGGTCAGAATGTGAAAAAGGAAGGTGGGCCCTTAGGAGGAACAAGGTGGGGATGTGGATAGAGATTCTTTACTTCCTATAGAGAAAAGGGAGAGTAGGAGGGAAGAATAATGGGGTAGAAAATGGAGAAAAAAGTGGGAGGAAAAAAAGCAGAAGAGGACCAGAAATCGATCAGGGGAGGCAGAAAGAATAAGCAAGGGCAAAGTGGAGAAAGAATAGATGGTAGAAAAGAGAAAGAAGGAATAATAGGCGAGAAAGCAAGAGGTGTGGGAGAAGCAGGGCTGGAGGGGCGCTGAAGAGCAGGGGAAGGCACTGACTGAGCTGAGTACCAAGAGACAGCCGTGGTTTTCTTGTAGCTCTGTTTCTGACAAGCTCTCTGGCCATGGCCAAGGCCAATTTACCTTCCTTGCTGGTAAAAGATGGTTTTATGGGATCTTCCAGCACTAGCGCTCTCTGTTCTTGGCTTCACAAACAGCAGGCCCTAAAGGGTTCCTTGACAAATGGATTTTCTGTCTTTGAGCAGATCTAAGTGGCAGATGGGGCACAGCTCCCCTAGGAGAGACCCCCCCGCCACCCCCTGCCCACCATTGTCTGAGCCCTTCTGCAGCATCAGTCCCCAGCCAGCGCTGCCTCAACAAACCAAGAGACATTGTCTCTGCTTGCTTCCAGACAGGAAAAGAAAAGGATTGAGTTTCATAATCTCACAATTTTAAATGTAGGCCTATTTCCATAAGAAGTTTCAGATTACAAGGCATGTTTCAGAAACATTTTTTTACTTTGAACACCTCATAAAGAGACAGTCTTGGAACTGGACAGTCCTGGGTTCAACCTCAGGTTCCTCACTGCATGGTTTTAATGATTTGTATAACCTTCAGTGTCTTCATCTATAAGATAGAGATTAAAATGTTACCCTTAAACAGTTGTGATGAGGATTTAATGAGGTAACATATTTAAAGAACCAGGTATAGAGTAGGTCCTCAATTATTATCATTTTGCCTAAGTTTTCTTCTGATAATCTGAAATAATCACTTTTGATCCTCATACTCTCCTCTCCCCATATGAAGATCCTCTGGGCAAATCTTTTTTTTTTTTTTCTTTCTTTCTTTTTTTTTTTTTTTTGAGACGGAGTCTCCCTCTGTCGCCCAGGCTGGAGTGCAGTGGTGCAATCTCAGCTCACTGCAAGCTCCGTCTCCCAGGTTCACGCCATTCTCCTGCCTCAGCCTCCTGAGTAGCTGGGACTACAGGCACCCGCCACCATGCCCGGCTAACTTTTTGTATTTTTAGTAGAGATGGGGTTTCACCATGTTAGCTAGGATGGTCTCAATCTCCTGACCTCATGATCCACCCGCCTCGGCCTCCCAAAATCCTGGGATTACAGGCATGAGCCACTGCGCCTGGCCCCCTCTGGGCAAATCTTAAAATTGAAGATGGTAAAAGCATGGATAATCTGTCATCTTCCTACAGGTAAAATAGTGGAAGAAATTACTTCATCCAGCAAATAAAGAGAACAATGGTTTCTTGGTGACCCAAAGTAAAGTATTTCAGAGTACTATTTTGTATTCGAAGTAATACAAAAGACAAATATATTATTCAGTGGATACTGCAACAATAGACAGAATTGCAACAAACATGAATTTAGCCAAATCTCTTGCTTGGAGGCCTGCAGTGGAGGAGAAATATCAGAGCGATCTTGGAATCGGACCTATCTATGTTTGAATCAAAGGTCCAGTCCCTAACCAGCTCTATGCCATTAATTCAGCGTCAGCTTTGTCATTGTGAAATAAAATATCCTCATTGCTGAACTTGGTGGTTGTCGGTATTAAATAGATCATGTGTAAAAGGTGTCTATTATGGTATTTTATTGAACACACAGTAAGTGCCTAATAGAAAGTCACCATTGTTCCTGTTCCTTTCAGCTGAAGCTATTGGGGAACTTTCTTTTTCTTTGGTACTACACCTGATTTTATGAAGGAAATTAACGTGCAAATAGGACATGATTTATGGCCAGCAAGAGAGACACATAATGATTTGCAGTCTCTTTTGGGAGTCAGAGTCTATTCTATTTGGCCTACCTTGTAGCTCAGCAACATTACCAAGTCCTTACATTATCAGTAATGATTGAGCCTGGAAGTCAGCCAAGGTTACCAGGTAGTGATGTTAGGGTTAATTTGGGCTTCATGTAATTTGTCCCTCAGAAACTGCAATCTAGGGATTCAATAGAAAAGGTTGGGATACCTTAAGGGAAATAGCTAACACACTC
The DNA here is from genome assembly GCF_000001405.40 of Homo sapiens. NCBI lineage: Eukaryota > Metazoa > Chordata > Mammalia > Primates > Hominidae > Homo > Homo sapiens. The sequence continues at coordinate 115,691,915 of NC_000003.12, forward strand.
TTTCCAGGTAGATACCAGCTATAACTTGTCACATCTTGTATTTCAATCCTACAGTCTTAGACCTAAAAGGAAACTTAAAAATTGCCTAAGCCTGGGAACTGGATGGGCTTCAGGAGGGTTCTTTCATCTCCTAAGATTATTTGCAACATGTTATACTGTGTGTGCATACGGATGATATTCTTGGCAAAATGACCTTGTCTTTCATCAGATACTCTACTGGGACCACTGCACAAAAATATTATGATGCACTATGCTTGAACAATCTCCAGGAGAAGTTGTGTGTGCCTGTGTTTTAATGAACGATGAAGCATGTTCTGGGATTCAGTTGCATGGTCTGGCCATGGTCCCACAATGAGTTAGCATCAGAATAGAGGAGATAAACCCAGATATCGCAAGGACTGTATTCTACTGTCATTCAATTAATTTGTACTTATTAATACGTATAATTTCCACACTACACAGGCATTGTGAGGGATGTAGATTATAAAAGTGAATATCTGTTGTCATGGAAGTTACAGTCTGGATGGGGAGAAAAGTAAGGCTCTTAAAAGAAAACAGAAACAAAAAAGACTCAGTACCAGTATAGAACAAAATAAGTCTGTGACTGCTTGCAAACTGCAGTCTGTAGTTGTGGCAAAGGAATTCAGAGACCACGATAGTGGGTAGGGTCTGAAGAAAAGAAATGAGCATTATGATGAAGCATTGGTGAGGATACCGGCCTTAGTAGTTTGTGCCAGTGAGGAGAAGGTAGGGTATGTTGGACCTTGAAGTGGTCGGAAGTTTTCAGTCTTGGTCCAACAGCAAATAGAGGGTGGTTAAAGTTTTTACTTCACCATATTATTTTTGCTCCCAGAATGACTCTGATGTCTCTATGAAGTGTACACAAAGCACAATCCACACTTATGAATTCAGTTCAAAGATATTAATATTATTTCAGCATACCTGTTAAAGTGACTTAACAATCTACTTGTAGACTGAGTTTTTGGTCATATTCGAAGGACCAAAAAATCAAAATTGATTTAGGATTAACTTCAAAATAGGACCCAATCACAATAGTTGTTCCTATTGCACTGCTATGCAGTTTGCCTGGGGTCATTTCTTCCTGGAGAGTGACGCCTGACACGCCTGCCTTCCACTCAGCCTCCACAGCTGGGAACAGAATTACACTGGTGCCCTCTGCTGGGATGAAATGGGAAGTTGATCAGGAAACAATGGTGTCCTCGTCTTTTCAACATAGAGATGGAGGTGGCGATTCCAGGCCCACTGCAGCCTCCAGGCTGGATTCATTTAGTGTTCTCTCCAGGCCTCCCTCTCAGGTGTCTTCTTTGCATCATACCTGAATTTATTAACCAAAGGGAGTAATTGGATTTTTATTGTAAGAAGGTTGTCAGCTAATTTTTAAAAGTAGTCCAAGGAAATGCTGCCCCCTTTCCTCTGACAATTTGAGAGCTGGGCCCTGGTTTCAACACACAGGGCTAGTCATCTTGGGTGGTGGCTTGGCCGTCTTGCTAGAGAACAATACATATTAAGAGCCACGGGGAGACTCTGGGACCATTTAAAAAAATCCTGTTAAATTATTATTATTATTATTATTTATTTTAACGGTGAGGAAAGCACATTGATATTCATTGCTGATTTTCTTGGCTCAAATAAACAGCATTAATGCTATGGTGTTAAATTCAATTTAGAGTGTCTACTCTGGTGTGCCTTTGGTACCCTGCTCAGCTGATTTTTCTGCTAGAGGTGAAAAAACATTCAGTTGTAATTAAGAAAGGGGTGGGGGAGTGCTGAGAAGGAAACCGAAAGAGAGAAGAGTTGTGAAGTCTCATGTGTGCAAATTGGTAATGGACTTCTAAAATAAAATGATGGGGGCTGGGGCGGGGCGGGGCAGGGGAGAGGATGGATTGAAATGATCCTTTCCTGCTCCCCACTTTTATTTTATTTTATTTTGTTTAGGATCAATAATTTGGACATGGAGGTCTGCTGCTGGTTTCCATAACAACCTGGCTTATTGAAAAACTGCAGGCTCCACGAATCCCCAATTATCAGCCTTCCAGGGCTTATTAATGGAGTTGAGCATCCCAGTGAGGCAGGCAGCTCATTGCTGGCACGTGCCCGGTGGGCTGGCGGAGGGTGGAGGAGATGGGAAGAGGAGATGTGTGGTGAGACAGCAGCCATTTGTCCCCGTCACTTGCAGGGGAGGGGGGAGCAGTCATTCAGGAGGCTGTGAGAGCGTCTCTTGAAACCCTGAGTGGCTGCCGCTGCTGTTACAGGCAGCCCAGAAATCGAAGCATAGCTTGTTTTTCCAGCTCCACCCCGAAGCCATCTATCTGGAATAAATCCTTATGAATATATCACAAGCCCTGTATGTCTATTGAGCTTCTATAATTAATCGGGCTTTCCTCACAAAGACAATGGTGACTCTATATTTCTAATATTAACTCAAGCCTTAATTAAAATGTGAAGCCAACCTAATGCATATTTGATAGCTTTGAATTACTCAGTCTTTGGTCTGGCTTCACTTATTAGGCCCTCGCCATAGAATAATTACAATAGCAACAATAATACCGATGATGATCAAAATACAGATAACATTTACTTATCTTGTGCCAGGCTTTCTGCTAAAAGCTCCACATGGAGTTTCTTGTTTAAGCTTCACAATGATCCTATGATGAGGGATATCACTGTCCCTTTTTTACAAATGAGGAAACAGAAGCAAGAGAACTTAAATGACTTATCTTAGGCCACAGGGCTAGTGAGTATATCAGAGTCTCATTTCTGCTCCCTTTCCATAATTATTTTTTATTTTTCAACATGCGTATCCTCAAGATAGAAAAGGAACAGCACATTTACAGTAAATTTTGTGCTATCCAGTGTTAATTGGGGAATGAAACATTCTGGTTTATCAAATATTTTGATTAATAATTGCTATTCATGTCATGATTGGGTTTCCAATGGGAAAGATCTGGGATATAATAAAACATACACAACATTAGAAGTATAGTAATCATTGTCATAAAATGCTTCAGGATCATTATACAAATGCGACTTTTTATTGTAGTGCAGAAGTGTTAGTTGATAAAGACTTCTGTTTGACAAAATGCCAGTTGAACTGTTTTTATAGCATGGAAATATCAGTGCCTTAACACTTTTGAATATTGTAGATTTCAAAGTGCTTTACATAAACTACCACAGAAGTTCAATGTGATCAGAAAAGAAAAATTTTAGGATCTTTCAGAGTTAAAGAATATTAGTGCTTGGAAAACCTTAAATGCATTAAATACTCTGGATCCTTAGACTATGCTTTTTAAAACTGGAACCTTAGACTAACTGGGAAATGGAATGTGACACACCCTTGAGGTGGTTCAATGCAAGTCTGTCATCAAGCACTGTTAAAATAGATCAACATTTCCAGAAATTTCATCACAGTTGCTCAAATAACATTTATTATTAGTTTAGTCTCCAGAAGTGAAAATAGAACTTGTTTCCAAGGACCCCAACTTTTTAAGAATTAAGAGAAGTGACAATATGGATTGTTTGTTTTATTTAATACTTAGTGAGCATATAATCTAAGCATTTTACATGTGTCATCCATACACAGCAACCCTATGAGGTAAGAACTCCCCCGTTTATAGATGGAGAAATCAAAGTACAGAGAACACATAACATGCCTGAGGTATCACATTTGGGAAACACATTCAAAGTCAGGCAGTCTAGCTCCTGAGTCTGTGTTCTCAACCAGAGTTGTCTATACTCTCTCCAATTTGTTTCTTCCTATTCTGCGTTTAATCCACAACAATCACATCTACCTCCTACCCACTCCCCAAACTCCCCATCCAGTGAAACAACTTTAGCCAAACTCACAAACGACCTCCACATCGCCAAAACCCAATGGCCAATTCTAAGGCCTCATCTTCTTTTACCTATTAACAGCATCGCAGAGTTGATCACTTTCTACTCTTTGAAACACTTTCATGATTGCTCGTCCAGGATGTTGCCTATTCTGATTATTTTTGCCAACCTACTGGCTAGTCCCATTCAGTTTCATTTGCCCTTCCTTCTTTATTTCCCTGATTTGAAATGTTGAGTTACCCCACAGCTAAGTTCTTGGATGTCTTCTCCTCTTTTCTCTTCTACATTCTCTCTCTCTCTCTTTTTTTATTTACATTTATGACTTTGGTGATCTCTCTGAGCTCATCTATAGCCCGGACCTCTCTCCCCACTCCAGACAATTGCTTACTCTACATCTCAACTTGGATATCTAATAGATACCTCAAATTAAATCTCTTGAAAACCAAACTTCTGTCTTTTTTTTCTGAACTTACTCCTTCTCCCGTCTTTCTCATCTCAGGAAATGACAAGTCCATCATTTCCTGATACTTAGGCCATATGCCTTAAAATTATTCCTTTTTTTCTTTTCCTTTGACAACATTAAATCTATGAGCAAGTCTTATTGGCTCCACCTTCAACATATATCCAGAATCTCAGCACATCTCACTTTTTCTAGCACCCATCTCACTTCAGCAAAAGTCAAGTCCTTAAAGTGGCCTCAAAGCTCCATGTTCTCAGCATATCCACTAGGTCACCACTTGGATTTCCTCTCCTGTTACTCTCCATTTCTTGGTCCTTTCTAGCAATACTGATTTCCTTGCTGCCCCCCACCGCCCCCCCCCCCCACAAACAGGTATGCTCATATGCAGGGAATTTGCAACTTACTGTTCCCTCTGCCTCAAAACCTCCCTCCTCTAGAAATTTATAGAGTTCACTCTCTAACCATCTTCAGCTCTCCGTTCAGATATCACCTTCTCAAAGCAACTTTCTCTTCGTTTAATATTGTCACCCCAACCTCATCCCAGCATTTCCCCTTCTCTTTCCCAGTTTTGTTATTTTCAGTAATTTTTGTTTGTTGGTTAGTTTTGTTTGTTTGTTTGATTTTAGACAGAGTCCCACCATTGTTGCCCAGGCTAGAGTGTAGTGGTGCAATCTCAGCTCACTGCAACCTCCACCTCCTGGGTTCAAGTGATTCTCCTGCCTTAGCCTCCTGAGTAGCAGGCACTACAGGCGCCCACCACACCCGGCTAAATTTTGTAATTTTGTATTTTTGTATTTAGATGGGGCTCCACCATATTGGTCAGGATGGTCTCAAACTCCTGACCTCAAGTGATCCACCCACCTCGGCCTCCCAAAGTGCTGGGATTACAGGCATGAGCCACCACACCCAGCCAATTTTGTTATTTTCATGGTGCTTACTGCCTTCTAATATATTATACATTACATTTATTTATTTATAATAATAAACTTCATGAAGACAGGGTATTTTTTGTTTTATTATTATTTCGTACACTGTGGTATTCTCAGCAACTGGAACAAGCAGTAAATGCTCAATAAATATCAATTCATTCAATGAGTGAAGAAGATACCAAGCACATGTATTAAACAGGCAGTTCTAAAGGAACTTCCTCTCCGCCACCTAAGCACATGTTTCCTCACCGTCCTTTGTCCCTGTACATTCTTTGGTGACTCATAGAGTTCTCACATGTAATGCCATCCTCCTAATGACCGGAAGATGATGGCCGCTGGACAGCAACTATAACTGGGTTGTGTCTGTGGCATCAGGGCACTGGCCCCTTGTTTTAGCCTCACTGCTTCACAAGCCCTCCTTACATGGAGTCCATGCCACAGGGAGGAAATTGTTTCATCTTTCAATGCAAAGGATATAGCTCTAAAAGCAGAGAACCATTTTAGCAAATTCAAAACCACTGGGAATTCTGCCCAGACTGGAAATAGATGGCAAAACACACTTTTGCTTAGAAGTGAGCTGCCTTTCTTTCATGTTGAATCATCAAATCAAAGTCATAGAAACTTTAATGTCTAACAAAGAGTCTCTGGCAGATTAAAATTTTCCACTTATAAATTATAGTTAACTCAGCATTTAGCTATTAGTAACCCTTTTGTAGTATGTTAAATTTGCTTACATATTGATTATAACTCAATGTGATTGGAACGTTTTCCCATGCGGGAGCATTTCTTCAAAGGAACCACTGCATAAAAATTCACAGAGTACATGTGCGTGTGTGTGTGTGTGTGTGTGTGTGTATAAAATATATAACATGTATATAAAATATATATTATATATTATATAAAATATATATTATATATAATATATAAAATATGTATTATATATAATATATAAAATATATAATATATATTATATATAATATATATAATATATATTATATATAATATATAAAATATATTAAATAATATATATATTAAATATATATTATATATTATATAAAATATATAATATATAATATATATAAAATATATATAATATATAATATATATAAAATATATATTATATATAAATATAATATATATATTATATATAAAATATATATAATATATATATATAAAACCAGTTCTGTCGGTCATGATCAGAGTCCAAGGATTAAGTCTCATATCATCTATTAGCTTTGCACAATTAGAAAATAGTTTTGTGACTCAGATTACTCCAATAAAACCAGTAGGTCTTCTCTTAAGATTCTAACTGTGGTTGGTAAGAATAAATGCAGAACACTGTGAGACAAACAAATCTAATTCATACAGCTGTAGACAATCTTTGGTGAGAAAAGGCTGCTTATGTCTGTGGGGCTATGTTTGTATGTGGTGGAACTTGGAAAGTGGAGTGGAAAAGTGTGGGTAGAGGATGGAAATGAGCACATACTTAGGTGACAAGAGAGATGAGGGTGTGGGGGTGTCAGTGCTACCTGAAAAATCCCAATCCCAAAGGAAAGTGGGAAGGGACCAGGGTGACAGCAAGCAACTATAAAACTTTAAAATCTATGGACCAGAACCCCTGATAATAGGAATCTGTTTATAAGTTAGATAACAAAATATGGTTGTACATATAATGACTTGGCCCTAAACTGGTAATCCTTCATTTCTTACTCATAGCCTCAGCATTCCCACCACCATCCTCCATTGTTGGAACAGCTGCCCAACCCTTACGTATGACAACAGAAAATGGGAGGAGCAGGAAGGCAGGACACCTAAGGCATAAAGGGCTGTGTTTCATCTTTACTGCTGATTCCTTGTAAAAGCGGCAGCCATTCTCGTGGATTGGAATTCCCTGCTTCTGATCTTATGTGGACAATTGTTGATTGTGTCTGTCTACCATGGAAAGATTTGGTTTACTGAGGAAGTACTTTGGCATTGGCAGGAGGTTGATGAGAATACAATCATTCTACCTCCGCTATTCATCTTGAGCATCCTGCATCCTGACACCTGCTGAGTAAGACAGATTTGTACCTTGTCACCACATGTGTGAAGTGCACGTGAGAAACAGTAACAGGGTTAATGCCACTCTCTTACAAAGAGAATTTTGTTTTCACTTGTTCTCTCCCATATTGCTCTAACACCCTCTGTGCCATCGTTCCCAACCTTCCTTCCTCTTCCCCCACCACTACGCACCCACCCAGATCTCCTGAGAGTCGTTACTACTCAGCCCATCAGCCAAAGTTAGTGGGTTTCCATGGTAACCAGGCAGCTGGTGTCTAGACACTCTGAGAGAGATGCCTTGCAATTGAGCTGCAAATCTAGCTTCTATCAAACACCCCCTCTCTTCCCTCCTCCTCTTTCCTCCCATTTCCTTTTTATTTACAGCAGGCATTAATACCAACACTGAATGGAGTTTCCTTTTGACAGGCCATTAAAGGAAGAGGGGGATGAGAGAGGGTGAAAACCCCCAACTTGCTGTCTTGTCATATCAGTGCAGTGAGAAGACAACCGAGGTGACAGACTCTGATCTGGTTTGCTCTTTCTTCTTTAAGAAGGATTTTATTTAATTAAAATATTTTAAATTAGGAAACAGTGCCACTAGTCTATTGGGAGTCATATGCATCTTTAAGAGCCAGTAAAAGCATTTTCAGGATAGAGCTTGAGCTGATGGCACTGGGTTGAGGTAAAATTTTTTTCACAGTGTCTGGGCAATCAATGTAATTTCTCTTTCTATGATGCTCAGGGGAATTACATGCCTGTAGTATTACTAGACAGGAAACTATGCAGTGGGATACAGGCAAGTATAAGAAAGGGCCTTAAATGACACCTCAGATCTGGAAAAGTCAAGTTTAACTGTTCCTTATTTGTCTCAAGAAAGAGAAAAGCAGCTTCTGACAGCCAGGAGCTGGCCTGGAGCTCACAAGTTAGCCTTAGTGTTCTGTTAATATAAACAACTTTGCAGAACACCAACATCAGACAAGGGCACTTTGTGTGATGGATCAGGACAAAACAAGACCACCATAATAATCATGTCTGAACGCAGACTAAATATGCACATTGTCCAAACCATAAAATGTCTGAATATTTCCTCAGCCTGGCCAATATGAATAATGATGCTTACTTTATTCCTCCCTCTTCCTAGATGATATTTATTGAGATGCCTAAAAATAAAATTACGCCTGTTTTGTGACAGCATTCCAATCCAGAGCAAAGTTCTGTTTCCCTAAAACCACCTCCAAATCACCTAACACCTGCCCAAATAAAGCCCTTTCTAGTCCCTTCTTGTGAGACACCTCATGATTCTCCATAGCATAGAGTCTTCCTAGCTGTAACATGTAAATAAACCCACCTTTGCTCAACTATATGTGTGTTCCTTTTAGTCTTGGCTGTAAGTGGTTGATGCTCCATAGAATTTCTCTCTATATTATTATGTACACTGAAGTTAACTTCAGTGAAAAAGTCTTTTTCTTATTTTCTCCCACATCTAAATATTTTCTATGCCATCTTTACCCCAAATTTATTGCTACACTTTCCTGAATTCACTAATTCTCCCTCTGAAATCTCATAAAAACCTAATGTAGGAAACAAAATTAACTCTATTTTTTCTATCTGTAGTATTTTCACATTTTTGATCTCAGTAATTACACAGGATGCCTCAGGGCACAGATGAGTTTATAATTATCTTTACTACTCATTGAGAAATTTATTACCTGAATTAGCAGTGATGACAAGGACATGTAGATCAGACTGACAGCAGACATCAAACATGACCCAGTCAAATGACAGTAAGACTATGACAAAATGTTTAAATTTAGTACACTTTCCCTTAAATCCCAAGGAAAGCTATGTTCCCTGTTTCAGACTAAAGGGTGTCAGATAATTTGTTGGGGCAGCAACCATCTCCTCTCCCGTTCATATTATGATCTGTCAGCTTTAAGTGACTATTTTAGCTACCACTATCCACAACAGAGAAGAAGTTTGGAAGAGGTCTACCTTGGGAACAGAATGATATGTTAAGATATGACTCTATTCGTTCTGATATTAGTATCTTCTCTGCCACCCCCTGAAATGCCAGTTTGGTGTACTGTCATATATCCTCTGAGCCCCTCTGTGAGATCACTCACCACTCACCATCTCTCTTTCAGGTGAGTTCTGTACCTGGCTGTGGAATCAGTATCATTGTTATTCCGGGGGTAGGGTCATTTAAAGAGCCCTACACACAATTGGCTCACCACCAAGTCAAATGGTACCCACCAATAATTGGTTTCTTACTTGGGAACAGTTCCATTAACTAGACTTCTGCTTGGTTTACATTACCTACATTCCTATCTTATCTCTTTTAGATTCTGGTTTCTCCAAGACTAAGGCCTAGCCTTATTCTCATCTATTCTCTTGGAGATGGTAATCTTGTTCTTGGACCTATAATTAGGAGGCTGTATTGTTGGCTGACAGATTTCCCCAAATGTCCATGGTTGATTTACATTGGACTTTTTTAGTTGCTGTGTTCTACCAACCTCCAATGTTTGTTTACTACTTCTGCTGTTGACCTTCTATTTTACTGTTTCCCATAATCATAAGCCTCAGACATTCCACCCCGCCAACCTGTCCTTCCTCCCATTGGCTATTACTGGTTCCATGCCCAAATTGTAGTAGTATTGCTAGATTCAATTCTCTTTGAGTCTGATATATTTAACATCAATTGTATTAGTACAGTTCCTATTTTTAAATCTTTTCTTTCCATTTCTTGGCCTCAGTTAGAGAGATGTGCTTCTGAGAAAGAAGAATCAACAGATACAGGTGCATTTGGGAGAGAGGGTTTTAAATTTGAATCACTGAGAGAATGTTAAGGCCAATCTGGTTACACTTGTAGAGATAATGGTCAGGTGATGTCTCAGATAAAGACATAGGATTGGAGCCAGGAATGGAGTCAAGATTGTACTTACTTGGGAAGTAAGAATTTGGAATTTAAGAATTTAAGAAGTTGGAAGTAGAACTTGGAATTTGATGGATATGAACAAGGAGTTAAGATTTCATGATAAAGAAAGTAATATGCTTACAGTGATCTTTAAGGATTAATGATAAGACAGTGGTAATATAAATCAGGTGGTTACCTGGATAGAGGTCAGGATTGAAGTCATTAGAGGGAATGAGTTTTCTGATACAGAGTCTACAAGGATAATATTGACTTGAATCTTGGATTGAGGTCATGTTAGGGGACAGAAAGAAAAAAACTAGACCCAGAATGGCAAAAGAAAAGCTAGAAAACAGCAGAAATAAATCCAGAATATACTGCTCATTGAAGCTAAGAAAAAGGAATATTTTAAGAAGGTGTCAAAGCCAAAATGCACCAACAGTTAAGGAGATGATTTTACTTAATCTGTTGCAAGAGACTCCAGATCTCAAGATCATGTCTTGGCAGGGTGGTTTTCCATTAGACTTTTATAGGAAGGAGTAGACAAGTTATAGGTCAGGTAATTTTGTGTTGTTTTGCAATCAGGGGAAGTCCAGTCAACTAAACAGGATTTGTTTCTCTGTGTGTGTAGCTCCTTTCAAAGGAAAAAATTCTAATCTCAGCTAAACATCCATGAGACAAAGAATGGAAAGTTAAGAGTATCTGTATCTATTTTTGTCAGCAGTTTCAGGCAAAAGGGGAAAGGTCTATATTTGCCCTTGTTACAGGTAAAGAAGGGGATCATCTCTGAGTCTTACGGGAGTCCTGAGAAAGAGTTGACGCAAGTCATATGGAGAAGAGTGTTCTTCAAGGTTAGCCATTTCCTGGAGTACAAAAAGATGTGGGAGATTTAAGAAAGCAAAAGGCTAAGGAACTTTCCTAATTGTTGATGTTTTCTGGAGTACAGTGCTCAGGTAAAGGTCAACAGTCAAAATAAAGAGTACTTAAGGAAAGATAAAGAACAATGGTAAATGAGAAAAGGCCTTAGGATTGGGAATATGTATATTTATGAAATCAAGGAGAACACTGTTATTAAAAACAGTAAAGCTAAAATTCAGTTCACAGAGAAATAAGGAAGGTGAGGAAAAGATGGCACAATTCCAGTTTATTTTTTAGTGAAGTTTTATGATTGAAGAGGAAAATAAGATGTTTGTAACTTTATGAGGAAAGAGGCTATTTTTGCCTTTTTGAAGGGCTATCATGTGCCAGAGAATATATTTGAGATATATTTGTTCTGTGTTATTCCAGAAGACAGAACTCCATAGAAACTTAGAGGGAGTAGATTTCAGCTGAGTATCTGGAATAATTTACAGAAGAGCTGGAATGCCTGTTAAAGTAGAGGCTGTCCCTCTGCCTGGGGTATCATAGGGGATTCCTGCATTAGGTGGGGAAATGCTAGAGGATCTCCACAGCCTCTTTCTACTCTGAAGTTTCTGTATGTATTCTGATTGCTTTCAAATAAATAGGATTTTGAAATAAGGTAGATAATAAATAGGAGGCAGTTTTAGATGTAAAGTATGTCTTGGAAAATGGCTTTATTGGAGAGAAAAAAACATTGGGTTCAGAAAAGTGAGGCATGATTTTTCAAATGGCTGTATTATATGATAGGCAGAGCGTACATGACTCTATAGAGCTATCCTCTAAAAACACGGACTCTCCGTGACTCTTTGTTCTTTAACTGTTTATTGTTATAGTGTTCCCAAATAGTCAAATCTATAACATTCTTTGCCACTAAAAATAAGTAAACAGCTTGGAGATCTTTGACTGAAAAATAAAAAATCAGTACAAATACTAATATCACTTTTTCAATATAGTTCTGGTTGTGTTCCAGTGAGTGCTATTGATTCCTAAAGTGATTTTTTACTCAAAAGCAGCACCATAATTTGACAGGCCCCAGGAAGCCAAGGCACACAATGACTGCAAAATGAGTTGTCCCAGTAAGAGATGGAGATTGCATTTATTTACACACATGCAAGTATATAATGCAAGGCTTTTTTGTTATAACAATATTTTAAAAATTAACTCCCAAACTGAGTTAAATCTTCACAGTTGGCTTTTTAACATTCTGCTGGCACTGGAGGTGAAGGGGGTGATAGATGGGAGGAATTATCTACACTTTTATTTCCTCTTCCTCAGGATAGTGCAACGATCTCTTAAATTCTTAGATATGATAGCATTTGTAGTAATTTTAGCTATCTCTGGATTTTCATTCTCCAGTAACTCTTATGCCATTTTGCCTATGAAGCCTACCATAATCAAATGCTAACTATTCAACCTTAGTTACTAATTTTAGAGGTCTCCACTTATTTTCTTTCTGCATAAAATATCCACTTCACCTCCCGCAATTTGAACATAACATGTTAGAATTTGATAAAACAGTAATCCTCAGCCATGATTCTGCAAGCCTCCAGAGTATCTAAAATTACTTTTGGTAGGCCTTAAAGCAAAATTATATTGAATTACCTTGCATTTCTCAAACAAAAATAGCAATGGAGGGAAGGAAGAAAGAAGGGAGAGAGGATTAGAGTAATACAGTACATTTAGGACTCTGGGAAGAGATGCAAGTTAAAATCAAGCAGATTTTACTCATTCCCCAAGGCTATGAAAGGCAATATGATCTAATGGAGGATCGCTGAATTCTAATTAGCTGTGTGTCTTTGGACAAGTCACAAAAACTCTTCATCTTTAGCTTTTCTCATAGAGAATAAGGAACTGAAATCAGATCATCTCTAAGGTCTCCTTCAGCTTCTGTTACTTTGTAATTTCATGAACAACTACAAGCTGAGTCTGTGACGGTATATACAGATTTTGTATTTTTGTCCTGATTTATGTGGCTTAGCCATTTGCTTTGATAAAATTAACAAGACAACTGCCAAGTCTCTAGTTTACTTTGTGCTGTGTAGATACAGCCATAAGGGAAAATTAAACAACAAAGATAAATAATTGTCTGGCTAATCTCAAGTACTACCCAAACACATCATGCCGAACCACGGCAAGGCATGAGCTGAATGAATATGACTCATAAATGCAGTGCTTTTATTTAAAAATTTAAATGTTACCCAAGCAGTAGATATAAATAGGAAATATTTTTAGGCAGCTGTAGTCACTATTGGTGTCATTCTTACAGAGCTAAAATTATGTCTGGCTTTAGTTTCTGTATTTTAACCCTGGTGTCAGATAATTAAATCATTTAATCAAATATCAGATCATGGGATTTGGCAAACCTAGATCTGCTTTTGCTTTTAAAGGTAAATATTGGAAATACCAACTTTATAATAAGGAATATTAACTCATCATATATTAAAACATTTAAAATCATTTATTGAATTTTTAAATGGAAATCAGTATAACTGAAAGATAGTTGGTTAACTTTCTCAAAGTCTGGCAGGCAGGAATTACTACAGTAACACTTTTATGATTGATCTCATTAGATGAGATCTAGGGTGACATTGTTGAAAATAATGGGTATAATAGAAATACCAAAACATAAAAAACCCAAACTTTTGAAAAGGCCGGTACAATGCCTAAGCAATCATTCAATGAATATGAAAAACTGAGAAGGAAAAGCTAAGAAAGTAGATTCAATAAAAAATTACCAACAAACATGATTAGCCTGTTTAATTTTTCCTCACCTCTTAAGTATGGACCTAAATAATTAACATCAAATACACGAGGTATAATTTTTTGAAAATTATTAACTTCCTCCAAAATGCAGCAGGAGGAATTGTAGAAAATCCTTCGTGGAGGGTGGAGGTCGGTGCTAACTTCAATCATGTTTGAACAAGATTCCAAAAGAAGTATGACGTCTCTTTGCCTAGAAAACTTTCAAGAGAACAGCCACTTCCTACCCCATTCTGATTCCTTATTCTTCAAAGTCTGCTGGGATTCCCTATTTGAGAACGCCCAGAAACGAGAGTGTTTTGCATAAGTAGAAAGAAGAACCCCATCAGCGCAGTCTTCTCAAAGGATTTTTCCTTCATCATATGCCTGTCCCCAAATAACTTCAGTACTTCCTGGAAATGAGAACTTTCTCACAAAAAAAGCTGAAAAATCTCATTGCATCTTACCGTTTTCCTGAAACTTAAGGAATCAATTATTAAAAAGAAGTCTTAGGGTCCTTTTCAAGTATAGGATTCCAGCATTATGATTAAACAAGGGAATTTTTCTTGAAGTTGGATGGAGTGTCTTAAGCCTGGAGAATTGCCATCCTCTCTGTAACTTGCCTATTGGATGCAAGATTTACTACCCAGCTGGGGGGTAGGCTGTGACTTGGCCTTTTACTCATTCAGTATGGTAAACATAGTTTTTCTACAAATGAAGCTAGCTCAAAGATAAGGTTTTTGTTTGTTTAATCAACTGGCTGCTATTCTTTAGATGTGAAATAGAGAAGGCTGTTCTGCTTTGAAATACCATCGATATCAGAAAGGTCTTTGCCCTTGAAGGCATTACTGCTTAGTAGCCTTGATTCTTGTATTACTGAATCATGACTTCTCTTCTTTGCTGCCCTTCAAGTTTGGCCGATGGTCACCTTTGCCTTTGTGATCATTTTTGGACTTTGGTCTCTGACTTCAAAGCCGTTTTCAAAAAACTATTCTTTTTTTCACTCCACAAGCAGAAACTTTACAAGTCAGAGACTCTTCTCTTTCTTTGTCAGGATATTTGAAGACAGTTTCTCTTTGGCTGTGAGTTATGATTGGATAAGCATAAGTTAGAAGAGAAAAGGTTGAAGATAACTCATTTATTAGGCATTCATGTGAGCAAAGAAGTGGCATTTTAAAATGTTTATTGTCATTTAATGTTCATCACAAATTTATGAGGTAGATATTATTATTCCTATTTTACTTATGAAGAAATGGAAAAGCAGCAAAGATACATTTTGATTACCTATATGTGAAACCTCTTGGCACAATGCTTGGCACATAGTAAACATTAATCAATGTTAGGTCCCTTCTAGTCATATTATAATGGCCAACACTTATAAGCGCTTACTTAAATATGTCATTTATTGATATGGACTTTAAATGAACACATTTAATTGTCATAACAACCCCATGAGGTGGGTACCAATATTATGAAAAATTAGGCAGTGAGAGGTTAAGTAATTTACTCAAGGTCATAGTGTCAGAAGTAGAATTTATTTATTTGTTTGTTTGTTATTTATTTGTTTCTATTTGAGGCAGGCTCTTGCTCTGTCACCAAGGCTGGAGTGCAGTGGCTCACTGCAGCCTTGACCTCCCAGGCTCAAGTGATCCTCTCACCTCAGCCTCCCAAGTAGCTGGGATGACAGGTACATGCCACCATGCCCAGCTAATTTTTTTAATTATTTGTAGAGGCTGAGTCTCCCTATGTTGCCTAGGTTGGTCTTGAACTCCTGGGCTCAAGTGATCCTCCTACCTCAGCCTCCCAAAGTGCTGAGATTACAGGCATCAGCCACTGCACTCAGCCTGAGAGACAGAATTTAAATGTAAACACTCTGGCTCTAGAATCAACTCTCTTAACTACTACTTTGCGCATCTAAAAATAGTTATGCTTATAGTAGATATCTATTTCTTACTTTTTCTTTATATATGAAGACTTGGTTATAAAATTAGAAGATAGGTATAAAATTAAAGTTAGCAAAAAAATGGAGAATGATGGGATAATGATTTTCATGGCTATGAAACAGAATAGCATTGGGGTTCCTTTTTATAATCCAATATTTTTAAATTTACAAACTTTTGCTATTTCCTTTGATCATGGTAACATTATAGGACCACAGGTTTTCTTCCCGAGGTAATTGAGGTGACTTTAATTACTTTGGTGACATCTACATGTCACAAAGCATTCAAGATATATATATCGGGATACACACACACACACACACACACACATATATATATACACACACACACATATATACCAAGTATCTAGAAACATACTTTCCAGGCATGTTTCTAGGTACTTGGTATTCACTGGTGAACAAAATAAAAGAAATCTCTGCTTTTGTGGAGTTAAAACACCAACAAATGTATACTTTTCTTTTGAGAAGTTAGTCCACAGTCAACTGAAGAAGACTAAAAAGATACCACAAACTATGATATAATGCAAGGCATATAACTTCCATATGAGAATGAAGTGATGAATTCTGTTTAGTGTAAGTTTGGAGGTTGAAAATGTAGTTGAGCTGGGTCATAGGAATTATAAGCAGTAAATCCAAATGAGTCAAACTTGAAGATTTACTACATCCTTCACTGATATCATTGGCTGGTCTGCCTCCCAACTCCAGTTTTTAATTTTTGGTTAAAGAGCTATCTTTGGTCCAGATCTCCATAATCAAAGTCCAAGAAGGGAATTCTTGTGCATATAATTTATTGGTGCAAACTTATAAGAGAGTGAGAGAAAAGAGGATAGAGCAGAGGAAGATACCAGGCAAAGACGAGAGTTCAGGGGAAATGTCTCAGCCTGATCCAACAGAGAGCTCTGAAGCACAAACTGCACCATAGAGGTTGTTTTGTCCAAAAGCAAGGGTACTGGAGTGGAGTCATGGTAGGCAGAGGGGCATGACCCCTCAGGAACCAGGTTGAGGTGGCTCCTATTTTCTATACCTTACCCAAGTGGCAGGTGGGGCTGTTAGCAGCCAACACCTCTGGCAGCTGGGGGATGGGAGCATGGACCTGGTAAAGAAGATCTGAGAGGGGCACCAACAGCATCTACTACAAGGAATGTAGGACATCTGAAAGGCACGTGGAGAGATGTAGAGTTGTAGAATATTTGAGTGGCAAGTGAGGGAACAGATGATATTGACAACTGGCTGGGTTTTTTTTTTTTTTTTTTTTTTTTGCTATCTCTTTTTGCTTTGGTGGGACATTTATAAAATCTGAAATAGGTATTATTTATTTTTACTTCACTGAAAAATCTTAAATGCTAGTAGTTTAAATTTAGTAAAATAGAAAAAGCAGCACTGTCATTCAGAACCCCAGATTTAAAGTTAGTTCTTGTAGGCAAGTATGAGACTGCCTTTTATTTTGATTAGTTTTGATTAATGGGAACCTCTTTCATTTTAAGTCAGAGTCCACAAATTTACATGTCTTACTCCAGACGCCCTGCCTCCTCTTGCTTTTGCAGCGAGAGTTCTTTAGCATTTTTTAATGCCTTTAGGCAAAACCTGCACTCTCCAGTTCCCCACAGACCCCACTGCCAATTTTACCCTTGGCCAGATTTTCACATTAATGTTGTTTGCCTGGCCTCTTAGGCAATTGAGTTTGCAAAGGCTGGAGGCTGAAATCCCAGCTCAGATTTTCACCTAGCTGGGATTCTTCTCAACTGGGATCCTGTGGAGTGAAACGGGGAGATGTAGAATTGAAATTACTGATGTGTTTCTTGTAAACTTCTTTTCAGAGTGTTAAACACATACAATTAACATTGACTTCCTAGAATTAAAGGTTAGTAAATTGATCGTGTTCTAAAACAATAACATAAATTTGCTTATTTCACTCTAAGGCCTATGTCAAAGAATATATGCTAATGAACCAAATCATAAAGCACTTTTTCATTTTCAAGGTGATGTACAAACATTGACTAAGTAGCTTTTTAAAATGCTAATATGAAAAAAGGTTATTACTGGATAATCAGTCATATTGTAACTGTCCTTTATAGCACTTTAAAGTCTCAAATGGCATTCTTAATTTTTACTGCATTTTGCAAGTATACATGAACATACATATATATATATATATATATACACACACATGAGCAATTGATTTTAATGTTAATTTTAAACATATGTTTTCAAGCTTTTCCAGTTTATGGCTCGATAACTTTTTCACGGCACCCCTAAACCTCTGCTTATTAGACAGTTAGGTTCAAGGAGCTTAATAATAGTATATTGCACAGTATCCAACAGATAGTTTCTCTCAAATTTCAAAATATATATTGGCACTCCTGTGAGTTCACTGTAGCACCCACGGATTCATGTGTATGGTTTGAGAACTACAATTTAAAGTGCTGATTCACTATAATGTGCCAAGCAGTGTAGATAACTTATGGTTACCATAGAAATTGAAAGTTTCCCAAAAGTTTGCTTTCTGGGAAATCACATTCTAAGTCAACCTAGAAAAATTATTCACCTACTCTTTTTTTTTTTGTCTGTAGATATCATAGGCTATACCTTGACCTAGTTTTTACTGTGAAAATTGAGAAGTTTGAACTGAGTGAAATAAGTGTTAAAATCAAATTTTGTTTGGAGATAATTTAGATATTTTAACTCAAATATTTAAAACACGTTTATTTTAAACCTGATTAAAACTGATTTATGGAGTTTTTAAAGAGGGAGAATAACAAAATCTTTTTCTGATTCATTGATCAGTATAAAAAAGCACTGCTATAGTTGAATATCAGTGACATGGTTCTGCTTATTCCAGTTTTTGTTTTATAATTTGGTTTAGTTCAAATCTCTGAGAAATCCACTAAAAATTGTTTTGAACCAAATTTTCAGGATGTATAAATTGTTTTTATTGAGACCAATTAGCTCTTCAATCTCTTGCTTGTGTCCATGGTTAGAGTTCATAGCAAAAAAATTTCATTATTTAATGTCCCTTCACAGTGAAAACTGGGTAAAAAAAATAGTTAATAATAAAATTCTGTTAAAAATGAAGCCTCCCAAAGTGAAACTTAGGTTTTATGATTTTTGTCCACTCAAATTATTTAAGAACATAGCCTATTTTTTTTCCTTCTTTTCCGTTTTTATGTTTGGTAAGATAATGAAACCAAACTATCAGCTTCAATGTCTCAGTGAATCCAGCCTGCCAAGGCATAAAGATAAAGCATGTTTTTGGGTTTTGAATGTCATCTGCCCCAGTCTCCTAGAAAAATATCATACCATAAAGGAAAGATTACTGGGCTGTGAGTCAGGAGTCCTGGATTTCAGTGCTGCCTTTTTCAATTTTATGACCATAGTAGAGAAATTACCTAATTTCTTACAGCTTCAATTTTCTTATCAAAAAATTGGGTGTTAAAGTATCTCTTACGTTCCTCCAAGCTTTAGATTTCTGTGGTTATACCATATATCAAAGTTCTTAAATAAAGCTATAAATTCTTCACGGTCATATGTGTGTGTGTGTGCACGTGCACGCATGTATTTGGAATTCCCCTGGGAGAATAAAATAGTCCTTATTTCAAAAAGAATTCAGGAAATTATTTGACGGCAAAGTGCTATGAGCCAACACTGCAACTGTGATAATGACCACTTGCAATCAATTTATGGCAAGCTCACAAGAATTTGAAAATGCTGAGAGAAAAGAGCTCCTGAAACTCAGGTCTTTAGAAGTCCATGATAAAGTTTGGGCACACGTGGGATTTTTAAGTTCTAAATACACACACACACACACACCCCCCTACAGAAAGGAGGAAAACAAAAATTCCTAGGTTGAAATGTCTCTAATCATCACTATTAGTTAACAACACTCACTATCGCATTATTTTTCTATTCTTGTCATGGCATTTCTCATAATTTCTCAGTGCCATTGGAACCATCAGTGTTTATCTTTAGGCTGACTCTGCATTCTACCTCTTCCCTCCAACCCCCAAACAAACTGAAGCAATGCCTCAATAGACCCACAGATTCCACTGCCAGCTCAGCATGTAATTTAGCTGGGAGCAGGGATGAGGGAGTGATTTTATTTGACTGTTTGTTATACTAAAGTGAGAATACCCTTAATTTCTTGTTTTAATTTTTAACCTTTAGAAGTTGACTTATTCATTGTAATAATGGTAAGAAATAAAGTTAACATCATTTAACTTAATATATTTACTTCATCTTATTCCAAAAATTATTGAGGGCAAGTAGGCAAGCCATGTAAATTATAATTATTGATGTTTCTGCATATTTCTAGTTGGGGAAGAAGAGAGAACACTAATTTTTGATGATTTGATAGACATTTTTTATAAATAATGTTTTAAGAAGTTTTCAAGGCTAGTCAACTTGTACCTTCTTTGGCTTTAGTTTTAATTTTTTAAAAAAATATCTCTGGGTTTTTTCTCCATTCAGAAAAAAACACTGTCTTTTGTTCTATAGACTAGAAATATTATATTCTGTCCTAGTTTTATAAGAGTAGCTGTCTTTAATTAATAGTCACTCATATCTTTATTTTCTGAGTAGTGCTCTCTAATTAATTAGTCATTCATATCTTTGTTTCCTCATCAGAGTCAGACTTTACAGAAACATTCTAGGGGAGAAGGTCTCTTAATCATCTGTCTGGGAAAGAAGTTTTTTGGTGGGTAGTGGAAGAATTGCTTTTTTTCCTCTTGAGACTATTAAAACTTGGCAGCTAGAATTAGGTTGAGTGAATTTCTCAAATCCTTCATTTCCTGAAGGTTGGATTAAAATTCAGCAAATCTCAAACCCCATAAATTGGATTAAAATCTCGACAAACTACATTCTGCACTTTAGATTTTATAAAGCACTTTCAAATACCTCCCTTCAAACTCCAAACAACCCACGATAAGGTAGGGCACGCATTATTATTCATATTATGTGTATATTAGGAAACTGAGACAAAGAAAGGAAAAGCATCTTCTCTGAAGTCGTATGATTAGTTAGTGGCAAAGTCTAGGCTAGAATAGGAATCAGCCTGGTCTTAGGCCTAAACTTGAGGGAAAAAGTAGACATGTAGATGGCATATTGCAGATATCACTGAGACCCCATCATGCTGCCTCTGATTTTTCTTCTTGGTTACTCTTTGAAATCCTTTAGTGTATAGTGTTATTAGCAAAAAGGTTATTCTCTCTTTTAAGTGCTTGGAAAGTAAGGAAGAAATGGGGGCAGAGATGTTACTTGCATAATTCTCCTCACATCAAAATGAAATATACTGGCTCAGTGTTTTGAAAGGAACTTAAAATGTGAAACATGGTAATGAAACGAGCAAAATGTGGATCACAGTGACCACTGAAAGCCATGATCCAGGCTCCAGATGGACATCTGGTATATAGCTAAAGAAAAAGACTGTGTGAGCAACAAAAGGGCCATATGTGAGTTAGCTGCCAAAGATTTTTATTATTATTATTATTACTTTCCTTTGAGCTTTTGAGGTGATGATGCTTAATATTCAAGAAAGATGAAAATAAAAAGAGAGGAAGCAAACACCCAGCTCATTGGTGATTGGTAGAGTAATTGTGGGCATGGCCCCAGGATGATAGCAGCTTCTATTTAATCAATGTTGACAAGGCTGGGGAGAGCTGGGCAGGTCCCAAGAGGTAATGTTTTACTCGGAAATCCACTCAACCTAATTTCAGTAATGTAGGGCTGTGGAAGGGCCTGGACTGGAGCCAGAAAACAGGGCCATTAGAGCTCAGTGTAGGCAATGGCAGCTGGGAACATCGCCATCCCTCCAGCAGCATTGCAACCAGGCTGCCTGGCTGAGCGCACAAGCAGCCGCTGCTGCATATGCTCCTGGTATTTGCTCACCAACAGAATGCATCGACATGCTATTCTCATCCTTTCAAGGAAATGAATGGAATGCATAAAGGCAAGAACTGCTTCCAAACTCTATTTTAGCAAGAATCAGAGAGCAAGTTTGGCATACATCTTTCAAGGACCACTGTGAAATTGTCCACTTAATCCCCTGAATCCTTTAAGGCTACCATTACATTGTTGTAAATACATGCAGAGATAACTTAGATCTTTATTGCTGTCTTAGTGTGGTTTTGATCTTTCTTAGGAATTGTGGTTGTGGATCAAGAATATGGAAACTACTATGGTTTTTCCTTTTTCAAAACTTCTGAGATTCATTCAAATTAGTCAGCTTTGCAAATCCAAGAGAAGTGACCCAGGACGAATTACGCTCCTTAGGGCTGAGTGCTTCTTATCTAGCTGTTCTTTCCTTTACCATTCTTTCTCCAATAAACAACACATTATTACAGTAATTTGCTAGCATATAAATTCCAATAACTTAGAGGTTTTTGCTTTGTGTTTTCATGGCTGTGTCACCACTGCTATACTTGCAGTTCGTGGAACAGTGTATGGACATAGTAAGACATAATTTCTTTCACTGGATGAATAAATGAATGAATGAAAACATTTTCTTTCTTCCCTTTTGAAGGATCCTTGAGCTATCATGCATCAAGAATATATGAATTTACTTTCTATGATGTTAACTTTCTCTTTTTAAGTTAACACAGAAATGACAAAATTCATGGAGGCTGCCAGTGAACGTGGTGGTAATCTCTAAGCTGTCTTTGGGCTTGGAAGAGCAATGTTTTTGTCAAGGCTAAAATGCCATGGCATGGGCAGGTTACAGCTTTCTATCAGATTCTAACATTATCTGTCCAAATGACTGAATATAATTTTTGAGACTAAATCGTGGCACAGCAAGAGTATTTAATCAACTTCATTAAATAATTTAATCAAGTTTTTGAGCCTCTAGCTTAAGCCTCTCATATAAATAAGGTTATTTACTCCTGAAAATATGACTATGTTCCATTTGAAAAATTTGTGTCTTGAAAAAACTTTTTTCCCCTAAAAGGAAAAAAAGCCTAAACTACTAAAACTAAATTTAAAACTAAAACACATCATCGATTTTTGTTTATTGTTTTTTTTTTTTAGACACATTCGGTTTTATAATAGAACTGGATTTGGGGGATTGATTTTGCCCTGGTAAAGATGGATTTGGGGAGAAGCCATCACTAGGTAGATAATAGTAATAGTCTTAGGAAATTCATTCAATGGTCACTACATAGATACACGTGTGCGCGTGCACACACACACACACACACACACATACAGCCCGAGTGTCTTTGGCTGCTATAATAAAATACCATAAACTAGGTGGCTTATAAACAACAGACAAATCCTGGTAAGGGCCAGCTTTCTCTGTACCTTGCTGTGTCCTCACATGGTAGAAGAGACTAGCTAGTTCTCTGTTGTGTCTTTCATAAAGACACTAATCCCAGTCATGAGTCCGCTACCCTCATGATTTAACCACCTCCCAAAGATTCCTACTCCTAATGCCGTCACCTTAGGGGGTTAGAATTTCAACATATGAATTTTGAAGGAACACAGACATTTAATGCATAATACTGTGACTCATTTTTGTTTTTCCTGTAATGTCTTAAACAAAATAACAGTACTAATATTAAGTTTTAATGTTTAATACAAGTAAAAGTACTATTCAGAGGCAAACTGAAAAAGAACAAGCATATTCTACGCTTCGCCTTGCTGGATTTCAGCCGTCACACTAGCACTTCCAGGCTTTCCTCATTTGCCAGCTCCAGGTCATTGCTTCTACTCACTTGTTCTATGTCACCTGGTGTTGAAAATCACACTTCAATCTTCTAGACTCTATAGCCCCTTCCTAAGTAATAACTGTCTCAGAGGGAGGTTGATCCGCTAGATGAGGAATGTGACTATTTACTCTAAATGGAACATGGTAATTGGAGTGACCAGCTGGCCCCAGCCATTCATTTGTCTTTGACACTCACCATGATGATCAAAGATTTTGCACAAAATACTAAAGATTACATATTAACTCATCTCTAGCATTTACAAATCACATAATTAGTGCTGGAAAGTGCCAAGACCAGATTTTATACTACAGAAGACTTATCAGGATTCTTCCCTTCATTTTTAGCTGCTTTTAATGGTACAATTTTTAAACGTTGTAATCTTCAGACCTACATAGCTGTGGACCGGACTCCCTGCTTTAGTTATCACTCTGAACTTACCCATTCTTTTTGGGCAAAGGTAAAACCAGGGAAAGCAACTAAAGTAAAATCTGCTGAGATAACTCTGTCCTACGTTGGAATTTACAGTGTGGCCTTACGTAAACCATTCAGTCTCCCTGTGTTTCAGTTTCCCCAGCTGTGAAATGGGGTGATTAAGGTAGATGTGAGAATTAAATGCAATGATACAGGTACACTTCGCACTGTTCTGAGCACATAGTAAGAGCTCGAAAATGTTAACTATAGCTAAATACTTTATACAAAGGACCAGGGAAGTCACAATCCATAATTCTTTCCAGGCAGTTGTTTTAAGCTGCTGAATAGAACAGGTAAGAAAATGTAGATATAAACTAAACAGTCGACATTATTTATCACTGCAATGATTTATCTAGGGTTGACATCAGTGGGAGAATAAGCTAGCAATATCAAAATGTTCCCTCTGATATTCAGGCTTAAATGGAACTATTTATACAAAACTTGGATTCTGTTTATAATAAGTTCTGCTTTGTCAGAGGTTAAAACCTTTCCCAAACTCACATGCAGTCTCCTACCAAAAGTAGGGCTAGCTAGAGCAGGTGTATTGTCCACATCTGGCTATTGTTCCCTTATTTGGATGTAGAATTTTTAAAAAATGTTATCATGAGTTCTTAGTTTATCTCACTTTGGAAGCTGTAATAGATTGTTTCTTTACATTGTTTCCTCCATCCATATTTTATTTTCCTCTCCATAATTTCTTGGTGGCCTATAAAACTTTCACTGCATCCATTGACTTGACCCACTTTTTTTTCTGCCAACTAGTCATCCCTTCGCTTAAAACAAAGCAAATATTTTGCTTAATATTCAATAATATCAAGTAAAAAATTACTTTAATCTCAGACAAATATATATATATATATATATATATATATATATATATATATATATATATATACAGAGAGAGAGAGAGAGAGAGAGTTTTATATGTTCCAGCTAACTGACTAACATTTCCTTTTGTAGCCATCTAATCGAGTTTCATCAATTTTAATTTTACGGGTTTTATTTTATAATTTGGAGCCAACAATTTTTTAATCTCCAAAGTTGTATGGGTCACTAAAACCCTATGGACTCTAGCTACTTAGTTTCAGTGCCGAATTGCTAAAATGAGTTTGGCCACCTGATATAATCGGAAAAACTGAACAAATAGACCTGAGTTTTAGCTCTGGCTTGGTCATAAGCAAGTCATATGATTTAGGGAAAGTTCCTTTATGCACCTAGACTTCAGTGTCATCACCTGTAAAATGAGGCTGTCCAGTCATTCCTTCACTCAAGAAATATTTACTGAGGTTCTTTCCTGAATGAGGTTATGTGCTGGACATGGGATTCAAGGTTGAGCTGAAGTAGGTACTGCTGTTACCCTTGAAGAGTTTATGGTTTAGTGACTGGATGATCTTAAAGGGTCCACTCATTTCTAACATTCTATATTTATAAATTTTATTGTCTTTTTTTTTTTTTGACAGAGTTTCACTTTTGTCCCCCAGGCCGGAGTGCAATGGCAGGATCTCTGCTCACTGTAACCTCCGCCTCCCAGGTTCAAGTGATTTTCCTGCTTCAGCCTCCCTAGTAGCTGGGATTATAGGCACATGCCACTATGCCCAGCTACTTTTATATTTTTAGTAGCGACGGGGTTTCACCATTTTGGCCAAGCTGGTCCCGAACTCCTGACCTCAGGTGATCCACCCATCTCAGCCTCCCAAAGTGCTGGGATTACAGGTGTGAGCCACCGCACCCAGCCTGAATTTTATTGTCTTTTAAAGGTATATTATGAAAGGCTTTAAGGAGAGCAAGGATTTTGCTTTTTTTTTTTTTTTTCTCAGTACCTAGAAGAATGCCTGGCACAGTGCAGGTGTCCAGTAACAACTTATTGAACAAATAAATTAATAAATATTTACATTTAAAATACTTTGAAGCATTTGAGAAAATGAATATATATTGAGGCTCTCTCAATAGAGCTTCATAATTTCCTGTCATAATAAACAGATTTGTGCCAAATTTCGTCTTTTGTCCTAGGACCAGGCAATGGATGACAAGAGAAAGTGGGAGAATTTGGGAGGATTTAGCTTGATTGTATTCCAACAAGGGAACAGAAAGTGTAGCTGCATCTCAGAACCATCTGAATGTTCAAGTTTCTGTTTCTGCATTTTTGAGTTTTATTCCCTTTATTCAACAAACATGCAATTCTCACCTTTCCCAGTCTACTTCCCTTTTTCTCTCATTTCCTAATCTCCCTCTAAGCATACATAATAGCTCCCATGTCTTTATTTTGGAAGGAGAGATTTGAAGTCTTCTCTTGTTCCTATAACTACTATCTTTCTATATGTTTCTGGGTTGTGTAAATCAATATTATGTTTATTTTGCAGTTTGAAAAGGGCACTAAAAACATTGCTTCTTGGAACTGATAAGGATGGTAAACTACCTTGGGCATACTTGTAATATCCAAAGGTTTGAGCAGGGTTAGGGAACCAAGCAAACTCTCCAAAAGAATTCCTAATTGTTTTAGAAGGACTTCACTGAAATAAATCTGGAATCTTTCTTCTGGTAGAAAATTAAATACCTCATTAGCACACCAAAATTTTTGTAATTCCTGAGGAATACTGCTGATGCATAGTGTATTATAATGATCAGAATTGAGTTAGTTTCATGCAAAACTTGGATAGGTGCACTGTGTTCAACAGGTAATTACAGTCACTTTGGAAAGCTATAGCCTTAAAAAAATCTTATAAGTAGTAGTAGGTAGCATCACTAGAATAGCTATATTTTATGAATAGCTTATAGTGAGTTATGAACCCTATAAAATAAGTCAGACTTTAAAACCCTGGTCAAAAGTGAGTATTATAAGGTAAAATTACCCATCGTAGCTGCTTACTTTATTTACCAGACTAGTCTAGTTAGATTCTAAAAACCTAACCTATTTTCAAAAAATAAGCATTTCTGCTACTGAAGAGCTCTAAAAGAATGTTTTTTGATAGGTATTTCAGAGAAGAAATTCCATAAATTTGTTTAATAATGGTGGGTATAAATGTTCAGCTTCATCTGAATGTAAATATGTAGCTGGCTGATTTAAAAGAGACATACATTTTGATGAGCTCTTTTAATGGTCTCCTTAATGACCCCATTTCTCTAATCTCAACATCTATGTACAGTAAAACTATTTTATTTAGTATTCCTAGTTTAATCTCCTCAAAGCATAGCTGTATTATGTTCCTTGCTCAAGTGCTTTCAAGCTATGTCTGTTATCTTCTAATTAAACACAAATTTGTTAGCCTAACAAAATTACATGGACTCCAGTTTACCTTTCCAAGAATAATCAGCACCTAGTAGTTGTTAAGAGGAGGACAAGCAATAACAATAGCTCCATTTTAAGACAGAGGCATCGTCAATATCAGGGATTGAGGAAAAAAAAAAACAGTTAATACAGTAGGCCTGGGACTGCTATCCTTAGAAAGGCTTGTTTGTAAAGTTGACCATTGGCTGGCATCTGGGATCTTGGATTTTGAGAAGATTCTCATCATTCCTTAACTGATAAGAGTGGTTCCAGGTGCCTAAAATCATAGTACAAACAATGTGGTTTATGCTGAACATCTATTTTTCTTCTGGGAGTCTGAATTTTGTACCTGCTTGCTGGAGGGTGCCTACATGACCTATTACCAGTGCAAACTCACTCAGTTAAACTTCCCTAATAGATGACATCTTCCATGTGTTATGGTAATTTATTGCTGAAAGAATTAAGCACATCCTGGGTGACTCCATGGGGAGAAGACTCTTAGAAATTTGTTTGGTTTCCTCCAAACTTTGCCCATGCGCAACTTTCAGCTTTGCTTATTTTGCTTTGTGTTTTTTCGCTGCAATAAATTTTAGTTATGAAGCAGACTGCATGCTGAGTCCCATGAGTCCTCCTAGCAAATCACTGAACCTAGGGGTGGTCTTGGGGGACACTGACACAGGGAGTTGATTGTTTGGCAACACAAGTTGTTTCAGAGCAAATGAATTCTTTTTCCACAAGCTAGCATATTAGTAAACTATCAGGGAGCATAAAATCAGTTGACTGAGTTCTGTCGGGAAACAAAGGGAAAATTTTTCTTCAAAAAGACATGATATCCTCCCTGTTAAGCAAAGCAGTACTTTCCCTGTGGATAAGTGTATTCAGTTGGAATGTGCTTGGCTGCAAGAAACTGAAAACTATTATATTACAATGCTTTAAAGAGGCTAGTGACTTGTTTCTGAGGGAAAGATATCTAGGAGTGGTACAGTCACTCAGTGATGATTTTTTCTTTTTGCTCCACCATCCTTAGTGTATAGTTTTTGTCTTCATGGTCACAAGGCAGCTGCTACAGTGCCATGTATTGTTTGATGTCCAAGTGATCAGGAATAGGAGAATGTGAAGGGCAAAACCCAACTCTGCCCTCTCTAGGGACTTCAATTTCTATATAATTGACTAGCACTGTCCCACAGGAGCTGAAAATTCAACTACTTCACTTTTCAATACTGGAAATGAGTGGTAAGAAACTTGGACTAGATGATCGATGGTCCACATAAATTATCTGTCACAATTCTTCTGACACTAATAGAACAGCAATACAAGATTGTCGTTGATTCCCTATGTGAAGATCCTGTATGTGGATACCTTGATTGTAAGGCTGAGAGATTAAAGACCATAGTAACTTTTGTTAAGTGGTCTCCTTGTCACTCACATACCTTTGCTCCTGAGTTCTTCCATAGGTGCCACTGAACAGCTTCCTTGAGGTAAACTCTTCTGAACTTGTAACCTACATTAACTGGGATATTAATAATCTCTTTTAATCTTAATGCTCTTATGAAATGACATAAAAAGAAGAAATGCATTGCACTGTTGTATGAGCAGATAAGACAAAATACTAATTCTCTCCTTTTCCCCCCATCCTATCTTGTTTTCTTTCTCAGAAGCTGTAGATGAAACCAAACCTAAGGAAAGTGCCCGGCAGGACGAGGGTAAAGAAGAGGAACCTGAGGCTGACCAAGAACATGCCTGAACTCTAAGAAATGGCTTTCCACATCCCCACCCTCCCCTCTCCTGAGCCTGTCTCTCCCTACCCTCTTCTCAGCTCCACTCTGAAGTCCCTTCCTGTCCTGCTCACGTCTGTGAGTCTGTCCTTTCCCACCCACTAGCCCTCTTTCTCTCTGTGTGGCAAACATTTAAAAAAAAAAAAAAAAAGCAGGAAAGATCCCAAGTCAAACAGTGTGGCTTAAACATTTTTTGTTTCTTGGTGTTGTTATGGCAAGTTTTTGGTAATGATGATTCAATCATTTTGGGAAATTCTTGCACTGTATCCAAGTTATTTGATCTGGTGCGTGTGGCCCTGTGGGAGTCCACTTTCCTCTCTCTCTCTCTCTCTGTTCCAAGTGTGTGTGCAATGTTCCGTTCATCTGAGGAGTCCAAAATATCGAGTGAATTCAAAATCATTTTTGTTTTCCTCCTTTTCAATGTGATGGAATGAACAAAAAGGAAAAAATTCAAAAAACCCAGTTTGTTTTAAAAATAAATAAATAAAGCAAATGTGCCAATTAGCGTAAACTTGCGGCTCTAAGGCTCCTTTTTCAACCCGAATATTAATAAATCATGAGAGTAATCAAGGTCCAATGGCTCTGTGTTTCTGTTCTACCTTCTCATTAGTTGGTTGGACATGCTAGGGTCTTACATTTTCATCTTTTTCTTCTCTCAGTTTTACATCAGCAACCCTGATAAAGAAAACACAGATGAAGCCTAAGGCTCTGGTCAAGACCAATAGCTCCGGCCCTCGAGGGAGACATCTGTTGCAGGCCTGTCTCTTTGGCTTATGGGTGGCTATCTTTTAACTGTGCCTCTTCACATCTTCCCTTTATGCCTGTCTTTGTGTCCAAATTTCCCCATTTTGTAAAGATACTAGTGATACTGAGTTGGGCCCACCCTAATGACCTCACTTTAACTTAATTGCCTCTGTCAAAGCCTCATTTTTAAATGAGGTCACATTCTGAGGTACTGGAGCTTAAGGCTTCAACATATAAATTTGGGGGATAGGGCACAATTCAGCCCATAAGAGACACTAATTTATGACCAGTGTATCCAACATGGTGAAACCCTATCTTTACAAAAAATACAAAAACTTAGCCTGGCATGGTGGTGGGCGCCTGTAATCCCAGCCACTCGGGAGGCTGAGGCTGACATTGTGCCATTGCACTCCAGCCTGGGCTACTGAGAGAGACTCCATCTCAAAAACAAACAAACAAACAAACAAAAAAACACTAAGACTCACTCTTACTAAAATAACCTCAAGAGTATTTTCATTATGTAAGAGAAGTTTAGTTTATCCAGTGAAAAGTTATTCTAGGTTTTGCTAAGGTAAATATTACAAAGAGGAGCTGGGCGAGGTGGCACATGCCTGTAGTTCCAGCTACTTGGGAGGCTGAGGTGGGAAGATAACTCGAGCTCAGGAGTTAAAAAGTCCAGCCTAGGCAACCTAAAGTGACCCTGTCTATAAAAAATAAATTCATTATAGAGATGTGTACAACTCTTGGAAACCCCCAGGCTTTTGTTTAATTAATTTATTTTAACCCAAGTATTGAGCCAGTCCATTGTATCTTTTTCAGCTTATAAATTATGTTGAATTTACAATTCCTACACAGGGCAGCTGTCAGATTCTTGATTAGTTATAATCATTATACCTGCTGATGTTGATAGTATATAAAGAAAAGGTGTACATTTAGCACATCCATTTCAAATTTCCAGTTCCAGTTTTTAAAATGCCTTCTATTAGAAGGTAAACAGTTCTTATAAGAAACAAAGCAATATCTCTAAGTCCTGAAGTATCTATGCTCTATATCCCTCCCTACATTTTCTAAATCAATTCTGGTGCAGATTCCTAACATGTCATGTTCTGCTCTAGCCCTGAGTCTCCTCTCATAGACATGCATGGCCAGGGGGTTCCCTTCAGCTTTCTACCCTCACCTGCAGATAGAACTTCCTAGCTAGGAAGAGACAACTAAGTCAAAGAGAAAGTCCTCATACTAATGAAGATCAATGAAATAAGTCATCCTCGGAGTTTCAACCTGTACCTCGGTAACTATGCTCAGCTTTGTGTAGAGCTAGTGCCTAATTAATCAAAGAAAGGTGAAGCCATATGAAAAATGAGTCCTCACTGAATCAACAGGGTCTTTCCTTGGTCACTGACACTAAGTCGAATTTTCATTGGGAGAAACAACCTAAAGAAAAAGGTTAGAAAGTATCAATAACATATATTAAAACAATTTAAGAGTTTGATTTCATTCTGAGTTGATCTGAATTTCATGGAAGACTTGGAAGCAAGAATGTCTGGGGCTCAGTCATGATCTGATTAGAGTCTCATCAGATGTGGAATAAGCTGCTGAAAAGATCATTCATAGATTGAAGTTATATCACATAGGATATCTGGCAACATACTGCTTTAAAAATTCTATTTTACCTCAAAGGTTTTTGTTTTGTTTTTGTGTTTTGGTAAGAAATGCTTTAATCTCTTTCTCAAATCTATACCTGAAAGCAACATTCCTATGACTTGGAAAAATTCAACTTCTTCAAAATACAATTCTAAACATCTTCTGCTGAATCTCTATTTATACTGAAAGCAATAGCCTATGATCTTTTAGGCACATATTAGTATATACTGTTTAGTGGTCTTATTACTTGTGTTAGGGTTGGGAATTTTTTTTACTTATTAGTATCTAAATTTATTTCATTTATAAACTTTTGGTTCCTTAATAGAATTGTAAAGGTGGAGGAAGACACATTAGAGAGGCTCATAATAGAGCCTCTAAGACACCATAGAGAGGCCCCCAAAAGACATACCAAGAATCATTGCAGCCCTAACACTAAATGCAAAACAATGTGACTCAAACTTACAGACAATACACAAAGTCAGGGAGCAATTGGGACGAATAGGCCATTCAAGACACAGAAACATACAGTTTCTAAATTCTGTTCAGAAACAACCTAAGTTGTTGATTCTGAAACACCTAAATCTGGACTACTTTGAAAAATAAAAACTAGGTTGAGGACAAGTCAAAAAGACCTCAACACTGACAGGTGATTTTTTTCAAATAGTAATAAGGTCAGACAGTGGGCTCCAGACCCAACATCTCATTGATAGCAAAATCATTGCCTTGTCTGTATAAAATAAGGTCTTTTGACTGAGGTCTATTATTTGGGTCTAAAATGTTCAGCTACGATGTAATACAATTTAAGTCTCTTTGAAGATAAAAGGATTTCTAAAATAGAACTCTTTATCTCTATCACCCAATCCACATTTGGCTGATTTTCCTGTCTTTTACACCATCATCTACCCAGTGGCTTAGGTCAGAAATCTAGAAAGAAACTTGATTCCTCTTTTTTTTTTCACATAACATTTAATTCATGAGAGCAAATCTACTGCTGTGGATTTCAAAAGGGAATAAAGATAAAATTTGTGCCTGTTGCTCTGACCAATCCTGCACTTTTCTTGGTCAGTCTGTGGTGATCTAAGGGTTCTTTTACAGTGATTCCACCCCACACTCAGTTCAAAAGAAAAATCACAGAAGAATTAGAAAACTCTGTGTCAGTAACCTGGGTTAGAGGCACTTGGAGTTCTCAAAAATGCATTATTCCCAATGTCAGACACCCCCAGAGAAGCCAGTTAGTTCTGCAGTTGGCATGGAAGCCCAGACAACAGGAAAACCAGATTAATGAATAAGTTCCATACAGCATTATTAAGATCACTACAAGTTCCATTAATTTCTTTTTTTTTTTTTTTTACCTTCCCAACATTGACTGTTCTCATGGAAACACAGCTTCTGTTAAGCTGCTTATAAAAATAACTTAATGATTGGTGATCCTCCTTGATAAATGTCAGCTAATGAGCATTAGAAACATGGGCGTCTTTAATTTTAGATAGAACTCTTGCCTAATTTTTCTTCCTGGGGGGTCAAAGCCCATGTCTGCCTGTTATGTAGGCAAGGCCTGCATCCATGTCTACCACCATTTTCAGTCACGTATTTACCCCGCTATAACCTCATTTTTTCCCTTTCTTCATGGATAAAAATTCAGTCATAAGGAATGAGTACAAGATTGAGCTATGAGAATGATGAGTTATTAAATCCTCTTGGAGAACATTATCAAGGTGTCAGAGATATTTTGAATGTGCATTTTCCAGAAGATTAGTCACCTGATTTGTTTTCTTACAGATATGTGTCATGGTTGGTAATTACAGCATGTTTAGTGTTACAGATGTACCTTACTAAGTACATTTTCAATGAAGTGAGATGCCTCTCCATAGAGGAGAAAAATTTCGGTTAATCTCATATTGTGTAAGATCTGGCTACGGAAGCACATAAATTGTAATTAAATTTTAAGTTTCTTTGATTGTTTAATTATCCAAGCAATACTATTTTATTATAGAAAGGTAGAAAATATAAATAAGGAAAAAGATAAAAATAATCCACAGTTTACTACGCAGAATTAAGCCATATTTATATTTAAAGATTCAGCCTTAGGTAATCTGTCTACCTGCCTAACTGCCTCCTCTCTTCCCATATATCATCCACTTATCTATTTAAGACAAACATGGACTCATGTTATACATATAGTTTTGTAAATAACTTTAGACTTTCAACTGCAAATTTTTAATAATGTGTTTATAATATAATTTTGTTAGCCAGATCCACAAAAGTGGAAAAATTAGCTCAAAGGACATGAGTACTTTAAATGATTTTTATATAGATTGCCATGTTAGAGACAGAGGACTTTAAATCTTGTGGTTTCTATTGCGACTTTCCAGTGCCATGCCAAGCCTCAGAAGCCTGAGACAAAAGGAAAAATGTGCAACCTAATACAAATGCTCTTTAACTTACAATTGGTTTATGTCCCAATGAACTCATTGTAAAATTGAAAAATCGTAAGTCAACCTATTGTAAGTTGAAGACCATTTGCATACACTTATCAAAGTATTGTCCCATAGTTTCAATGAAGTGAGAAAGTTAAAAACAGATCTACAAACAAAAACATGATTATATATAAAACCCTGTGTTGCCCAATCCGTTGATGCGCTGTTGTCAACCTTCGTAAACATGCCTCCTGGTGGACTGGTGGACTGTATTGATTTGCCAGACCAGTAAACTGAGGGCTGAGTGGAAGGGACTTATTCTATTGCACAATAATATAGTCATAAAGCAAATAGTCTGTCTCTATTTAAAATTTTGGTATTTGTTTTTCCATAGATATTTTTGCATTAATTTTGAATTTTGAAATATTACATTAAAATACTTTTTTTTTTTTTTGTCAGACAGTCTCACTCTGTCACCCAGGCTGGAGTGAAGTGGCACAATCTCACTTCACTGCAACCTCCATCACCCGGGTTCAAGTGATTCTCCTGCCTCAGCCTCCTGAGTAGCTGAGATTACAGATGCTTGCCACCACACCCAGCTAATTTTTGTATTTTTTGGTAGAGATGGGGTTTCACCATGTTGGCCAGACTGGTCTTGAACTCCTGACCTCAAGTGCCACCTCCCTCAGCCTCCCAAAGTGCTGCTAGGATTACAGGTGTAAGCCATTGTGCCCGGCCCCAATACTATCTTGATTACTAATTTTTTGATGTAACCTTACATTTTGCACTTAAGGCAAGTAGTCTTAACTTGCCTCACCCTAATCCTGGCCCTGCTGCTCCCAAAGGGAATAGTAGAATCATTGGTTCCCAAACATTTTCTGAGGACCATTAGGCAGCTGTGATTATGTGAGGTCTTAGTGATAACCATGGATTGTAATGCTTGAGAATGGGTGGGGCATGAGGACCTGGGAATTAAATATCTAATATTCCTAGAAAGTTAGTAAGATAACTAAGAAGTTTCCCTGCTTTTTAGAGAAGGCATTGCTATGAACTGACTGTTAGTGTCCCCTTAAAATTTATATGTTGAAGCCTAATTTCCAATGTGATGGTATTTAGAGGTGGAGCATTTGGAAGTAATTACACCATGAGGGTAGACCACCCCCCACTCCGATGGAATCAGTGCCCTTATTAAATGAGGAAGGGACATGAGATTTCTCTGTCTTTCTTCCATGTGGGGATACAGCAAGATAGCGGCCTCTGCAACCTGAAAGAGGGCCCTCAACAGAACTTGACCATGCTACCATCCTGATCTTAGACTTCCAGCCTCCAGAATTGTGAAAAATAAATTTCTATTGTTTATATGCCACCTGGTCTGAGGTACTTTTGTTACTGCAGCCAAAACTGACTTAGTATAGATTATAAAACAGCTGGATACAGACAACAAGGAGTGGTTAGAAACTGGTTTGGGCTATGGAGAAGTAAGAATTCATGATCTATCTAAACCCTCTGAAAATACATTAAAAACTAAACTAGAATAAAACTGGGTCTATCAAACCAAAGCACCAGTTTATAATGCCAACCACTCTTCAGGGTTGCACTTGGGAAGAGTACAGTTATGAAACTAGACGTGGTCATTTGAAAAATTGTGTTCTTACTATGAAGCCACAAAAAAGAATGAGATCATGTCTTCATAGGGACATGAATGGAGCTGGAGGCCATTATTCTTAACAAACTAACACAGAAACAGAAAACCAAATGCCACACACTAAATGATGAGAACACATGGACACATAGAAGGGAACATACACTGAGGCCTTTCCAGAGGGTACAGGGTGGGAGGAGAAAGAGGATCCGGAAAAAATAACTAATGGATGTTAGGCTTAATACCTGGGTGATGAAATAATCTGTACAGCAAATCTCCATGACACAAGTTTACCTATGTAATAAACCTGCATTTGTACACCTGAACTTAAAGTAAAAGTTTAAAAGAAAAAGAAAAATTGTACTCCTGAAGAAGCTGATCAAGTAGAACCTTTTATAAATTGGAGTGTTGTGGGAAACAAGTGCTAATTAATTAACTCACCATGGGTACAAATTTATGTTTAAGCTATAGATAAGAATATGGCTATTTCATTTTACATTTAGAAGTAAAAAGGATATAACTCTCTTTTGGAATTAGAAAAAAAGCATGGGAGGAAAAATATGCTTTAAAATTTTTTTTCTGCCACGTTGGAAAAATAGAACAAGCATAGAAATGAAAGGAGAAACACTGGCATCTGTTTTTCTTTTTCTACCTTCCCTTATGCCTTCTCCTTTCTTCCTAGAGTAAGTAAAATAAGCAAAAGATCTCCAGCCTAGGAACATTGGAGTGTTCACTAAGTAAGGGGAAATGGAGAGACAGCATGAGGGAGGCAGCACCCCTGTTCCAGTTTTAGCAATATCAAGATTCAGTGAAGGTTGTAACCATTACCTCCACCTGAAGGGGAACAGCAGCCTTTGCTTTAGCATCAGAGGTCACCAGTAGGATTCTACAGTGCTGCCTTTGCCTACTTTCTGACCTCCTGCCTCTGAACCACACTGCCAGCCTAGACTTGTGAATCCTGCCTTCTTCTCCTTGATTTAGCCCACCCTGTCTGCTTAGATGACTCCTGCTGGACTGTAAATCCCTTAGGCATGGCATGGGATATTTTGTCCTATTTGGTTCTGTACTCCAGAAGCATCTGAAAATAGCAGGCCAAACTAAATAAATGGATGAATGGATGAATGAATAAATGACTTCTAATTCTTGTCTATCAGTCTCTATCTCTTTTTCCCTTCCTTTGGCTTCACAAACTTCCCTTAGGGGTACCAAGATACCCTTGTCCAAGAGTGAGAAGTATTTCCGTGAGAACTCAGCGCTTTCACGTATCATACCTGATGATGAACTTGGGGCAACAAACTACCACATGAATCTAAGTTATATTCATTCACTAAACGACCAGCTGAGAGATTCAGCCACAATGACCTCATCGTTATCCTTCTCTATTCCACTCCTGACTTTGCATTTTCGGCTCTCCATTACTGCATTCCTGCCTTTGCCTTTCTGCTTTTTTTCTGGTTGGAATGCTCTTCCACAGATATTCACATGGCACTTTCTAGGTCATTTCTCAAATATTACCTTTTCATTGAAGCCTTCAAAGACCAGCCCATTAATATTTTCTACTACCCTTCCTATAAAAATATTTCAAATAGACATAGGTCTTAATTCTATTTAAAATACTATATCCTTTACTTAATTATTTTATTTACCTATCTTCCATTACTAGAATATAAGCTTCATAAAAGTAAGAACTTTCCGTTTTGTTTATGTCTCTAGCTCTTAAGACACTTCCTAGCATCCAATAGGATCTCAGTAAATGGGATATGAATAATTTTTATTTTAAGTACTTTACTTGCTCCTTAAAATTGGCTCTTTCTAACTGTAGATTCATCCATGGACCACTGTCTTGTTACATTCCTTAGCAGGAG
This sequence comes from Homo sapiens, assembly GCF_000001405.40. Classification (NCBI taxonomy): domain Eukaryota; kingdom Metazoa; phylum Chordata; class Mammalia; order Primates; family Hominidae; genus Homo; species Homo sapiens. Next base: position 115,729,223 of record NC_000003.12, read on the forward strand.
GCATCTGTGTTCTGGCCCACCCAGCATCTTTTCACATTCCTCTGATGATACATTACCTCTTCCTATTCTATTTAGCTTCAATGGAGCCAATTCTGATTCTTCTCCTCACCCTCAACATAGAAGAGATACAAGAACCAGGTCAGGCCAATCAGACCATCACATCTCCTGGTACAATGATTGATTTAAGCACAGACACGTGACTCTAGATGTGCTCTCCCTTGGAGTTTTCTGCCAAAGCTAGCAAAACAAACAAACAAACAAACAAACAAACAAAACAAAACCCCCCATTCATTTTGGTAGGATTTCTAAACAAGGGAATGTGAGTCTTCTATAGAGAGTGGCTGTTTGCTCACCATGTGGAGGAGAGAGCCTTTCCAAGAAAAGGAAAGAGACAGTCCTGGTAACATTTGTCCTCTAGATGTAACAATGCCTGAAGTAAGTACTATTCTTGGACTTTTAGTAGCGTGTGTTGATACCCTTTTGTGCTTAAGCTTGCTTAAATTATATTTCCATCATTTACAACTTAAAAGATTCATGATATATTAGCCTTTCCATGTTTGCCCCAGCCCCAATAAACCCCTAGGCATAAGTGACTCTCCAGGGAAGCTCCCACCTAGCTGGTCCTGACTTCTTGGCTCTCGGACATTTTCACAATATTTGTAGGATAAGAATAACATTTGTTGTCTAAAGCAATGTGCATAGCATATCATCATTTCTCCCCCATTAGGTTGATAATATATTTTCTTTTTTTTCCTATTATTTTATTTATATTTTATTTTAAGTTCTGGGATACATGTGCAGGATGTACAGGTTTATTACGTAGGTAAACGTGCGCCATGGTGAGTGTGTTGCTGCACATATCAGCCCATCACCTAGGTATTAAGCCCAGCATGCATTAGCTGTTTTTCCTGATTCTCTCTCTCCCCTTGTTCCCCTGATCCCTGCAAAAGGCCCCAGTGTGTGTGTTGTTCTCCTCCCTGTGTCCATGTGTTCTCATTGTTCAGCTTCCACCTATAAGTGAGAACATGTGGTGTTTGGTTTTCTGTTCTTTTGTTAGTTTGCTGAGGGTAATGGCTTCCAGCTCCATCTATGTCCCTGAAAAGGACATGATCTTGTTCCTTTTTTATGGCTTCATAGTATTCCATGGCATATTTGTACCACATTTTCTTTATCCGTTCTATCATTGATGGGCATTTGGGTTGATTCCATGTCTTTGCTATTGTAAATGGTGCTGCAATGAGCATACATGTGCATATATTTTTACAATAGAATAATTTATATTCCTTTGGTTATATACCCAGTAATGGGATTGCTGTGTCAAATGGTATTTCTGGTTCTAGGTCTTTGAGGAATTGCCACACTGTCTTCTACAATGGTTAAACTAATTTACATTCCCACCAACAGTGTAAAAGTGTTCCTTTTCTCCACAGCCTCACCAGCATCTGTTGTTTCTGGACTTTTTAATAATTGCCATTCTGACTGGCATGAGACAGTATTTCATTGTGGTTTTTGATGGGCATTGAGAAGTGTCTGTTCATGTCCTTTGCCTGTTCATGTACTTTTTAATGGGATAGTTTGTTTTTTTTTCTTGTAAATTTGTTTAAGTTCCTTATGATTCTGGATATTAGACCTTTGTCAGATGGAGAGATTGAAAAATTTTCTCCCATTCTGGAGGCTGTCTGTTAGATCCCATTTGTCAATTTTTGCTTGACAAAAGTTTTCATCATGAAATCTTTGCCAGTGCCTATGTTCTGAATGATATTGCCTAGATTTTCTTCTAGGGTTTTATAGCTTTTGGTTTTACATTTAAGTCTTTAATCCATCATGAGTTAATTTTTGTATAAGGTGTAAAGAAGGGGTCCAGTTTCAATTTTCTGCAATGGCTAGTCATTTCTTCCAGCACCGTTTATTAAATAGGGAATTCTTTCCCCATGGCTTGATTTTGTCAGGTTTGTTGAAGATCAGATGGTTGTAGATGCATGGTCTTGGTTCTGAGTTCTTTATTCTGTTCCATTGGTCTATGTGTTTGTTTTTCTACCAGTACCATGCTGTTTTGGTTTCTGTAGGCTTATAATATAGTTTGAAGTCAGGTAGTGTGATGCCTCTAGCTTTGTTCTTTTTGCTTAGGATTGTCTTGGCTATTCATGTTCTTTTTTGGTTCCATATGAATTTTAAAGTAGTTTTTTTCCAATTCTGTGAAGAATGTCAGTGGTAATTTAATGGGAATACCATTGCATCTATAAATTGCTTTGGGCAGTATGGCCATTTTCACAATATTGATTCTTTCTTTCCTTGAGCATAGAATGTTTTTCCATTTGTTTGGGTCCTCTCTGATTTCTTTGGGCAGTGGTGTGTACTTCTTGAAGAGGTCCTTCATTTCCCTTGTTAGCTGTATTCCTAGTTATTTTATTCTCTTTGTAGCAATTGTAAATGGGAGTTCATTCATGATTTAGTTCTCTGCTTGTCTATTGTTGGTATATAGGAATGCTTATGATTTTTGCACACAGATATTTTACCCCAGGACTTTGCTGAAGTTGCTTATCAGCTTAAGAAGCTTTTGGGCTGAGAGGATGGACTTTTGTAGATATAGGATCATGTCATCTGCAAATAGAGACAGTTTGACTTCCTTTCTTCTTATATGGATACACTTTATTTCTTTCTCTTGCCTGATTGCTCTTGCTAGAACTTCCAATATTATGCTGAATAGGAGTGGTGAGAGAGGGCATCTTTGTCTTATGCCAGTTTTCCAGGGGAATGCTTCCAGGTTTTGCCCATTCAGTATGATATTGGGTGTGGGTTTGTTATAAATAGTTCTTATTATTTTGAAGTATGTTCCATCAATACCTAGTTTATTGAGAGTTTTTAACATGAAGGTATTTTTAATTCTATTGAAGTCCCTTTTTTGCACCTAATGAGATAATCACATGGTTTTTTTTCTCTTTTTTAAAAATTATACTTTAAGTTGTAGGGTACAAGTGCAAAACGTGCAGGTTTGTTACATAGGTATACATGTGCCATGTTGGTTTGTTTCATCCATTAACCTGTAATTTACATTAGGTATTTCTCCTGATACTATCCCTCCCCCTGCCCCCCACCCCATGACAGGCCCTGGGGTGTGATGTTCCCCACCCTGTGTCCAAGTGTTCTCATCGTTCAATTCCAACCTATGAGTGAGAACATGTGGTGTTTGGTTTTCTGTCCTTGTGATAGTTTGCTGATAGTTTGCTGAGAATGGTTTCCAGCTGCATCCATGTCCCTGCAAAGGAGATGAACTCATCCTTTTTTATGGCTGCATAGTATTCCATGGTGTATATGAGTCACATTTTCTTAATCCAGTCTATCATTGATGGACATTTGGATTGGTCCCAAGTCTGTATTGTGAATAGTGCCGCAATAAACACACGTGTGCATGTGTCTTTATAGTAGAATGGTTTATAATCCTTTGGGTATATACCCAGTAATGGGATTGCTGGGTCAAATGGTATTTCTAGTTCTAGATCCTTGAGGAATCACCACACTGTCTTCCACAATGGTTGAACTAGTTTCACCAACAGTGTAAAAGCGTTCCTATTTCTCCACATCCTCTCCAGCATCTGTTGTTTCCTGACTTTTTAATGATCGCCATTCTAACTGGTGTGAGATGGTATCTCACTGTGGTTTTGATCTGGATTTCTCTGATGGCCAGTGATGATGAGCATTTTTTCATTTGTCTGTTGGCTGCATAAATGTCTTCTTTTGAGAAGTGTCTGCTTATACACTTTGCCTACTTTTTGATGGGTTTTTTTTTCTTTGTAAATTTGTTTAAGTTCTTTGTAGATTCTGGATATTAGCCCTTTGTCAGATGGGTAGATTGCAAAAATTTTCTCCCTTTATGTAAGTTGCCGTTCACTCTGATGGCTGTTTCTTTTGCTGTGCAGAAGCTCTTTAGTTTAATTAGATCCCATTTGTCAATTTTGGCTTTTGTTGCCATTGCTTTTGGTGTTTTAGTCATGAAGTCCTTGCCCATGCTTATGTCCTGAATGGTATTGCCTAGGTTTTCTTCTAGGGTTTTTATGGGTTTAGGTCTAACGTTTAAGTCTTTAATCCATCTTGAATTAATTTTTGTATAAGGTGTAAGGAAGGGATCCACTTTCAGCTTTCTACATATGGCTAGCCAGTTTTCTCAGCACCATTTATTAAATAGAGAATCCTTTCCCCATTGCTTGTTTTTGTCAGGTTTGTCAAAGATCAGATGGTTGTAGATGTGTGGTGTTATTTCTGATGCCTCTGTTCTGTTCCATTGATCTATATCTCTGTTTTGGTAGCAGTACCGTGCTTTTTGGTTACTGTAGCCTTGTAGTATAGTTTGAAGTCAGGTAGCGTGATGCCTCCAGCTTTGTTCTTTTGGCTTAGGATTGTCTTGGCAATGCTAAGACATATGAACTTTAAAGTCATTTTTTCCAATTCTGTGAAGAAAGTCATTGGTAGCTTGATGGAGGTGGCATTGAATCTATAAATTACCTTGGGCAGTATGGCCATTTTCACGATATTGATTCTTTCTAACCATGAGCATGGAATGTTCTTCTATTTATTTGGGTCCTCTTTTATTTCATTGAGCAGTGTACAATTTGTAGTTCTTCTTGAAGAGGTCCTTCACATCTCTTGTAAGTTGGATTCCTAGGTATTTTATTCTCTTTGTAGCAATTGTGAATGGGAGTTCACTCAGGATCTAGCTCTCTGTTTGCATGTTATTGGTATACAGGAATGTGTGTGATTTTTGCACATTGATTTTGTATCCTGAGATTTTGCTGAAGTTGTTTATCAGCTTAAGGAGATTTTGGGCTGAGATGATGGGGTTTTCTAAATATACAATTATGTCATCTGCAAACAGGGACAGTCTGACTTCCTCTTTTCCTAATTGAATATGCTTTATTTCTTTCTCTTGCCTGATTGCCCTGGCCAGAACTTCCAACACTATGTTGAATAGGAGTGGTGAGAGAGGGCATCCCTGTCTTGTGCCAGTTTTCAAAGGGAATGCTTCCAGTTTTTGCCCATTCAGAATGATATTGGCTGTAGGTTTGTCATATATAGCTCCGATTATTTTGAGATATGTTCCATCAATACCTGGTTTATTGAGAGTTTTTAGCATGAAGGGTTGTTGAATTTTGTCGAAGGCCTTTTCTGCATCTATTGAGATAATCACGTGGCTTTTGTCATTGGTTCTGTTTATGTGATGGATTATGTTCATTGATTTGCATATGGTGAACCAGCCTTGCATCCCAGTGATAACACCGATTTGATTATGGTGGATAAGGTTTTTGATGTGCTGCTGGATTCGGTTTGCCAGTATTTTATTGAGGATTTTTGCATCGATGTTCATCAGGGATATTGGTCTAAAATTCTCTTTTTTTGTTGTGTCTCTGCCAGGCTTTGGTATCAGGATGATGCTGGCCTCATAAAATGAGTTAAGAAGGATTCCCTCTTTTTCTATTGATTGGAATAGTTTCAGAACGAATGGTACCAGCTCCTCTTTGTAACTCTGATAGAATTCGGCTGTGAATCCGTCTGGTCCTGGCCTTTTTTTGGTTGTTAGGCTATTAATTATTGCCTCAATTTCAGAGCCTGTTATTGGTTTATTCAGACATTCAACTTCTTCCTGGTTTAGTCTCGGGGGGGTGTATGTGTCCAGGAATTTATCCATTTCTTCTAGATTTTCTAGTTTATTTGAGTAGAAGTGTTTATAGTATTCTCTGATGGTAGTTTGTATTTCTGTGGGATCGGTGGTGATATCCTCTTTATCATTTTTTATCACCTGTATTTGATTCTTCTCTCTTTTCTTCTTTATTAGTCTTGCTAGAGGTCTATCAATTTTGTTGATCTTTTCAAAAAACAAGCTCCTATATTCATTGATTTTTTTGAAGTTTTTTTTTGTGTCTCTATCTCCTTCAGTTCTGTTCTGATCTTGGTTATTTCTTGCCTTCTGCTAGCTTTTGAATTTGTTTGCTCTTGCTTCTCTAGTTCTTTTAATTGTGACATTAGGGTGTCAATTTTAGATCTTTCCTGCTTTCTCTTGTTGGAATTTAGTGTTATAAATTTCCCTCTACACACTGCTTTAAATGTGTCCCAGAGATTCTGGTACGTTGTGTCTTTGGTCTCATTGGTTTCAAAGAACATCTTTATTTCTGCCTTAATTTTGTTATTTACCCAGTAGTCATTCAGGAGCGGGTTATTCAGTTTCCATGTAGTTGTGCAGGTTTGAGTGAGTTTCTTAATCCTGAGTTCTAATTTGATTGCACTGTGGTCTGAGAGACAGTTTGTTGTGATTTTTATTCTTTTACATTTGCTGAGGAGTGCTTTACTTCCAAATATGTGGTCAATTTTGGAATAAGTGCGATGTGGTGCTGAGAAGAATGTATATTCTGTTGATTTGGGGTGGAGAGTTCTGTAGATGTCTATTAGGTCTGCTTGGTGCAGAGCTGAGTTCAAGTCCTGGATATCCTTATTAACCTTCTGTCTCATTGATCTGTCTAATATTGACAGTGGGGTGTTAAATTGTCCCATTATTATTGTGTGGGAGTCTAAGTCTCTTTGTAGGTCTCTAAGAACTTGCTTTATGAATCTGGGTGCCCCTGTATTGGGTGCATATATATTTAGGATAGTTAGCTCTTCTTGTTGAATTGATCCCTTTACCATTATGTAATGGCCTTCTTTGTCTCTTTTGATCTTTGTTGGTTTAAAGTCTGTTTTATCAGAGACTAGGATTGCAACCCCTGCTTTTTTTTTTTTTTTTTGCTTTCCATTTGCTTGGTAGATATTCCTCCATCCCTTTATTTTGAGCCTATGTGTGTCTCTGCATGTGAGATGGGTCGCATGAAAACAGCACACTGATGGGTCTTGACTCTATCCAATTTGCCAGTCTGTGTCTTTTAATTGGGGCATTTAGCCCATTTACATTTAAGGTTAATATTGTTATGAGTGAATTTGATCCTGTCATTATTATGTTAGCTGGTTATTTTGCCAATTAGTTGATGCAGTTTCTTCCTAGCATCAATGGTCTTTACAATTTGGTATGTTTTTTGCAGTGGCTGGTACCCGTTTTTCCTTTCCATATTTAGTGCTTCCTTCAGGATCTCTTGTAAGGCAGGCCTGGTGGTGACAAAATGTCTCAGCGTTTGCTTATCTGTAAAGGATTTTATTTCTCCTTCACTTGTGAAGCTTTGTTTGGCTGGATATGAAATTCTGGGCTGAAAATTCTTTTCTTTGAGAATGTTAAATATTGGCTCCCACTTTCTTCTGGCTTGCAGAGTTTCTGCCAAGAGATCCGCTGTTAGTCTGATGGGCTTCTCTTTCTGGGTAACCCGACCTTTCTTTCTGGCTGCCCTTAACATTTTTTCCTTCATTTCAACCTTGGTGAATCTGATAATTATGTGTCTTGGGGTTGCTCTTCTCAAGGAATGTCTTTGTGATGTTCTCTGTATTCACTGAATTTGAATGTTGGCCTGCCTTGCTAGGTGGGGGAAGTTCTCCTGGATAATATCCTGAAGAGCGTTTTCCAACGTGGTTCCATTCTCCCTGTCACTTTCAAGTACACCAATCAAACGTAGATTTTGTCTTTTCACATAGTCCCATATTTCTTGGAGGCTTTGTTCATTTCTTTTTGCTCTTTTTTTTTTTTTTTTTTTTTTTTTTGAGTCTCACTCTGTCACCCAGGCTGGAGTGCAGTGGCATGATCTTGGCTCACTGCAATCTCCACCTCCCAGGTTCATGCCATTCTCCTGCCTTAGCTTCCCTAGTAGCTGGGACTACAGGTGCCTGCCACCATGCCTGGCTAATTTTTTGTATTTTTAGTGGAGATGGAGTTTCACCATATTAGCCAGGATGGTCTCGATCTCCTGACCTCATGATCTGCCTGCCTCAGCCTTCCAAAGTGGTGGGATTACAGGCGTGAGCCACCGAGCCTGGCCTTTTTTACTCTTTTTTCTCTAAACTTCTCTTCTCACTTTATTTCATTAATTTGATCCTCAATCACTGATACCCTTTCTTCCACTTGATCGAATTGGCTATTGAAGCTTGTGCATGCATCATGTACTTCTCATGCCATGGTTTTCACCTCCATCAGGTCATTTAAGGTCTTCTCTACACTGTTTATTCTAGTTAGCCATTTCTCTGTCTTTTTTCAAGGTTTTTTAGCTTCCTTGCGATGGGTTCGAACATCCTCCTTTAGCTCAGAGAAGTTTGTTATTACTGACCTTCTGAAGCCTACTTTTGTCAGCTTGTCAAAGTCATTCTCTGTCCAGCTTTGTTCCATTGATGGCGAGGAGCTGCGATCCTTTGGAGGAGAAGAGGCGCTCTGGTTTTTAGAATTTTCAGCTGTACTGGTTTGGTTTCTCCCCATCTTTGTGGTTTTATATACCTTTGTTCTTTGATGTTGGTGACCTACAGATGGGGTTTTTGTGTGGACATCCTTTTTGCTGATGTTGTTGCTATTCCTTTCTGTTTGTTAGTTTTCCTTCTCACAGTTAGGTCCCTCAGCTACAGATCTGTTGGAGTTTGCTGGAGGTCCACTCCAGACCCTGGTTTCCTGGGTATCACCAGCGGATGCTGCAGAACAGCAAATATTGCAGAACAGCAAATATCACTGCCTGATCTTTCCTCTGGAAGCTTCATCCCAGAGGGGCACCCACCTGTATGTGGTGTCAGTCGGCCCCTACTAGGAGGTGTCTCCCAGTTAGGCTACATGGGGGTCAGGGACCCACTTGAGGAGGCAAGTTTGTCCATTCTCCAAGCTTGAACACCATGCTGGGAGAACCACTGCTCTCTCCAGAGCTGTCAGACATGGATGTTTAAGTCTGCAGAAGTTTCTGCTGCATTTTGTTCAGCTATGCCCTGCCCCCAGAGGTGGAGTCTTCAGAGGCAGCAGGCTTGGCTGAGCTGTGGTGGGTTCCACCCAGTTCGAGCTTCCCTGGCTGATTTGTTTACCTACTCAAGCCTCAGCAATGGTGGACGCCTCTCCCCCTGCCAGGCTGCTGCCTCACAGGTGGATCTCAGACTGCTGTGCTAGAAGGGAGCAAGGCTCCATGGGCATGTGACCCACCGAGCCAGGCATGGGATATAATCTCGTGTGCCGTTTGCTAAGACTGTTGGAAAAGCACAGTATTTGGGCAGGAGGGTCCCATTTTTCCAGGTACCATCTGTCATGGCTTCCCTTGGCTAGAAGAGGGAAATCCCCTGACCCCTTGCACTTCCCAGGTGAGGCAATGCCCCACCCTGCTTTGGCTCGCCCTCCGTGGGATGCACCCACTGTCCAACCAGTCCCAATGAGATGAACCAGGTACCTCAGTTGGAAATGCAGAAATCACCCATCTTCTGCGTGGACCACACTGGGAGCTGCAGACTGGAGCTCTTCCTATTCCACCATCTTGGAATGGACCGATCACATGGTTTTTGTCTTTAGTTCTGTTCATGTGATGAATTATGTTTATTGGTTTGCATATGTTGAACCAGCCTTGCATCTCAGGGATGAAGCCAACTTGATTGTGGTAGATAATCTTTTTGATGTGCTGCTGGATTTGGTTTGTATTTTATTGAAGATTATTGCATTGATGTTCATCAGGGATATTGGCCTGAAGTTTTCTTGTTGTTGTTGTATCTCTGCAAGGTTTTGGTATCAGGATGATGTTGACCTCATAAAATAAGTTACAGAGGATTCCCTCCTTTCCAATTGTTTGGAATAGTTTTAGAAGAAATGGTACCAGCTCCTCTTTGTAGTTCTGGTAGAATTCAGCTGTAAACCTGCCTGGTCCGGGGCTTTTTTTGGTTGGTAGACTATTACTGCCTCAATTTCAGAACATTTTATTGGTCTATTAAGGGATTCAACTTATTCCTGGTTCAGTCTTGGGAGGGTGTATGTGTCCAGGAATTTATCCATATCTTCTGGATTTTCTAGTTTATTAGGTTAGAGGTGTTTATAGTATTATCTGATGGCAGTTTGTATTTCTGTTGGGTCAGTGGTGATATCCCCTTTATCATTTTTTGTTGTATCTGTTTGATTCTTTTCGCTTTTCTTCTTTATTAATCAAGCTAGCAGTCTATCCATATTATTAATTTTTTTGAAAAAACAGCTACTAGATTCATTGATTTTTTGAATAGTCTTTTGTGTCTCTATCTCCTTCAGTTCTGCTCTCATCTTGGACATTTTTTGTCTTCTGCTAGCTTTGGGGTCTGCTCTTGGTTCTCTAGTTCTTTTAATTGTGATGTTAGGATGTAGATTGGAGATCTTTTTAGCTTTTTGATGTGGGCATTTAGTGCAATAAATTTTCCTCTTATCACTGCTTTATCTGCATCCCAGAGATTCTGTACATTGTTTGTTTGCTCTCATTGGTTTCAAAGAACTTCTTGATTTCTGCCTTAATTTCATTATTTACCCAGGAGATGTGTTGGAGTTTGCTGGAGGTCCACCCCAGATGCTGTTTGCCTGGGTATCACCAGCGGGTATCATTCAGGAGCAGGTTGTTTAAATTCCATGTAGTTTTGTGGTTTTGAGTGAGTTTCTTAATCTTCTAATTTGATTGCTCTGTGGTCTGAGAGACTGTTTGTTATGATTTCAGTTCTTTTGCGTTTGCTGAAGATTGTTTTACTTCCAATTATGTTATCAATTTTAGAGTAAGTGCCATGTGGCACTGAGAAAAAGGTATATTCTGTTGTTTTTGGGTGGAGAGTTCTGTAGATATCTGTCAAGTCCACTTGACTAAGCTGAGTTCAATCCTGAATATCTTTGTTAATTTTCTATCTTGATGATTTGTCTACTATTGACAACAGGGTGTTAAATCTTTCACCATTATTGTGTGGGAGTCTAAGTCTCTTTGAAGGTCTCTAAGAGCTTGTTTTATGAATCTGGGTGCTCCTGTATTGGGTGCATATATATTTAGGTTAGTCAGCTCTTCTTGTTGAATTGAACCCTTTACCATTATGTAATGTCCTTCCTTGTCTTTTTTGATCTTTCTTGGTTAAAGTCTGTTTTGTAAGAAACTAGGATTGCAACCCCTGTTTTTTTTTTTGTTTTTTTTTGTTTTTGTTTTTGTTTTTTTGTTTTTTTTTGCTTTCCATTTGCTTAGTAGATTTTCCTCCATCCCTTTATTTTGAGCCTATGTGTGTCTTTGCATGTGAAATGGGTATCTTGAATACGGCACACCAATGAGTCTTGACTCTTTATCAAGCTTGCCATTGTGTGTCTTAACTGGGCCCATTTACATTTAAGGTTAATATTGTTACATGTGAATTTGATCCTGTCATCATGATGCTAGCTGGTTATTTTATAGTCTTGTTTATGTAGTTACTTCATTGTGTTGTTGGTCTGTGTACTTCAGTTTGTTTTTGTAGTGGCTGGTAATGTTTTTTCCTTTCTACATTTAGTGCTTCCTTCAGGAGCTCTTGCAAGGCAGTCCTGGTGGTGTGAAAGTCCCTCAGCATTTGCTTGCCTGAAAAGGACTTTATTTCTCCTTCATTTATGAAGGAAAGTTTGGCTGGGTATGAAATCCTCAGTTGGAAATTCTTTTCTTTAAGAATGTTGAATACTGGCCCCTAATCTCTTCTGGCCATAGGGTTTCTGTTGCAAGGTCTGCTGTTAGTCTGATGGGCTTCCATTTGTAGGTGACTTGGCCTTTCTCTCTGGCTGCCCTTAACTTTTTTTATTCATTTGACCTTGGAGAATCTGATGATTATGTGTCTTGGGGTTGATTTCTCTTGGAGTATCTTACTGGAGTTCTCTGTGTTTCCTGAATTTGAAGGTTGACCTGCCTTGCTAGGTTGGGAAAGTTCTCCTAGATGATATCCTGAAGTATGTTTTCCAAGTTGGTTCCATTTTCCCTGCCTCTTTCAGGTACCCTAATCAGTTATAGGTTCAGTCTTTTTACATAATCCCATAGTTCTTGGAGGTTTTGTTCATTCCTTTTCATTTTTTTTCTCTAATCTTTTCTGCCTGTCTTATTTTAGCAAGATAGTGTTCAAGCTCTGATATTCTTTCCTCTGCTTGGTCTATTCGGCTATTGATACTTGTGATTACATTGTGAAGTTCTCATGTTGTGTTTTTCAGCTCTATCAAGTCGTTTATGTTCCTCTAACATTTTATGATGGTTCTTAACTTCTTTGCACTGGGATAGAACATACTCTGTTAGCTCATCAAAGTTCATTATTACCCACATTTTGAAGCCTGTTTCTGCCAGTTCATCCAGCTCAGCCTCAGCCCAGTTCTGGCTCCTTGCTGGAGAGGTGTTGTCATCATCTAGAAGAGAAGAGGAACTCTGGCTTTTGAGTTTTCAGTGTGTTTTTTCATTGATTCTTCACATCTTCACAAGTTTATCTACCTTTGATCTTTGAGGTTGCTGACGTGTGGATGGAGTTTTTATGGGTACTTTTTTGTTGACTGTGTTGTTTTTGTTGCCTTCTGTTTGTTTGTTTTTCTTTTAACAGTCTGGCCCCTCTTCTGTAGGGCTGCTGTGATTTGCTGGGGGGGCCACTCTAGATCCTATTTGCCTGGGTCCCTCCCACACCTGGAGGTGTCACCAGTGGAGGCTGCACAGCAGCAAAGATGGCTGCCTGCTCCTTCCTCTGGGAGCTCAATCCCAGAGAGGCACCAGCCTGATGCCAGCAGGAATGCTCCAGTATAAGGTGTCTGGCAACCCCTGTTGGGGGGTCTCACCCAGTCAGGAGGCGCAAGACCAGGGACCTGCTTAATGAAGCACTCCGGCTGCCCCTTGGTGGACGAGGAGCTCTGCGCTTGGGGGAATCCCACTTGTCTGGACTGCCCGGATTCCTCAGAGCCAGTAAGGGAAAAGACTAAGTCTGCTGATCCATGGGGACTCCAGCTGCCTCTCCCTGCAGGGCCTCCATCCCAGGGAGATTAAAGTTCTGTCCCTAAACCCCTGGCTATAGTTGCTGAAATTCCCAGACCCTGTCTGATGAGGAGGGATGGCTCCTGGTACGGCCTAAAGAGTCAGTCTGGCCACAGTCTGCCACAGCTGCTGTGCTGCACTGTGGGGAATTCCTCCTGGGGCCAAATCACCCAGTCTCCCCAGCACTGGCAAGAGAAAAAGGCCAACTGGAGCTACAGTGATGGCTGCTGTCTCTCCCCTCGGGAGCTCAGTCATCTTAGGCAGCAGGCAGCCACGGTGATGACAGCCACCCATGCCCCCAGGAACTGGGTAGTCTTAGGCAGTCTTCAGCCAAGCAGCTACTGAGAATCTGCACAGCTCTGTGCTTAGGACCCAAGGACCTTATAGCATGAGCTTACAAGGGGATCTCCTGATGTACAATTGCACAAATCCATGGAAAAAAACATGGTTTCCTGGGTGAGGCAGCACAATTACTCAACACCTCCCTTGGTTGGGAGTGGGAGTTCCCCTTGCCCCATTCAGCTCCTGGATGGGCCGTCGCTCTACCCTGCTTTTCCCTGCTCTCCTTGGGTTGTGCCAACCTCCTAGTCAGTCCCAATGAGAGAACCTAGATACCTTAGTTGCTGGTGCAGGATTCACTCACTGTTTTCATTCTTCTCAGTGGGAGCCTCCAACTGCAGCTGATTGTAGACCAATATATTTTCAAGATTGAATCCACAAACTAAAAATGCTGAAGGACAACAGCATTATGTCTGCAGAGGAAGGAACATGTAATAATATACAACTAAAGTTGGAATTGAGGTTAGGTGTTACCAATGACACTTCTCCCATCTCCAGACTTTCAGTGAAAGTCATAAAGCACATTTTATGCTTAGAAGAACAGGATATTCTATGCAATCTAATTTTGAAGCCATAGGTGTCTCTTTAAAAACTCTAACTTTATTTTACATCAGACGAGCATATGGTGTAAAAGTAATTATACATTTTAATGAACATGAATTCTTTCCTATTAGCAAATTATGTTGAACAAATATTTTTAAATATTTACTCTGGATATATTTATGTTATGCCACAATAGAGTGGGTGTTTAATGAAATGAAAATTGGTATGGTTTTGTTGCTTGGAGTAGAAAACACTATGTATCTATGTACATATATACACATATATGTGTATACGCATGCAGGTACATATATAAAAATGTATATATACATAGTATATACATGTATGTAATAATTTGATAAGATATAGAAAAATGAGATGAGAAATACAAAATTGAAAACAAAATAAAACAGAACCATTGAAGCTTCACTTCAACATTTATAACACAAAATCAAGTCTCATTTGTACTTATTTTGAATCTTTTCCAAAGGAATTAGGATACAGGAAGAGCTCATTTTACCAGAACATTTTTTTAAATAGGGATCAGGCTGGGTGCAGTGGCTCACACCTGTAATCCCAACACTTTGGTAGGCCAAGGCAGGTGGATCAAAAGGTCAGGAGATAAAGAGCATTCTATCTAACATGGTGAAACCCTGTCTCTACTAAAAATACAAAAAGTTAGCCCGGCGTGGTGGTGGGCGCTTGTAGTCCCAGCTACTCGGGAGGCTGAGACACGAGAATGGCATGAACCTGGGAGGCAGAGGTTGCAGTGAGCCGAGATTGCGCCACTGCACTCCAGCCTGGGTGACAGAGTGAGACTCCTTCTCAAAAAAAAAAAAAAAAAAAAATTAAATAGGGATCATTAACCAGCACCAAGGACTGCCCTGGAAAGGGGTTTTATTGTGTTTCTGAAGAGGCAAAGTCATGTTGTTGTCCCCACCTACGTTTGCTCCTTTTCTCCAGATAACCCTTGCGAGCACTAAATTGGAGCTATCACATCATGCTGTGTGTTACTAAGTTCAAGTCTTCATCTGCTGCTTTAAAGCCGTGACCTGGGCAACTTGGATGGACTCACTTCTCCAATTTATACATGCTCAATATCTGTTTCCTTTTCTTTCTTTCTTTCCTTTCTTTCTTCTTCTTCTTTTTTTTTTTTTTTTTTTCCACCCCCGAGACAGGGTTTTGCTCTGCTACCCAGGCTGGAGTGCAGTGGCATGATCATGGCTCACTGCGGTCTCGAACTCCCGGGCTCAAGAGATCCTCTTGGCTCAGTCTTCTGAGTAGCTGGGGCTACAGTCATACACTACCACACCCAGCTAATTTTTTCAATTTTTAGTAGAGGTGAGGTCTCTCTATGTTGCTCAGGCAGGCCTCAAACTCCTGAGCTCAAGCGATTGTCCTGCCTTGCCTCCTAAAATGCTGAGATTACAAGCATGAGCCACTACACCTGGCCTCAACTTTTGTTTTATAGGGTATTTTATAGGGTACTCCACAGGAGCCTAGAAACTACTACAAGTTCAAGACATCATCAATAGAATCCACAAAAACCTATTAAACACTTGTACTACCTTAGATACAGGAGATAAAAGAAGATGAGATAAAGAAGTCATGGCCCTCAGGCAAGCGGACTTTGGAGGCTCTGGAAAAGGGAAAGACTGGGCAAATTGAATGCCTAATAGGGCTTGCTTTCAGTGCAGTCTACAAGGACACTTTAAAAAAAAGATTGTCTGAATAGAAATAAGCCGCCCACTCATCCATGCCTCTTATGTCAAGGGAATCACTGGAAGGCCCACTGCCCCAGGGGATGAAGTTCCTCTGAGTCAGAAGCCACTAACCAGATGATCCAGCAACAGGACTGAGGGTGCCCGGGGCAAGCGCCAGCCCATGCCATCACCCTCACAGAGCCCCAGGTATGCTTGACCATTGAGGGCCAGGAGGTTAACTGTCTCCTGGACAGTGGCGCTGCCTTCTCAGTCTTACTCTTCTGTGCCAGACAACTGTCCTCCTGATCTGTCACTATCTGAGGGGTCCTAGGACAGGCAGTCACTAGATACTTCTCCCAGGCACTAAGTTGTGACTGGGGAACTTTACTCTTTTCACGTGCTTTTCTAATTATGCCTGAAAGCCCCACTCCTTTGTTAGGGAGAGACATCCTAGCAAAAGCAGGGGCCATTATACACCTGAATATAGGAGAAGGAACACACATTTCTTGTCCCCTACTTGAGGAAGGAATTAATCCTGACAATTAATTCCTGACAACAGAAGGACAATATGGATGAGCGAAGAATGCCCATTCCCTTCAAGTTAAACTAAAAGATTCACCTTCTTTCCCTACCAAAGGCAGTACCCCCTTAGACCTGAGGCCCAACAAGTACTTCAAAAGATTAAGGACCTAAAAGCCCAAGGCCTAGTAAAATCATGCAATAGTGCAATAGTCCCTACAATACTTCAATTTTAGGAGTACAGAAACCCAATGGAGAGTGGAGATTAGTGCAAGATCTCAGGATTATCAATGAGGCTGCTGTCCCTGTATAACCAGCTGCACCTAACCCTTATGCTCTGCTTTCCCAAATACCAGAAGAAGCAGAATGGTTTACAGTCCTGGACCTTAAGGATGACTTTTTCTGCATCCCTTACATCCTGACTCTCAATTCTTCTTTGCCTTTGAAGATCCTTCGAACCCAACGTCTCAACTCACCTGGACTGTTTTACCCCAAGGTTTCAGGCCATCTATTTGGCCAAGCATTAGCCCAAGACTTGAGCCAGTTCTCATACTTGGACACTCTCGTCCTTTGGTATGTGAATGATTTACTTTTAGCCTCCTGTTCAGAAACTTTGTGCCATCAAGCCACCCAAGCGCTCTTAAACTTCCTCACCACTTGTGGCTACAAGGTTTCCAAACCAAAGGCTCAGCTCTGCTCACAGCAGTTTAAATACTTAGGGCTAAAATTATCCAAAGGAACCAGGGCCCTCAGTGAGGAATGTAACCAGCCTATACTGGCTTATCCTCATCCCACAACGCTGGATACTGCCAAAGGAACCTGAAAATGCAGGAGACAATGCTAGCTATTCCTGCGAACCTCTACAGGATCTGTGCCTGCTCTTCAAATGACAACCGTGAGGAAAGTAACTAGAATCGTAGATCCCCGTGGCCCTCCCTTGTCACATTTTTCTCTTTACTGTTCTCTTACCCACTTTCACTCTCATTGCACCTCCTCCATGCTGCTGTACTACCAGTAGTTCCCCTCACCAAGAGCTTCTATGGATAATGCAGCTTCCCAGAAATACTGACACCTCATTGTATAGGAGTTTTTCTAAAGGAAACCCCACTTTCACCCCCCGTACACATACTCGCCCAGTAAGCCTATTTAATACCACTCTCACTGGGCTCCATGAAGCCTCAGCCCAAAACCCTACTAACTGTTGGATGTGCCTCACCCTGCATTTAGGCCATACATTTCAATCCCTGTATCTTTAATCTCCTTGTTAAGTTTGTCTCTTCCAGAATCGAAGGTGTAAAACTACAAATCGTTCTTCAAATGGAGCCCCAGATGCAGTCCATGACTAAGATCTACTGCGGACCCCTGGACTGGCCTGCTAGCCAATGCTCTGATGTTGATGACATCGAGGGCACCTCTCCCAAGGAAATCTCAACTGCATGACCCCTGCTATGCCCCAATTCAGCAGAAAGCAGTTAGAGCAGTCGTCAGCCAACCTCCCCAACAGCACTTGGGTTTTCCTGTTGAGAGAGGGGACTGAGAGACAGGACTAGCTGGATTTCCTAGGCCGACTAAGAATTCCTGAACCTAGCTGGGGAAGCTGACCACACCCACCTTTAAACACAGGGCTTGTAACTCAGCTCACACCTGACCAATCAGGTTGTAAAGAGAGCCCAGTAAAATACCAATTAGGCTAAAAGCAGGAGGTAAAGAAATAATCAAATCTCTCTTTTCTTCTTTATTAGTCTTGCTAGTGTTCTATCAATTTTGTTGATCTTTTCAAAAAACCAGCTCCTGGATTCATTGATTTTTTGAAGGGTTTTTTCTGTCTCTATTTCCTTCAGTTCTGCTCTGATCTTAGTTATTTCTTGCCTTCTGCTAGCTTTTGAATGTGTTTGCTCTTGCTTCTCTAGTTCCTTTAATTGTGATGTTAGGGTGTCAATTTTAGATCTTTCCTGCTTTCTTTTGTGGGCATTTAGTGTTATAAATTTTCCTCTACACACTGCTTTGAATGTGTCCCAGAGATTCTGGTATGTTGTGTCTTTGTTCTCGTTGGTTTCAAAGAATATCTTTATTTCTGCCTTCATTTCATGATGTACCCCGTAGTCATTCAGGAGCAGGTTGTTCAGTTTCCATGTAGTTGAGCGGTTTTGAGTGAGTTTCTTAATCCTGAGTTCTAGTTTGATTGCACTGTGGTCTGAGAGAGAGTTTGTTATAATTTCTGTTCTTTTACATTTGCTGAGGAGTGCTTTACTTCCAATTATGTGGTCAGTTTTGGAATAGGTGTGGTGTGGTGCTGAAAAGAATGTATATTCTGTTGATTTGGGGTGGAGAGTTCTGTAGATGTCTATTAGGTCCGCTTGAGCAGAGCTGAGTTCAATTCCTGCATATCCTTGTTAACTTTCTGTCTCGTTGATCTGTCTAATGTTGACAGTGGGGTGTTAAAGTCTCCCATTATTATTGTGTGGGAGTTGAATCAAATAGACACAATAAAAAATGATAAAGGGGATATCACCACCGATCCCACAGAAATACAAACTACCATCAGAGAATACTATAAACATCTCTACACAAATAAACTAGAAAATCTAGAAGAAATGGATAAATTCCTCAACACATACACCCTCCCAAGACTAAACCAGGAAGAAGTTGAATCTCTGAATAGACCAATAACAGGAGCTGAAATTGAGGCAATAATTAATAGCTTACCAACCAAAAAAAGTCCAGGACCAGATGGATTCACAGCCGAATTCTACCAGAGGTACAAGGAGGAGCTGCTACCATTCCTTCTGAAACTATTCCAATCAATAGAAAAGAGGGAATCGTTCTTAACTCATTTTATGAGGCCAGCGTCATTCTGATACCAAAGCCTGGCAAAGACACACCAAAAAAAGAGAATCTTAGACCAATATCCCTGATGAACAACGATGCAAAAATCCTCAATAAAATACTGGCAAGCCAAATCCAGCAGCACATCAAAGAGCTTATCCACCATGATCAAGTGGGCTTCATCCCTGGGATGCAAGGCTGGTTCAACATATGCAAATCAATAAATGTAATCCAGCATATAAACAGAACCAATGATAAAAACCACATGATTCTCTCCATAGACACAGAAAAGGCCTTTGACAAAATTCAACAACCCTTCATGCTAAAAGCTCTCAATAAATTAGGTATTGATGGGACGTATCTCAAAATAATAAGAGCTATATATGACAAACCCACAGCCAATA
The DNA here is from genome assembly GCF_000001405.40 of Homo sapiens. Taxonomy (NCBI): domain Eukaryota; kingdom Metazoa; phylum Chordata; class Mammalia; order Primates; family Hominidae; genus Homo; species Homo sapiens. Next base: position 115,748,423 of record NC_000003.12, read on the forward strand.
TCATACTGAATGGGCAAAAACTAGAAGCATTCCCTTTGAAAACTGGCGCAAGACACAGATGCCCTCTCTCACCGCTCCTATTCAACATACTGTTGGAAGTTCTGGCCAGGGCAATCAGGTAGGAGAAGGAAACAAAGGGTATTCAATTAGGAAAAGAGAAAGTCAAATGGTCCCTGTTTGCAGATGACATGATTGTATATCTAGAAAACCCCGTCGTCTCAGCCCAAAATCTCCTTAAGCTGATAGGCAACTTCAGCAAAGTCTCAGGATACAAAATCAATGTGCAAAAATCACAAGCATTCTTATACACCAATAACAGACAAACAGAGAGCCAAATCATGAGTGAACTCCCATTCACAATTGCTTCAAAGAGAATAAAATACCTAGGAATCCAACTTACAAGGGATGTGAAGGACCTCTTCAAGGAGAACTACAAACCACTGCTCAATGAAATAAAAGAGGATACAAACAAATGGAAGAACATTCCATGCTCATGGGTAGGAAGGATCAATATCGTGAAAATGGCCATGGTGACCAAGGTAATTTATAGATTCAATGCCATCCCCGTCAAGCTACCAATGACTTTCTTCACAGAATTGGAAAAAACTACTTTAAAGTTCATATGGAACCAAAAAAGAGCCTGCATTGACAAGTCAATCCTAAGCCAAAAGAACAAAGCTGGAGGCATCATGCTACCTGACTTCAAAGTATACTACAAGGCTACAGTAACCAAAAAGCACGGTACTGCTACCAAAACAGAGATATAGACCAATGGAACAGAACAGAGCCCTCAGAAATAATGCCGCATATCTACAACTATCTGATCTTTGACAAGCCTGACACAAACAAGCATGGGGAAAGGATTCCCTATTTAATAAATGGTGCTGGGAAAACTGGCTAGCCATATGTAGAAAGCTGAAACTGGATCCCTTCCTTACACCTTATACAAAAATTAATTCAAGATGGATTAAAGACTTAAATGTTAGACCCAAAGCCATAAAAACCCTAGAAGAAAACCTAGGCAATACCATTCAGGACGTAGGCATGGGCAACAATTTCATGTCTAAAACACCAAAGGCCATGGCAACAAAAGCCAAAATTGACAAATGGGATCTAATTAAACTAAAGAGCTTCTGCACAGCAAAAGAAACTACCATCAGAGTGAACAGGCAACCTACAGAATGGGAGAAAATTTTTGCAATCTACTCATCTGACAAAGGGCTAATATCCAGAATCTACAACGAACTCCAACAAATTTACAAGAAAAAAACAAACAACCCCATCAAAAGTGGGCAAAGGATATGAACAGACACTTCTCAAAAGAAGACATTTATGCAGCCAAAAGACACATGAAAAAATGCTCATCATCACTGGCTATCAGAGAAATGCAAATCAAAACCACAATGAGATACCATCTCACACCAGTTAGAATGGTGATCATTAAAAAGTCAGGAAACAGCAGCTGCTGAAGAGGATGTGGAGAAATAGGAACACTTTTACACTGTTGGTGGGACTGTAAACCAGTTCAACCATTGTGGAAGTCAGTGTGGCGATTTCTCAGGGATCTAGAACTAGAAATACCATTTGACCCAGCAATCCCATTACTGGGTATATACCCAAAGGATTATAAGACATGCTGCTATAAAGACGCATGCACACGCATGTTTATTACGGCACTATTCACAATAGCAAAGATTTGGAACCAACCGAAATGTCCAACAATGATAAACTGGCTTAAGAAAATGTGGCACATATACACCATGGAATACTATGCAGCCATAAAAAATGATGAGTTCATGTTCTTTGTAGGGACATGGATGAAGCTGGAAACCATCATTCTCAGCAAACTATCTCAAGGACAAAAAACCAAACACCGTGTGTTCTCACTCATAGGTGGGAATTGAACAATGAGAACACATGGACACAGGAAGGGGAACATCACACACCGGGGCCTGTTGTGGGGTGGGGGGAGGGGGGAGGGATAGCATTAGGAGATATACCTAATGTTAAATGACAAGTTAATGGGTGCAGCACACCAACATGGAACATGTATACATATGTAACAAATCTGCACGTTGTGCACATGTACCCTAAAACTTAAAGTATTAAAAAGAAGAAATAGTCAAATCATCTATCGCCTGAGAGCACAGGGGGAGGGAAAATGATCGGGATATATAAACCCAGGCATTTGAGCCGGCACTGGCAACCCCCTTTGGGTCCTCTCCCATTGTATGGGGGCTCTGTTTTCACTCTTAAATCTTGCAACTGCAAAAAAAAAAAAAAGAAAGAAACAGAAACATATGTTAACACAAGGAGCTGTACATAATGTTAATAGCAATTTAATTTGTGATAGACTCAAACTGGAAACAGTGAGAAAGTTCAAAAAGTAAGTGGATGAATAAATTAGAGTGTACCCCCAAAACCGAAGACATTCTGCAATAGAAAGGTATAAACTACCGGTACATTAAACAACATGAATGAATCTCCAAAACATGCTGCTCATAAGAAGCCAGACACAAAAGAATATATGCCATATCTTCTCACTTATATGATAATCTGGAAAAGACAATGCAAATGTACAGTGATAAAGTCTCAGTGGTTGCCTGGGTGTTGGTGTACAAATGAGGATTGACCAGAAAGAAGCAAAGAAAGTAACCTTTGGGGATAATGGAAATATTCTATATCTTGACTATAATGCGAGTTACATATGTGTATATATCTATCAAAGGTTGTTGAACAGTAAATTTAAAATACGTGCATTTCTCTTCTTATACTGAACTGTAAGATACACACATATAAAATCTGATATATCTAGATATTCTAGATACATATACATCTACATATTGTTACATATATAGATATAGATATAATCTGATTAAAAAATAGCATCTGGGATATATAAAAGTATTCTTATAATTCAATGGTAGAAGATAAAGATAAATGATCCAAATGGTCAGTATAGTTCTAAATAATAACTTCTTTTGACAGAGCACCTGGAATAAGGGGCATCTGTGGGAGCAGCTTCAGCAAACTTAAACATTCCTGTCTGCCGGCTCTGAAGAGAGCAGCAGATATCCCAGCACAGCGCTCTAGCTCTGCTAAGACACAGACTGCCTCCTCAAGTTGGTCCCTGACCCCCATGCCTCCTGACTGGGAGACATCTCACAGCAGGGGTCAACAGACACCTCATACAGGAGAGCTCCAGCTGGCATCTGGCAGGTGCCCCTCTAGGACAAAACTTCCAGAGGAAGGAACAGGCAGCAATCTTTGCTGTTCTGTAGCCTCTGCTGGTGATATCCAGGCAAACAGGGTCTGGAGTGGACCTCCACCAAACTCCAGCAAACCTGCAGCAGAGGGACCTGACTGTTAGGAGGAAAACTAACAAACAGAAAGAAATAGCATCAACATCAACAAAAAGGACGTCCACACAGAAACCCCATACAAAGGTCACCAACATCAAAGACGAAAGGTAGATAAATCCACAAAGATGAGGAAAAACCAGCACAAAAAGGCTGAAAATTCCAAAAACCGGAATACCTCTTCTCTTCCAAAGGATCAGAACTCCTTGCCAGCAAGGGAACAAAACTGAATGGAGAATGAGTTAGACGAATTGACAGAAGTAGGCTTCAGAAGGTGGGTAATAACAAACTCTTCCAAGCTAAAGGAGCATGTTCTAACCCAATGCAAGGAAACAAAGAACCTTGAAAAAAGGTTAGAGGAATTGCTAACTAGAATAACCAGTTTAGAGAAGAACATAAATGACCTGATGGAGCTGAAAAACACAGCATGAGAACTTCGTGAAGCATACACAAGTATCAATAGCTGAATCGATCAAGTGGAAGAAAGGATATCAGAGATTGAAGATCAACTTAATGAAATAAAGTGTGAAGACAAGATTAGAGAAAAAAGAATGAAAAGGAATGAAAAAAGCCTCCAAGAAATATGGGACTATGTGAAAAGACCAAACATATGTTTAATTGGTGTACCTGAAAGTGACTGGGAGAATGGAATCAAGTTGGAAAACACTCTTCAGGATATTATCCAGGAGAACTTCCCCAATCTAGTAAGACAGGCCAACATTCAAATTCAGGAAATACAGAGAACATCACAAAAATACTCCTCGAGAAGAGCAACCCCAAGACACATAATTGTCAGATTCACCAAGGTTGAAATGAAGGAAAAAATGTTAAGGGCAGCTAGAGAGAAAGGTCGGGTTACCCACAAGGAGAAGCCCATCAGACTACCAGCAGATCTCTCAGCAGAAACCCTACAAGCCAGAAGAGAGTGGGGGCCAATATTTAACATTCTCAAAGAAAAGAATTTTCAGCCCAGAATTTCATATCCAACCAAACTAAGCTTCATAAGCAAAGGAGAAATAAAATCCTTTACAGACAAGCAAATGCTGAGACATTTTGTCACCACCAGGCCTGCCTTACAAGAGCTCCTGAAGGAAGCACTAAATATGGAAAGGAAAAATGGGTACCAGCCACTGCAAAAAACATACCAAATTGTAAAGACCATTGATGCTAGGAAGAAACTGCATCAACTAACGGGCAAAATAAACAGCTAACATAATAATGACAGGATCAAATTCACACATAACAATACTAACCTTAAATATAAATGGGCTAAATGCCCCCAATTAAAAGACACAGACTGACAAACTGGACAAAGGGTCAAGACCCACCAGTGTGCTGTATTCAGGAGACCGATCTCACATGCAAAGACACACATAGGCTCAAAATAAAGGGATGGAGGAATATTTACCAAGCAAATGGAAAGCAAACAAAAGCAGGGTTTGCAATCCTAGTATCTGATAAAAACAGAATTTAAACCAACAAAGATCAAAAGAGACAAAGAAGGGCATTATATAATGGTAAAGGGATCAATGCAAGAAGAGCTAACTATTCTAAATATATATGTACCCAACACAGGGGCACCCAGATTCATAAAGCAAGTTCTTAGAGACCTACAAAGAGACTTAGACTCCCACACAATAATAGTGGGCCACTTTAACACCCCACTGTCAGTATTAGACAGATCAATGAGACAGAAAATTAACAAGGATATTCAGGACTTGAACTCAGCTTTGGATCAAGGGGACCTAATAGACATCTCTACAGAACTCTTCACCCCAAATTGACAGAATATACATTCTTCTCAGCACCACATTGCATTTATTCTAAAATTGACCACATAATTGGAAGTAAAACACTCCTCAGCAAATGCAAAAGAATGGAAATTATAACAAAAAGTCTCTCAGACCACAGTGCAATCAAATTAGAACTCAGGGTTAAAAAACTCACTCAAAACCACACAACTACATGGAAACTGAATAACCTGCTTCTGCTCCTGCTCCTGCTCCTGCTCCTGGGTAAATAATGAAATTAAGGCAGAAATAAATAAGTTTTTGAAACCAATGGGAACAAAGACACAAGGTACCAGAATCTCTGGGACATAGCTAAAGCAGTGTTTACAGGGAAATTTATAGCACTAAATGCCCACAAGAAAAAGCAGGAAAGATCCAAAATCGACACCCTAAGATCACAATTAAAAGAACTAGAGAAGCAAGAGCAAACAAATTCAAAAGCTAGCAGAAGGTAAGAAATAACTAAGATCAGAGTAGAACTGAAGAAGATAGAGACATGAAACACCCTTCAAAAACTCAAATGAATGCAGGAGCTGGTTTTTTGAAAAGATTAATAAAATAGATAGACCGCTAGCCAGATTAATAAAGAAGAAAAGAGAGAAGAAGCAAATAGACACAATAAAAAACAATAAATAGGATATCAACATTGATCACACAGAAATATAAACTGCCATCTGAGAATACTATGAACACCTCTACACAAATAAACTAGAAAATCTAGAAGAAATTGATAAATTCCTGGACACGTACACCCACCCGAGATTAAACCAGGAAGAAGTCGAATCCCTGAATAGAGCAATAACAAGTTCTGAAATTGAGGCAGTAATTGATAGCCTACCCACCAAAAAAAGCCGAGGACCAGATTGATTCACAGCCGAATTCTACCAGAGGCAAAAGGAGGAGCTGGTACCTTTTCTTCTGAAACTATTCCAAACAATAGAAAAAGAGGACTCCTCCCTAACTCTTTTTATGAGGTCGACATCACCCTGATACGAAAACCTTGCAGAGATACAACAAAACAGAAAAACTTCAGGCCAATATCCCTAATGAACATTCATGCAACAATCCTTAGTAAAATACTGGCAAACCGAATCCAGCAGCACATCAAAAAGCTTACCCACCATGATCAAGTTGGCTTCATCCCTGGGATGCAAGGCTGGTTCAACATACCCAAATCAATATACATAATCACATAAACAGAACCAATGACAAAAACCACATAATTATCTCAAAAGATGCAGAAAATGCCTTCGAAAAAATGCAATACCTCTTCATGCTAAAAACTCAATAAACTAGGTATTAGTGCAACACATCTCAAAATAATAAGAGCTATATATGACAAACCCACAGCCAATATCATACTGAATGGGCAAAAACTGAAAGCATTCCCTTTGAAAAAGGGTACAAGACAAGGATGCTCTCTCTCACCACTCCTATTCACCATAGTGTTGGAAGTTCTGGCCAGGGCAATCAGGCAAAAGAAAGAAATAAAGGGTGTTCAAACAGGAAGAGAGGAAGTCAAATTGTCTCTGTTTGCATTTGATATGATTGTATATTTATAAAACCCCATCATGTCAGCCCCAAATTTCCTTAAGCTGATATGCAACTTCAGTAAAGTCTCAGGATACAAAATCAATGTGCAAAAATCACGAGCATACCTATACACCAATAATAGACAAACAGCAAAATCATGAATGAACTCCCATTCACAATTGCTACAAAGAGAGTAAAATACCTAGGAATACAACTTACAAGGGATGTGAAGAACCTACTCAAGAACTACAAACCACTGCTCAAGGAAATAAGAGAGGACACAAACAAATGGAAACATTCCATGCTCATGGATAGGAAGAATCACTATCATAAAAATGGCCATACTGCCCAAAGTAATTTATAAATTCAGTGCTATCCCCATCAAGCTAACATTGACTTTCTTCACAGAATAAGAAAAAAAACTACTTTAAATTTTATGTAGAACCAAAAAAGAGCCCGTATAACCAAGACAGTCCTAGGCAAAAAGAACAAAGCTGGAGGCATCACGTTACCTGACTTCAAACTATACTACAAGGCTACAGTAACCCAAACAACATGGTACTGTTACCAAAACAGATATATAGACCAAATGGAACAGAACAGAGACCTGAGAAATGATGCCACACATCTACAACCATCTGATCTTTGACAAACCTGACAAAAACAAGCAATGGGGAAAGGATCCCCTGTTTAATAAATGGTGTTGGAAAAACTGGCTAGCCATATGCAGAAAACTGAAACTGGACCCCTTGTTACACCTTATACAAACATTAACTCAAGATGGATTAAAGACATAAATATAAGACCTAAAGCCATAAAAACCCTGTAAGAAAACCTAGGCAATACCACTCAGAACATAGGCATGGGCAAGGACTTCATGACTAAAACACCAAAAGCAATGGCAACAAAAGCCAAAATTGGCAAATGGGATCTACTTAAACTAAAGAGCTTCTGCACAGCAAAATAAATCATAATCAGAGTGAACAGGCAACCTACAGAATTGGAGAAAATTTTTGCAATCTATCCATCTGACAAAGGGCTAATATCCAGAATCTACAAAGAAACAAATTTACAAGAAAAAAACAACCCCATCAAAAAGTGGGCAAAGGATATGACAGACACTTCTCAAAAGAAGACATTTATGTGGCCAGTAAATATAGGAAAAAAGCTCATCATCACCTGTCATTAGAGAAATACAAATCAAAACTACAATGAGATACCATTTCACGCCAGTTAGAATGGCAATCATTAAAAAGTCAGGAAGCAACAGATGCTGGAGAGGATATGGAGAAATAGGAATGCTTTCACACGGTTGATGGGAGTGTAAATTAGTTCAACTATTGTGGAAGACAGTGTGGTGATTCCTCAAGGATCTAGAACCAGAAATACCATTTGACCCAGCAATCCCGTTACTGGGTATATGTCCAAAGGATTATGAATCATTCTACTATAAAGACACATGCACACTTATGTTTATTGCAGCACTGTTCACAATAGCAAAGACTTGGAACCAACCCAAACGCCCAAATGATAGACTGGATAAAGAAAACATGGCACATATACACCATGGAATACTATGCGGCCATAAAAAGGATGAGTTCATGTCCTTTGCAGGGACATGGATGAAGCTGGAAACCATCATTCTCAGCAAACTAACACAGGAACAGAAAACTAAGCACCATATGTTCTCACTGAGTTCAACAGTGAGAACACATGGACACAGGGAGTGGAACATCACACACTGGGGCCTGTCAGGGGGTGGAGGGCTAGGGGAGGGATAGCATTAGGAGAAATGCCTAATGTAGATGACAAGTTGATGGGTGGAACAAACCACCATGGCACGTGTATACCTATGTAACAAAACTGCATGTTCTGCACATGTATCCCAGAGCTTAAAGTATTAAAAAAAATTCTTTAAAATATATAACAAAAAAGAGCATTATCACATTAGGTATATACATTTTTGAAGATGAGTCCCATTTTAGAAATATTAACATATTATTATATCATTTTAGGAATCCAGGAAATGAATAATGTATAAACATATACATTAATATAATGTATTATATATTGTTATAAATGTGTATATTTATAATATAAATGTGTAACATAGATAGGCAAGGGCCCATTTTCCCACTTTCAAGTCATCATTGTCCTGTCACTCAGGGAGACCCTGATTCTCAGTTCCTCTACAAACCTTTCTTAGATATATTGGAGAGGACCTGTTTGTTCTCATTTTCTGTGTGGATTCAGAGCTGGCACTGTTCCCAACATCGCTGAAGGCCTCCAAAAATCTGTCATTGGAGATTGTTTTAAATATTGCCAACCTAGTTTAAAGGCCATCTTCCAGGTTCCTTGCACCTACCTACCATACATGCAATTGCTTAGAAAACAGATAAATACAATGCCATCTGCAAAATAGCACCACTCTTCATGACTTTAGCAACTGCCTGATAAATATTCCTTAACATGGGTCAGCTCCTAATTGAGAATGTTCCAAAGTAATGCAAAGTAATAGCAAATGGAATTGTTCATTATTGACAAAATTTCCAGATTATTTCTAATTGTTTGGTCTTTATTTCATACTTCATTATAAACAAATGAATGGGTAGATTTTTCACTAATGGATAAAATGTATAATGTTGACCACTGGAGAAAATAAAAGAACATGTTCTGATCAGAATGACCAAGTTGAATTGTTAAGAGAGTGAACAGAACATAAATCCAGAGTTTCCAAAATATATATCAATATTTTATATTTATTCTTTTTTAAATCTCTTTTTATAAGTTAAATTGGCTCATTTAGCAAATGGAAATGGAAACTTTTTAAAAAGAACAAAAATCTCTCTATTTCTGTAAGGAGCTAAAAGAAGGAAGCATCTGCAGGGAAGTGCTGAAGCAACATTATTATAAATGGGGATACCTTTACAATTATTCCAGCTTCAGGCTTACACCTTTAGAAACAATTCATCACATTGCATCCTTTCTTCTTCCTTTGCCAGAATCAGCCAGAGATAAGCTTCCAGTTGCTAAAGTTGTGTGAGAAAAGTAGAATTTCTCTATCCCCTTGATATGACTTCAGCTCTGCTGATGTTGAAAACACCATAAGCAGATAGAAGGTCCATGATTACACCAGGCAACATTCCTCTCCTCCAGACAACCACCCTCTGGGATCTGGTCATGTAGTGCAGTTCTGAGAAACAATACAGAGAAGAATTTGTCCAAATTTGGTAATAGATTCACAACGGTATGTAAAGGTGAAAGAGAAAGGAATTGAGGGTTGCTGTGAGGTTATGAGTCTGAGATTTTAGAAGGATGTTGGTGGCAAGGAAGCCAGATGGAAATATGTAATTGCAGGGATATTTGACATTAGATAAACAACTTGGTTGTTTGCCTCTTTAAGCCCCATTTATTACTACTTAGACTGAATTGATTTCTGCATGGCAAATATTGACTCATCTTTCAAAAGTCCCAGCTAAAATGTCACCTCCATGGAGAAGCCTTTCAGATACTCCCCAGGCATTTAGTTGCATCTCCAGGGTATTGTGAAAGTACACAATACATAAACTGTTCATATTGCTATCATATTTCCCATGTTGTAATTTGCTGCTTATATATTTTCTCCTTTTGACCAAGGGATCCATATGACATGATGAAAAGAGCACAGCGCATGAAGTAAGTAGACAGACCTGGTTCCATTTCCAGCTCTGTCACCATAACATTGTGACCTCAGAAATGACTAGGGTACATATGACATGGGGAGAACAGTAGCAATTATGCAGGACAGTGGTAGAGACTGAATCAGAAAGATACCCCAGAGTTTGACACTTAGTGGCACTCAATACATGCTCTTCTCTCTTTCTACATCTTGTTAAGACCATGTGCTCCTTGAAGGCAGGGATTGGTTTCTTGGGATCCTGGTACCTGGTACAATGCAGGTACTCAATAAATGTTTCTTGCATGAATGAATTGGTCCACTATGTGTGTCCCTTAGTTCATGAAGTCGCCCCTTACTATACTCATTGCATGGTCTTTGTCCATCTCCTTCACTTGGCTGAGGGCTGTTCAAAGGAAGTAGACCATTCATATACTGTGTCTTTTGAACATTCTTCCTGTTCACCAAATCTTTATGGCTTTCTGCCTTCTGGGCACATAGTGAGATTTTACTTCTTGTTCTCCTTGTGACTGTATGAGGTTATGGGACTAATTTTAGTCATTGAATTGTAAGTAGCAGTGCCTTCCTGGCATGAGCAAGTACGTGCCCATGTGAGACCCTCAAATTCTCTTTCTGTCATTGCATCTGGCAATACTTAAAAATGTGGTTGGCCAACAGCTTGTGTTTCTGAGTGACTGCAATGAGCAGAGTTCCCATTCTCTACCCACAGTCTGGAAGGGACAAGTTAAATAATCAAGAATAAACCCTAGTCGATTTAAGTCACTGATATTTGGGGATGTTCTTGATCACAACCTACTCTCACCTGTTCTAATTGATACAGGGACAATGAGCAGAGTGTCTAGCATTACATTCAATAAAGGGTAATTATCAGAGGCCTGTTCCATAAGCCATTTTACAGAATTTTACTACTTAAGTGTTTTTAGAAGTAGTCTATCATTAACATTACACAATCCCATGTGACAGCTAGAAGAGAGATATTATCCCCATTTTACAGATGGAGCAACTAAAATCAGCAATTGCTCTCTATGAGGATTTCAGCAAGTCATACAAACACTTTTCAGAGTCAGGAATAGATCCCATTGCTTTTGCCTTCCAGATAGGCAACCATTTGACGAAACTACACAGGAATCATTGGAAATATAAAATCCACATTAATAAAACCCCTACTCTTGGGAAACCTGCATTTTATTTAGGATTGAAAAGACTGAAAATGGTTGGGAAACAGCAATGCAAGGTTTGGTTTTGTTTAGGTTCTAAATTGTAGGTGTAAATGAATAAGCTATAGAATATCAAAAAGAGGTGAGATTATCTTAAGTAGGAGATGAGATTTGAGAGCAAATATATAGCATTCTATTTGAAAGAATTTGCTCTGATAAAAGTAGAAATTGTATATTGTACCAAACAATTGGTTAATTCTTATTCGTATTTTAGGGCTCAGTTCAGATGTTACCACCTCTGAGAGGTCTTTCCCAACTCCCTCATCTACTTTAGGGCACTTCCTACATATATCTTGCTCTGGCATATAACTGCTATACTAGCTTTCCACTGTATCATAATCACCCATTTAGTTTTTCTACCTTCTCCATTAGACACTAAGACACTAAGGGCTGGGAACACGACTGCTTTGCATAACAAGCATCTAGCACTGTGGATGACAATTTAGTGGGCATACAATGATATTTGTGAGTAGAAATTGCAGTTTTTTTAAAGACTCAGAAAATTTTGTAATCTGGAGAACATAGATTAACTGATTCCAAAATATCTTGGTCAGTGCCTTTGTTATCTCTGCCCTCAAGAAATGTATACAGAGAACCTTAAAGGAGAATATTTCTCACGTTTCCTACTCCACCAAGGTTGGAGTTCAAAACAGATATCCAATTGCACTCTGAGGTGATAATGAAAAACGTGGATGGTCTGAAATTCAGAAGAAACTTTTATATTTTGTGGAGGTAGCTAAAAACGGGGAAAGAAAAGAGACCAGAAAGCAGCCCAGACCACGAAGCAGAAGGTACTGCCTGTTACACACCAACTGACTTAACTGGTCCTGACAGTGCATGGGCCATTAACAAAAGCTTTCTAGCCTGTCGCATGCATGTACAGGCTTAAAAGCCCTGTTCCCCCAGGGCCATTAGAAACAGGAGTGGGTCTGCTACAACATATGTGTCTGCTGGGCAGACTGGCTGATTACCACTGGAAATGCCAGGGCTGCCTACTGACCTGATGGATGTGGCAGGTGCCTTGCACAGCTGTGGTTTGTAAAGAAGTTGGGAGAAGAAGACACTTTTTATGAAAGTAGAAAAAATGTGGATGAGGAATACATAATACTAAGAAGAAACATTTAATAAGTGATTAGCCCATGCTCTGAGATTTACGTGCTTTGCCATATGTCATTCTCATCTAAAGTGAGGACTGTATTACAATCCCTCTCTCCCTCACTATCTTCATCTTGACACCATGATAAAATAATCTACAATTCTACAGTAACGCAGACAATCAGTGTGAGACACCAGATCTCAGCCACGACTCTTAGACTAGAAAGTTTCTATCTTTAGCCACTGTGCAGTATGGCCTCTGTGCCTTTTTGTAGTGATAGGCACGAGGAGTTGGAGATATAAAAAAAATTGGCTGAGAGAGAAGGCTAAAAAATAAATTTGAGAGTTCATCATGGTGAGAAGCATTTTATTTTATATCTGCCTGTTTTTCTCTGAAATTGCCTCAGTACCTCTGAGCATTTCATTATTCAGCTTCTTTCTCCATTTACAGAATAGTGTACAAGGTTTAATGGAGTCCCTTGGCTTTTCCTTTTGAAATATTCATGGGCCTTTAGCAGTTTCTTTCATGCTCACCTTGTCCTCCATTAGGAAAGAAACCTTGGAGGAGCTAAAGAAGAAGAAACTGGTGCAGGAGATAGATGTGTGTGTGTGTGAGTGTGTGTGTGTGTGTGTGTGTGTGTGTGTGTGTGGTGGCTGCCTACTCCCAGCTCTAGCAGGGAAAAGAAAAGTGCTTATCTCCCAAGGAGCAGGTCTTCTTTTCCTAGAGCTGATATATCTACTTTCCCCAGATCAAAGGGAGTGAAGAAATGGCACATTCTGGGAAAAGGAATTTGACTATGTCATTTCTCAACCTGTGTCTTCTCTCTTCATTATATAAGAATCTACCCAGGTCCAAAAGAATCATGAGAAGTTGTCTTCATGGAGAGGTTTGATGAAAGGTCAGCAAACAAGAAAACAGTATTATTTGACCTCACACTTCTCAAAATAGCACCTTCTCATACCTTTCTGGGGGCCTTGCTCTGCCTTCAGAACACTCACCCAGCTCCTTTCCCTCCTATCATCCAGCTGTTCCCTGTCAATCAGGGCCTCTCAGCAATTTTAATCCTGGTTTACTAAAATGAAAACAGAAAGCTATCCTTTACTGAGTGCTTACTATGAGTACTACACTGAGTACTATGTGCCAGGTACTATACCAATCTTATCAAATAAATATAACCATCTCTGAGGGATAAGGAAACCAAGGTTCAGAGAAATCAACCTCTATTGGAAGAGCTATGATTGGAACCCCACTCTGATTCCAACACCCAAGATCTCAACTTTTCTGCCTCTCTTGCTACAGGAAGTTTGAGAGTGCTAGCCTTTAATATCATTAAAAAATTAATAATCAAAAATTGTTTTTCAAGCCAAATGGGGCTACTCTAATTTTAAGTTTCAGGGAATTCTTTGATAACCACAATTAAATAAAGAAGTTAAAAATAAATTAAGAGCATAAACGAAACAAAAACCTTAATAATTATTCCTTGTAATCATGTATATATGATTTATACATATTATAAATCAGACTACAAATCATGTTAAATGGAAGAATTCCTAAGAGAAGGAACTGTAAAACTGCACTGATGTGTATAAAGAAAAAGCGAGACAACACTTAAAGATGCAATAAATGCTGGCCGGGAACAGTGGCTTATGCCTGTAATCCCAGCACTTTGGGAGGCCAAGGTGGGATGATCATTTGAGGTCAGGAGTTTGAGACTGGCCTGGCCAACATGGTGAAGGCCTGTCTACTAAAAATACAAAAGTTAGCCAGGTGTGGTGGTGCACACTTGTAATCCCAGCTACTTAAGAGGCTGAGGCAGGAGAATTGCTTGAACTCAGGAGGCAGTGGTTAGAATGAGCCAAGATCATGCCACTGCACTCCAGCCTGGGTGACAGAGCAAGACTTTGTCTCAAAAAAAAAAAAAGTAATAAGCAAGCAAGGTAGGAAAAGAGTAACTAAAAAAAACTGAGATTAGCCCTCAATACTATTTCTTTTCACTTTAAAATTTCTTCTCTCTTCTCCTAGAAATTCTTTATAATCTACAAATTAAGTTATTATTTAACATCATCTGTAGTCAGATTATATGATATTAGTATGGCATTTCTATTCACTGAATATATATTTCAAGCAATGATAAGTAATGTTTATTAAGTACTTATGTTCTAGGCACTGATCTAATTATTTTAGATATATTGTTTCATTAAATTCTCAGAGTGATATGAAGTAGATAGAGTCTCTGAACTAGGCCACAAGATGACGAAGACACATACAGCTCTCTCCTAAGGATGTCACAGTCTCCTAGGAAATAAAGCCTGAGTTCAGACTGTCACCTATCTCCTCCAACCCAAGCCCCCCAAATATCCTGTGTTATATTGATATCCCAGTGAAGAAAGGCCCCAGAAGCCCAGAAAAAAAATGAGTTTATTCCCCAGTAAAGACCTAATGTTGAATTGCTACCGAATTATTTGGGTTAAAAATGTCCAATGAGTATAAAAGATCATTAAAGTATTTTGCACCATTCTCTATAATGAACCTCCTAAGGTAGAAAGGTAAAAATCAACGCTAGGTCTAAAAATGAGCTCTGATCTTATCTGAAAAACCATTTGCCTCACTTGCCCTGATACGCTGAAAAGGCAGTTCTGTCTGGACATATAAAAATAGAGCTTTTCTCCCTTGGTTCTATAAGGAGGGGGTAAGGCCCCTGTTTTAACTACTGAGATAAGAGAACCAGAGATGAGAAACAGCACAGCAGATTAAATGAGCTGGTGCAGGGTCAGAATCAAAGTTCTGTCCCTCATTGCTATGTATTTCTTTTCTTTATAAAAGTTAACTTTTCTTGCAGAGACTTTAAAACACAAAATGATATTACAAAACCATCCTGGCTGGGACAGAGGTTTGGTAGTTTTCCTAATTTCTCCCCAAAGGTCAAATAAATGTAATCTTCCAGTTTCCCACCTCTAAGTCCTAAGATGGGGCCAAAAGTAAGCATTGGGCATCAGCTGCGTATGTCCCACTGTGTCAGACCCAATGCAACCTATCTGGATGAGGATCATGTTAAATGGAAGAATTTTGTGAGATCTAAATGAACTGAATTTGAATGGTACCTCTTCTTTCATAAAATATCTTCATCTCACATAATCAGTGCATTTCCACTTATAATAGACCTTCACTGCCAAATGCGTAATAACCTCATCTTCTGCTGCTCATTTAAGTTAAAATGTTTATCTGCAAAGTATAGCTGAAGCTCATCCTTACACATCTTTAGCAACTGTTTTACCATCCTCTGAGATTCCTGAAGTCCTTTGTTTTTGGTAAAATGTAGCTAATACTACATACATCATCAGATTATTGTGACAATTACATTAAATAATTTACGTAGAAATGTTTAAAAAAATAGATGTCCAAATCTGGTAGGTTTATTGTAAAAATGGCTGCAGTTTTTGACCTCTCCCTATGTCCAAGTTTTTTGTAGTGTGACTTTGGGGCACCTCTCCTTAAGAGATGAAGTCTATTTCCCAATCTAGGAATCTAGACTAGTCTTATTTATTTATTTTTTATTATAATTTTTAAAACTTTTGTGTTCAAGAGTACATGTGGAGGCTTGCTATGTAGATAAAATTGTGTCCTAGGGGTTAGGTGTACAAATTATTTTGTCACCCAGGTAATAAGCATAGTACCAAACAGGTAGTTTTTCAATCCTCACCATCCTTCTACCCTGTATTACAATCCCTCTCTCCCTCACTATCTTCATCTTGACACCATGATAAAATAATCTACAATTCTACAGTAACGCAGACAATCAGTGTGAGACACCAGATCTCAGCCACGACTCTTAGACTAGAAAGTTTCTATCTTTAGCCACTGTGCAATTGATCCTCCCATCTCAGCCTCTCGAGTAGCTGGGAGTACAGGTGCATGCTGCCACACCTGACTAATTCTTGTATTTTTTGTAAAGACTGGTTTTTGCCACGTTACCCAGGCTGGTCTCAAACTCCTGGGCTCACTCCCAGGCTCAAATAATCCACCTGCCTTAGCCTCCAAAAGTGTTGGGATTACAGGCATGAGCCACTGTGCCTAGTCCCAAAAGCTATATCTCAAGGTTAGACTATATCCTGAGCTAAAGCTTTATGGTTCAAACTGCCCACTATATACCTGGATATTGTCCTTTGGTTTAAGGACAATATAATTCAATGTAGAACATTTGAGTGGGTGGGGGTGGTAGGATATTTTTTTTTTTTTTTAAACAGAGTTTCGCTCTGTCACCCAGGCTGGAGTGCAGTGGCACGATCTCAGCCCACTGCAACCTCTGTCTCCCGGGTTCAAGCGATTCTCCTGCCTCAGCCTTCTGAATAGCTGGGATTACAGTCACATGCTACCATGCCCAGCTAATTTTTGTATTTTTAGTAGTGATGGGGTTTCACTATGTTGGTCAGGCTGGTCTTGAACTCCTGACCTTGTGATCTGCCTGCCTCGGCCTCCCAAAATGCTGGGATTACAGGCGTGAGCCACCGCTCTCGGCTAGTAGGAGATAATTATTTGGGACAACTAAAGCTTCAACTAGTTGTCTGAAATGAATCACTTCCTTTCCCCACACTTATCAGCAAAACAGACCTATTCAAATCTACAGAGAGATATTCAGTGGGCTAGTCTACTCTGCTTGCAGGTAGAGTCCAGAACTCATCATTTCAAACATATATTTTAAAGCCCGTACTTTAGGATATAAGAGTCTTTTCTTCTTTCATTTCTTTCTAAGCACAAGTATGTATTTATATTTATGTGGAAGTGTGTGTGTATGTGTGTGTGCGTGCACTTACATATACATGCATATACTTACACAGACACATGTTCCCCCCTCCCCTTTTCTCATAACAATGTTGAAGGTAGTGTGGTGGAGTGGGGGCGAATGCCACGGCACTCACATATTTATTCGTGTCATGAAAATACTCATCTGACTGCCTACACACTCTCCAAGAGGGAAATGTTTATCAAAGCATTCACAGCTTGTGCATCGCTGCCATGAAATCTTCCTAATGCTCCCAGAATCATCCCAATTATCAGGTATTCATATGCCTTCTATGCTTCCCACAGATTGTTCTACAGGGGCATGTCTTGAGTGAGGTGGCATGTTTCTGTTCACCCTGCCTTTTAGAGACCCAGAGCCGTCCAGAAGTGAAAAGCATGTGGAAGGATGCACGTTCCTGATGAAGATCAGAGGAAACTCCCAAGGCCGCAGAGTGCCTTAGCTCTTGGGAAGGAAATACCCACACCAGGTGGTGCTTGTCAGCAAATAGATTTAGTTTTATATTTTATGAGAGTATTACTTCTGGGTCAGGTTTTCATTTTCATTCTGTGTAGGTGCATATTGTTAAATTCCATTTCCTATAGGCACAAAATGTATTACCTCTGTTTTACCATCCTCTAGATATGGAAAACCATGTAAAGGACTAAGACAACTTTTATTGTGGACACACTGAATGCAAACGTGCTCTTAGACTCTAGCAAGCAGAGAGGGAACAACAGGTTTAACTCCAAGTTCTAAGCTTATAACTGAAAAGCTGTCCTGCAGGGAAGGAGGCACACAAATCCAGCTCAGAGCTTCCAACCTTTCTCAGGGTTTGTTCTTGCAGAATACAATTGAAGAGTGATTTACATGGTAGTAAGATAAAAGAAGTATAAACAGCTCAGCTATGACTCAGCTCATCTTGACTCCTTCACACAGGGCACAAAAACAGTCAGATGCTTCAAAGTTAGAAGGACCAGAAAAGGAAAATCTGCAAAGGAAAGCCTTTGAAAAGAAATTTGGCAAAGGGCCTGATCTACAAAGCTGATTTTCCCTGGTATAAAATGTCCCCATAGCACAATGCTTTTTATTCTGGATGAAGTGGGCTATAGAGAGGGTGACAGATGACTCACCCACCCTGAAAATTAGAGCTCATGACTTGATATGTTCACGTTAACCGGAAGAGATAAAAAGATGGGAAAGGTAAGACCCTGTTAATTCACTGTAGGGATTTAGGGGGAGGATAGACGGGGCCAACATCTTGGTGAATCCTTTTTCTCACAGTAGTTACTTGTACTGTCATTGAGCACTGAGACTAAGGAGCAGGCAGATCAGAAAAGTGATTTCTCATCCCACTCTATTCAGCATTAATGGCACAAAATCCCATTAGTGCATTCTAGGGGTTCATTTCAAAACAGACAATGGCCTCTGAATCAGCCTGCCATGCATAATCATCCGGCAATAGGGAAATTACACAATCAAAAATTTATCAAAAGACCACGAAAGGCAGCTATGTGAGGTCATGCCCATTCCTTCTTTAGCAGGGAGGAGGAGACATCACTTTAAGACCAGCAAGATCGATTTTTGTTTCATAACCATAGCTGGATTCACATGATCAGTCCAGAAAAGATAAAACTCTTTTGAAGGAGAAAGTGAAAGGAAGGAGTCTTGTTATTATAATTATTTTATAAATAGGTGAAAATAATTTTATCCCCCTTAGGCATTCTTATGTTCTATATCAACTTTTTTAAAGAAAATTCTCCCACATTCCCTTTTATTATAATTGAAATTCAAGTCCTAGAGGGTTGTCCAGTGTCCTATCTTTAGCCTCTACTCTCTCCTAGCCTCTACTCTCTCCTAACCTTGGGACCTGCTTTCCCAATAGTTTGTCAGACTTTATCACATGGATTTTCTTCAAATCCATGTCTGGCATTAAAATATCGTCATGCTTATCCTTTCAGACACATTTATTGGTACATTTATATAGTTCTTTTTTGGTTTTAACATGCATTCACATGCATTATCTTGATTCCTACAACCAGGGTGTAGCCAATGTTATCAGTGGGATGACTCCCAAATCCTTCTCTCTGTTTTCTATTCTTACTACCATCACCCAGTTTAAAATTTTATTATACTGAACTATGGTCATTGCAGTTTTTATCCTGATCTTTGTGTCTTCAGTCATTCCCTTCTTCAAATTCTCCTGCTGCTAAAGCAATCTTATAATAGCAATGCTTTGTTTAACTCTCTTTTGCCTAAATGGTTTGAATTATTGGCTTAAATGAATGGATTCAATTATTTACTATTTAAAAATTAAAGCCCTTCTGCCTAGCATTTAAAGCCCTCAATAAAAAGGCCTAAATCACCTTTTATAAATCTTCATTTTGTCCATCATTTCCCATCTACACATATACTTCCTTTGGTTAGATCTCCTGAGTCCACTATGCCACATCTCCCTGAGTAGCTGGCCCCATCTATCTGAACACAGCTGATTGGCAGGGATAGACACCTGACCCAGCTGGATTAATCAGATTATCTTCCTAAGGAATTTGGATTTAAGACTCAGCAACTCAGCCCAGTCGATTACCTAATGTTACTGGGCCTGGATGACACTATAGATAAAATTGTATGACTGTCATTTTGCAGCAGCTATTTGTATGCTGAGACCTCAAAGAAAGGAGCACTCTGCAGATAGAAGCAGGTAAATGGGGCCAAAATCCAGAAAAGGGTAAAAATTAGATGCTTGGAAAGAGAGACAAGAGATGGAAAGTAGATGGCTTTGCTCTTGAAGGCATTCCTGCTTTCCATTCTATACAATAATGAAGCTTAGCTGCTGTTCCTGCCCTTTTTTCTCATGGGTTCTAGTTCTTAGAATAAATTCCCGTTAACTTATGGTAGTTTAGGTGAATTTCTATATCTTGCAACCAAACAGTCCCTGGCTAAAAAATATCCCTTCGAGACAGCCAGATCAGCCTTTTGCCAGACCTGAAGTACATCTTGCCATTTCTCACACCATCTGTCAGAAAGGCCCTCTACTTTCATCTGCTCACATCCTTTAGCATTCACTTCAAATGCCACGTTTTTATCCACACTTCCATAATCACCCCTCTCTCATGGATAAAGCAAATTCCAGCAATTCTGCAACCTGAAAGCAACAGGAGAATTTCAGGAATTAACTTCTGATCTACTGGATTTTTAGACAAATGAGAAGAACCAGAGCAACCTTCTGTTTTATTTTAAAAGAAAGAAAAACATCCTCTCTTGTTTACACTTAGGAACAAATCAACTCAACGAATTAAGAGGGGGCATTGAACTAAACCTCTTGTCTCCATCCCTCTTTTGGCCAGGGCCTTGCGTCTACACCTTTGCATCTACACTCTTTACCAAATCCTGATTTTCAAGTTATTTCAGTGATGTAATCGCATGAGTCCATTTTAGTGGCACTAAAGGTCTGGAGGGGAGCACACTTTCCCAGACACAACTTCCCTGGGTGCTCCCTCTCCTCCTGTGTCAAGCATCCCAAATTGGCCACTTCTGACTGCCGGCTCCCACTGAATTTGCGGCCCACCATCACCTCAAGGTCGCTTTCACTATCATTATTGTTCAGTATTCTCCTGCTCATTGAATATGTGGTGCTTTGGATATTTCCCCAGATGATTCAGCTTGCATCGATTCAAGCTAAAACTCATTTCCCTCCT
This sequence comes from Homo sapiens, assembly GCF_000001405.40. Taxonomy (NCBI): domain Eukaryota; kingdom Metazoa; phylum Chordata; class Mammalia; order Primates; family Hominidae; genus Homo; species Homo sapiens. The sequence continues at coordinate 115,769,569 of NC_000003.12, forward strand.
ATTTTCACAGATTCTCCTAATCAATTTCATGCTGCAGAACAATTTCATCTTCCCTCCCGTTGTGCATGTTAGAAAAGCCTGCTGAATCATGTGCTGTAAGTATTTAGCTCTGGCTTTGCCTTGACAGCTTTGCAGTTATGTCCTGGTCCAGTTTTGAAGCTGGTTGTTGTAGTAATTTCACCTTCGTCAGAGGCCTCATGAGGATATCTCATTTGATGGTAAATATTATTCTGAGTCCAAGATTCACTAATTTGGAACTTTCTTTTAAAAAATCACTTATACATTTGTTTATTCAAGTTTTCTTTTCGATCTTTCTTTTCCAGATGAAACTTTAATTCTCTAAAACATCATACTAACAATTTCTGGTTGATTTCACCACTTGGTTTGCTGAAAGGATGTTCCCAGACCTCATATACCCTGACCCTTTGACAATCTAGAACTGAAATATTATTTCTCAATTCTTCTCCATGACTTCCTGGACTGGAAACCTATCTTTCTAGGCCCGTCAGATCCTCCTGTTTTTCAAAGCTCCCTTTTCTGCTTCCTTTTGATCATCCTGTTCCTAAACTTCCCATGCTCTCTTATGATCAAACTCTTTCTGAAAAATAGTCATGTAATAAATATATTAGTGGTATCTAATCAGACCATTTTCTCTAGACTTCTAGAAGCCAGATTTCTACTCTATGACATTGCTACCTTGGCCACAGCTAGATAACAAATTCAAGTTCAACCATTCATCCTTTTTTTAAGGTGGGGGAGGATTTGAACAGAGATACAGGGAGTAGCAGCTGGGTGTGGCTTATAATAGTGGTAGAACTTCCTTAAGGAAGGTCTTCAAACTCCTGTGTCTGAGGTCATGTGAGTTTCCATAATATGAGTCCCTACAGGGGCCTAATTACTAACCTTTCTCATAGTCCATGGGATACTCAAGTATCTGTTTATTCATGCAAAATACCCTTAAAAATATAACTTGTAATTTTATGATTACAAATCTTATTTCCCATGCCTCTAAGGACTGTCAAGTGATTCTCAATAAACCATTTTTAAAGGAGCATAAAACTTTATAACGCCAGTTGTAGTCAGACAACCAAAGATTGAATTCTGGCTCGATTACTTACTAGTTCTATGACCCTTATAATAAAATGGAATAATAGTTGTATCTTCTTCCTAGAGTTGTGGTGATAACTAAAGTAATGAATGATGCATGTTATATTATCATTGCATTATAAATATTCAATAAGTGTTAGCTGTATTGATTATTGTTACTATATTAGCATTATTATCTATTCTTTGCTTCTTCTCTTATCACCCCTATCACTGAGTAGAACTCTGTTTGCTATATTCTTCTTCTACTGATAGGGGATGTTCCCGTTGCTTTATAGGCATCAAAGTTCCCTAATATAACTGCTAGAATTTATCCATGATATCATTCTAGTTGACATGTAACTCCATTTGTCTGCAACAAAAATTCTACTATTTTTGCTAAATTCTACTATTAAACCAAGGAGCAAAGTGGCCTTTCTTTTTCAGGTTCTTACAATGATTTGAATTGGTAATACTTTTTTATTTTTCCATTTTATGTGCTTTTTAGTCCATTATACCATGAGTATAATATGAGTAGAGGAGGAAAAACATAAGAAAGTATCAAGGAGGGAAAGAAATTGAATGGTTTAGACAGACATCAGAGAAAAAGGAGAGGGGTCATTCACAGATTAGGCTGATGGTATGGAGACTGTTGCTGATGATGACCATGAGTTCCAGAGGGCCCAGTGAAAGGATTTTAGGTTTCACTTGGAAGGATGGTGTGATGGTTAATTTTATATATCAACTTGGAAGGTGTTTTGGGATGAGATTAACGTTCAAATTGGTGAACCTTGAGTAAAATGAATTGCCTTCTTTAATGTAGGTGGGCCTCACTCAATCAATTGGAAACCTGAATAGAACAAAAAGGCTGGCCTCCGTGAGCCAGAAGGTACCCCCCCGCAGACTCCTTTCTAGACTTCATCTGCACCATTGGCTCTCCTGAGTCTCCAGCCTGCTGGCCCACACTACAGATTTTGGACTTACCAGCCTCCATAATTATTACATTAGCCAGTTAGCTATAATACATTTTTTAAATATATATCTCTCCTGTTGATTCTGTTTTTTTTTTTTTTTTTTTTTTTTTAACTCTGACTGATACAGGTGGAGTTAGGGGAAAGAGGTTGAATGGGTGAGGTGTGTGAAGAGTTTTATGTTGATTAGTGCTCGAGAGGTAAGAGGTGACCTAAGAGAGATGAAGGGCTGATGTGATTAATCTCAGGGATCTCAGGGCTCTATGTTTTGTGGAGTAGGAGAGAACACTGAAGCTCATTCTTCACCCATGATGATGGGCTCAGAGGGCCTTCATGGGTCATGAGATTGATCCCAATTCACAATTCTCATCTTAGCCTTGGATGCAGAGATGGAAGGTTTAAAAAGATGTGATCTTTACTGCTTAGATTTACACTTGAACTTTTGGTGGTAAAGAGGTGATCTTTCTCTAAGTGTACACGCGAAATCATGAACCCTGTTGATGAACTAAAGGAATTTTGGTAAAGCTGGGTGCACTATCAAGAGCATGAGTCTCTTCTCCCTATCTAACAGAGAGTGAAGAGCCAGGAAAGCATGACCTCAGACCCAGTGCACAGCCAGTATTCTAAGTGCTGGGAGGAGAATAAGGTAGGAAAAATTCTGCCCTCACGAAGCTTACATTTTCATGGAGGAAGACAATAAATAAAGCATTAAACAAAAACTAAGAAATTTCAGATAGTACTAAGAACTATCAAGTAAATAAAATAGGCTGATTTGCTAGTCAAAGAGTAGTCAAGGAAGGACTTTTTGAATATAACATTTGATGTAGACCCTTGGGAGATTCAAATATACACCTTCTTTTTGCAGAGAAGTATAATGTTAAGTAGGAGGAAAGGTAATAAAGCTGATAATTAGATATTTCTTGTAAGAAAATCATCTAGAGAAGCCAAATGTATCAGGAGTTTCAGCTGCCTCTTTCCTCAGGAAGCAAATGAGGAATGGGTTCATGGAGCAATTGTGTCCTCTAAACTCCCTAGACTGGCTCAGTAAAAGTGGGAAGAGAAGTCCCTGTTGACTTCCAGCAGAGAGATGGGGTAGCCAAGTGCATCAGAAAGAGAAGAAAGAATATAGGGAACAGCATGGTGAGAGGCCACTGTTTGGATTGGAGTAGGAGGGAGCAATGTTAGAGGCAGCTGTGAGTTTGGAACTTTGGGGAAAGGAAAAATGACTAAATAGAATATTTGAGAAAAATCTTTAAATCGGATGGCAAAGACTAGGATAAGCTCGGTTTGTTCCTGGGTTAGTTTCGGTCTATTCCTATTGGTCCAACAAGATTTTTAAGAGAAATTTCTCATTTTCAAAAACACTGCACTTTGGACAGATTATATGTTTACATTACTGTATAAAACCCCTCAGCTGCCCTCTATGAAAACCCACAGCAAAAATTTACATCATTTTTGAGAGTTTGTAGAGTTAAATTTATGGTCCCTTTGAATGTCACTGTAAGTAAGACAGGACTATTTGGGGCTCTGACTCACGTGGATTATAAAAGCACTTACTGTGACATTTAAAATTGGAATTTGTCCATCTTTATTTGATTTTTATAGAAATAGTTTATGGTCATCCTGCAATGAAGTGAAGGTGAAGGAGGCCTAGGAAATAAATAAACACATTTTTATATGAAATACACATTGGATATATAGGGAAATGTGGAGCACATACTGAAGAAAAGAGTATAGAATCAGGGAGGGAACAAATACAACCTCTGGTTTAACTCTTTATTTCAAATGTACTTATTTAACATCTATTAGGTTGGTGCAAAATTAATTGTGTTTTTTGACATTAGAAGGGGCAAGTTTATTGTATAAAAACTAGAATAAATGCATTTTAGTATAAAAATGGATTTATTTATTTCCTAGGCCTGCTTCATCTTTACTTCATTGCAGGATGATCATAAACTATTTCTATAAAAATCAAATAAAATGGACAATCCGCAATTACTTTTGCACCAACCTAATATTATATGCATAGCACTGTGCTAATCTATATGTATTGTGTGTGCATATGTGTGTGTGATATTCAGGTGGTGTGTGTATGGTATGTTGTGTGTATGTGTTTATATTAAAATGAGGGTTCTAGGGGAAGTGGGGTCTAGCAAGATGAATAAAACATGTCTGTAGTTTACTGGAAGGAGGGAGAGTAGAAACATAGCTATCATCTATTTAACGCCTACTGTGAGTCACTGAGCTTTACGAGGCACTTCACACATATCACTTAATCTCACAAAGCCATAAATATTATATTAATACTCATTTTCTATAAGCAAATTGGCTTTACAAGAATAAGTAACTTGAAGTCAAGTTTCAAGCACAAATCTGAAGTCAGGTGAACATGTTGCCAATACCTGAGAAGTCTGCAATAGAAAGCCAACTACGTGTTAAATGATCCAATAAAGACAAAAAGTATTATGCGAGCATGGAGGAAGGCAGGAAAAACAGAGAAGATAAATAAAAACAGTCAATAAATATTGAGTTTATTAAGTGCCAAGCACTGTCTTAAGGTACTAATATATTTTTATTCATTTAATCCTCATAACCATTCAGTGAGGTAAACCCTATTATTAACCCTGTTTTAAGCATGAGAAAACTGAGACACAGGAGTATAATTTGCCCAAGGTCATACAACTAGCAAGTGGTGAACCAGGATTTAGCTCTAGGCTGACTAGTTCCAGGGGATGTGCTTTACAAAACAAAAACAAAACGAATCCCATATTCCCTTTACTTGGCTTACCTAATGTTAGCATCTTGTATAACCATGGTATACTTATCAAAACCAGGAAATGAACATTGATACAAAATTAGTAGTGAAGGAACGTGTTTTACTAGAATGTCACCAATTTTTATCCTAATGCCTTTTTTTCTGGTCCAGGATAAAATCCAGGATCCCATATTGCATTTAGTTTTTGTGTTTCCTTAGTTTCCTTCAATATGTCACAGATTTTTATTCTTTCCTTTTTTTTCCCCATGAACTTGACACTTTTGAAGAGTATTGGTCAGTTACTTCATAAAATATCTCTCAATTTTGGTGTGTCTGGTGTTGCCTCATAATTAGATGGAGGTTATGCATTTTTTTGGTATGAATACCACAGAAGTGATGGTGTGTCTGCTGTAGACTGAATGTATTCCCCCCAAGTTGATATTGTTGAACCCTAATTTCCAATGTGATGGTATTTACAAGTAGGGTCTTTAGGAAGTGATTAAGTTATGATGATGGAGCTCTTGTGAATGGAATTTGTACTCTTTTCTTTTTTTTTTTTTTCTGGGATGGAGTCTCCCTCTTTCACCCAGGCCGGACTGCAGTGGTGCTATCTCGGCTCACCGCAAACTCTGCCTCCCGGGTTCACGCCTTTCTCCTGCCTCAGCCTCCCGAGTAGCTGGGTCTACAGGCGCCGGCCACCACGCCCGGCTAATTTTTTTGTATTTTTAGTAGAGACAGGGTTTCACCGTGTTAGCCAGGATGATCTCGACCTCCTGACCTCATGATCCGCCCGTGTCGGCCTCCCAAAGTGCTGGGATTACAGGCATGAGCCACCGCGCCCGACCTGGAATTTGTACTCTTATAAAGAGTCCTCAATGAGCTACCTGGCCCTGTCTGCCTTGTGAGGACACAGTGAGAAGCCAGCCATCTATGTACCAGGAAGTGGGCCCGCAATAGAGACTGAATCTGTTAGCACTTTGATCTAGGACTTTCCAGCCTCCAGAGCTGTGAGAAATAAATTTCTGTTGTTTAAGATACCCAGTCTATGCTATTTTCTTATAGCAGTCTAAACAGACTATGACAGTGTCCTTTTCAGGGTATTTTCAGTTGGTTAAGTAGTAGTGCCTGCTAGATATCTCTACTATAAAATTATTTTTTTTGTAATTGATAAATGTCTTGGGAGAATATGCTTTGAGACTGTGCAAATATCCTATTTCTCCTCAATAAGAGATATGCTGTTAACCATCATTCTATACTTCCCCCACTTAGAATAATTTTTTGTTGGGAATCAGGACATGATCATAGAAAAGAAAGAATGTGATCTGTCAATAAATTGAAGGAAAAATATTTTAAAAGTATTAATTCTTCTATGAATTTAGAGTGCCTTCAGAAATATTAGCTTGATCTTTCCCCTAGGCATTGGAAAGAAAAATAAAAGGGCCCTGAGATGAGCAGTTAACAGGGTTTCCTAAACTCACTCAATTCTATTATCAAATGGAGCTTTGTAGACAGACCATATTGATAGAAATAATTTTCTGTTGCCTTCTTTTTATTGCTGAATGCCACTCTGCTTTATAAGAGAATCCCAGACTGATGTTAAAATTCCAGATCAATGTGAGACAAACTATGATAGACTGTCACTAGGTTTTTTGTTTAATTTCTTCCTTGGGTTTATTCTGTAATGACTCTCTCTCTCTTGCTTTCTCTCTCTCTCTCTCTCTCTCTCTCTGTGTGTGTGTGTGTGTGTGTGTGTGTGTGTGTGTGTGTGTGTGTGTGTGTATTGGGTCGTGTCTTTGATAGCTCCCTGATGTAGAAACAAGCAACGCTTTTGAAACCTAGCAATTCTCTGAATTGTTACCTTAGATAGCTTGTCTTATATTAAAAACTAATTAATGTTTGTATGAGTCTGACTTTTCTGATTTTTTTCAAGACTATTATCATAAATAATGTCATAAGTTTTTGCTATCTGTGTTATCAGTATTGGAGATATTTTATTTTGCATCTTCGCTACTCCAGAAAGCATTTAAGATGGGTTCAATGATATATGTCATACAATAGGTAACATAAATTAGAAGCAAATTTTTAAAAAGTTAAATAGTGGGTCAGGACATAAATTAGAATTATAAATGACCCTAATATAAAAATAGATTCCTATTCTATGCTTTCTAGCATTCATTTATATAAATTCTGAAACTATTTCTATGTCAAAATATGAGTTTTTCTCAATAAGAAATAGGTTTATTTCTTAGACTAAAAAGATATTTCTCCTGAGAGGTTTTTTGTTTGTTTGGTTTTTTTTTTTTTTTTTGAGACAGAGTCTTGCTCTGTCGCTCAGGCTGGAGTACAGTGGTGCCATCTCGGCTCACTGCAAACTCCACCTCCTGGGGTCAAGCAATTCTCCTGCCTTGGCCTCCCAAGGAGCTGGGATTACAGGTGCACGCCACCACGCTGGGCTAATTTTTGTATTTTTAGTAGAGACGGGGTTTCCACCATGTTGGCCAGGCTGGTCTTGAACTTCTGACCTCAGGTGATCCACCCGCCTCAGCATCTTGAGAGTTTTTATAAGAAGAATACCACAATATCATGAGCATATTCCTCAACAACATTCATATATTTGAGGCAATGCATTTCATTGCTTCTTAAAGAGTCCCTCAAAACAGAGCTGTTGGTATAACCCTAGATACAATTTAGAAGAAGCTATTCTATGGAAATTGGGAAGAGATTGACAACACAAAACACATCCAGTTTGCAGCTTTCTGTTGGCTTGACTTAATCCAGAGGTGGATTTGTGTAGTATCTAGAGAAATGATGCACTGCAAACTCAGGCTTCACCTGCTCTCTCAGCTGAGCTTTTGATAGATATTGAGTAGCAACAACACTTTAGTCAGGGACATTTTTGGTTGGAGGGAACAGAGACTCATATAAGTTGATGCAAGAAAAAGATGTAGGAATACAGACAGGACTGCCACAATGCAAATATGATAAATAAAGAATAGTTGGGCCCCATAGAAAGTGTATCTGGGAACTGCAAAGAAACAAGGCAGCTTCTTTATCAGTCTCTCTTTCTCTGGGCTTATCTAATCATTTCTAACCTCATCTTTATGCTGCTCTTTTCTTTTTTCTAGGGAGGTATTACCACCATGGCCCAAAGCAGCCACTTGAGCCCTCAGAATTAACAACTCCAGTACTCACAGACAATAAACATCATTCAGTTGAATTGTCCAACCCGAAATTCCCAGGAAAAGAAGCTGGCCCAGCTTTCCTTCTTGACCTGCCATAAGCAGCTGTCCAGTAGTGGAGAGATGGCCTTGAATCTTTTGTCCAAAGACTATGGCTGGAGGTGTGTGAATACTTGGTTCAGATCTCAGGTGTGACCCTTTATCATAAGGGCTGTAAGTGGGCTAGGTTCCAGATGTGACCAGACCATCTCTGCAAATGTGGCATGTTACCAAGGTAGCCACACTTAAGAAAACACAGCCCATTGCTCTGTCACGCAGCACAATTTCTGAACAAGGCAAGGTGGACCTAACTAATGCAGAATGATCTCTTGGAGGGAAGCAGATAGAGATTTATCTGCTGGTTCCTTTCCCTTTTCTATATCTCCTTTGTCAGAATTAGCCCCATAGTGTTACTTACCCTCCACTTTAATTCCTGTTACCTAGGTGCTTGGTGGAGCTGCTAAAAGATAAATTCTATGCTGTGAAGCAGCTTCATTTAAGCCCCAAAGCAATAATAATTGCCATGGTCCTAACTGATAAAAATTTTTATCACAACTCAGTCCCTAGACCATTTTTCCAATCCGGATCCCATATTCATTGTCTAGTTAAGAGAAAGTGCCTAATGTCCAAAGTGAGTTTATGTGAAGTCTTTTCTCCTCTTATCTTTTTGCTGTACTTTCTCCCTGTAAAGTACAGCATGGAATGGGTGATAGGGTGGGTGTCGGGGGAAAGTCATGGATCCACTGTTCCATTCTCATCCCTTTTCCTTGGTCATATCAAAACACAAGACAGTTTACTTGTGTAATTGCTCATTTTTTAACATTTTGCCGGAATTTTTCCACCTAATAAAAATATTTAAAAAACAACTAGATCTATCAGTAATCTCTAAAATAGAGTATGTGCAAGATGATCCAATAGAGTACAAAAAGAAAATATTCAAATTTTTATTCATGTATTTTTACTTCATTCTTTAAAAAGGTTTATTATTTGTGTATGCTTTAAATGATATATAATTTATTAGTACAGAAATGCAGCTACATACTTTATAAATAAATATACATGAGGACATATGCCCAAATTATTTTTTTTCCAGATTGGATGCATGATCAAAAGTTTGGAGCCCACTAGTACTGAGACGTCAATGAATGAGCATTACTCGTTTTATATCTATAGAAAAAATAACAGTTCCCATTGAGGGCTTGTGGCCAATTCTGACTTTAACTTCTTTGGTAGAGCCTGGTCCCATAGTACATTACATTATTCAGCATGTTATGCTTTCAAACCACTTACCCTTTATTTAAATATTTATTTAGTATGAAATACTAGCAGATGGATTGAATTACGGTAATTTATTTATACGTTTAATTTTGAATCAGAAAGTATGAAACAAGTTCATTATCACCACAGGGTGATCAAAGACTGGTGCTTTTGAGTATCAGCATATATGAGTTTAAAGAGTTCCCTGGAATTCTTGTTAAAACAGTGAAGTCTTAAACAGAGAACCAGAAAAGCAGGCATCTGTATCTTGTGATTACTCCATTAGATATATGTACCTCATGACCGGAGATGTGTCATACAGGCCCTCTACATGTAGAACAATTCTTTACTTATCTCGATAATCAATGATTATTGATGTGGGTGAGGCTGGAGGTCAAAGGGGACTCCAGGATGACTCTTTGAGTTGTTAGTAAGGGAATGGAGAGGACAGAGGCTGGCAGGGCATGGGAAGAAGGGAGGAATGCTGATATCTGTGTTGGCACTTGGCATTTTATTCTTACAAAAATTCTGTAAAGTTAGTGCTATGGTCCCCATTAGACAAGTCCCTGCATCTCTCAAAGCCTCAGATTTCTTATCGATAGAAGGTCACATTGCAGGCCGGGCGTGGTGGCTCACGCCTGTAATCCCAGCACTTTGGGAGGTCGAGGTGGGCGGATCACGAGGTCAGGAGTTCGAGACCAGTCTGGTCAACATAGTGAAACCCCATCTCTACTAAAAATACAAAAATTAGCCAGGCATGGTGGTGTGTGCCTGTAGTCCCAGCTACTGGGGAGGTTGGGGCAGGAGAATCGCTTGAACCTGGGAGGCGAAGGTTGCGGTGAGCCAAGATCGCGCCACTGCACTCCAGCCTGGGCAACAGAGTGAGACTCTGTCTCAAAGAAAAAGAAGGTCACATTGTAAGTAAGTGGTAGAGTTGGTTTTTGAATGCATGACTCTCATTCAAAGCCCATGCACTTTCCACTGCGGCATCATTCCTTTCTGATAATGTAGCCCACATGGTGGATGAGTAGATATAATGACAAACTGGCTCTAAAAGTGTATAAATTATCCCTGACTAAACTCTGTAAAATATGTATTGAGACATTTAGCACATATTTTGGGGGCATTTATTATGCGATAGACACTGCGATGTGCTTTTGGTACACAGTAGTAAACAAGAAAAACTCCTTACTCTCAGTCTGGTTGAGAAGACAGCCATACATAATTAAATAATTCCCTAAGTAAGATTTTTTCATAATCCTAATTGGAATGAAAGAAGTAAAACAGGATGATGTAATAAAGATGCTGACGTGCTGTGTATTGTGGATGGTCAGGGAAGGCCTCTCTGAGAAGTTTTATTTCAACTTATTCTTTAATGATGAGAAGGGGCCAGCCTTGCAAAGAACTACTGAACAACAAGCACAAAGACTCTAAGGAAGAAGCGAACTTGCGTGTTTTAGAAAGAACAGCAGTGGGGGCCGGGAGCGGTGGCTCACGCCTGTAATCCCAGCACTTTGGGAGGCCGAGGCAGGAGGATCATGGGGTCAGGAGATTGAGACCATCCTGGCCAACATGATGAAAACCCATCTCTACTAAAAAAAATGCAAAAATTAGCTGGATGTGGTGGCACATGCCTGTAATCCCAGCTACTCGGGAGGCTGAGGCAGGAGAATCACTTGAACCAGGGAGTGGGAGGTTGCAGTGAGCCAAGCGGAGATTGTGCTTGGCTACAGAGGAAGACTTCATCTCAAACAAACAAACAAACAAACAAAAAACAAAAACCAAAACAAAACGAGAAAACAAGAACAGCAGTGGGAATGGAGCACAGTAGAAACAGAAGTGAAGTGAGAGAAAAGTCAGAGACAAGGCCTTGAGTACTAGGCAGATTTTTTTAATCGGGAAGCATATTTGTTTACATTTCAAGGTGTGATAAGAACCAGGACCATGGAGACATCTCCAGGTTGCAAGGCTAGACATGGGGGGACAGCTGTCCCTCTTTTTCCTACATAAATGCCCAGATTCATGTAGTCAGGCCCTTTGTCTGCAGTAAACTCCCTCACATGTATCATGACATTCAGTTTTCACTATATTGCCCTGGGGGTAAGAACTGGGGCAAAGGGTAGCTGGTATGTCCTGTGTATAAGCAAATAATAATATGGTCTGCTCTAGAACCCATATGTTGGCATCCAGCATAATACTATCAAATACAGATATTATGCGCTTAATACATAGTATGATTCCTCTTTTTACACTAGCATGCTGGCTGCTGTTCAGATAATGGATAAGAAGGAGAAAAATGAAAGCGGGAAATCGGTTAAAAAGCTGTAACAGTAGATCAGGTTTGTGTTATGGTGGTGGCAGTAGAAGTGAAAATATTCAAGATCTATTTTGGTGATAGAGTTGACTAAGTTAGCAGATAGAATGAGGGGAAGAGAAATCAAGGTTGATGCCCAGATTTTTTGCTTGAGAAACCGGGTGGATGCAGGGTCGGTTTCAGAGAGGGAGAAGCCTGAAAGAGGGGCAGGTGGTGAGGGGCAGAGTTAAAAGTGCAGTTTTCAGTGTGGTGATAAACATCATCCAGCATCATTGTTGGTGGCTGGCCTTTTCTGTGTTTGCCATTTATGCCAGAGAGATAATAGGTAGTTTTCCTTCATGTTTATTTTTTCTTTTTATGATCTGAAGCTACAGTTCTGTCTCATAGGGCCCTACTGAGTTCCCCTTGTCTTAAATCCTATTAAAATGCCTGGCCTATGTGACTCCACCCAAATTAATCTGTGATATCCTCTGGAGTCCATCCTCTCAAATCACCTTGAGTACTTTTCCTTCTTGCTGTTCATTCTCCACTGAATTCCCATGCCCCCAGATTAAGAAAGTAATCTGATAAATAACTAAAAAATATATTATTTGCGCCCATATATTTATGATTTATTTTTGAATATTCAAAATACCCTGCTTTAGCCCAAGTTTCGCAGTGATTTTTATGCTGCGATCTTAAAGATTCCTTTATTATGGCTTTATGTGTGTCTGTTTTGCTTAACCGGAACCACATTTCCAAGAACTCCTTTTGTTTCCGGGTCAGGACTGGCCACAAGGAAAAAATGAACAAGATCTGGAAGGCAGAAAAGAAGCACCAACTATCTTTATGATTTGAAGGTGGGTGTGAAACCAGGCTCACCTAAGTTGTCACTGATCTGCTGGTTCACCCTGTTGGCATGGGCTCCTTCAAGTCCTGCTAGATACCCCTGCTTCTGCTTCTCTGAATCCCTGGCTAGGTATGTGTATGTTTCCTTGGTGAAAAGCGTCAGTTTATGCTGCAAGTCATTTACATGGAGGCCATGAGAAACAACTATGAGTTTCATTTTTTCTTTGCTGTATCCATTTCGTATGCATCTTTCCTTCTTGATCGTCAGCCCTGCAGACTTCACGCCCAAGAGTAGATGCAGAGGCCTTAGACTACTTAACACATTCTCATAATTGCATAGAATCTAAACCCTATAATAAATCCCTGGTTTTATATCACTCACAATGGTTCTACTTCCCTAATAGAACTATAACTGATACATATGCAATGTAGTATCGCATAGCTAGAGTTTCCATACAGTATAAAAGAATATTAGTTTATTTTTCACTATGATTTTGATTTACATTTTTATCACATCATATCTCTTTTACCTCTATAGCAGGCTCAAAACTTGCTATAGATTGAAATGCTTACAAAAGAGTAGTTCTATCATTCTTTAGTATTTCTCAGACTATTACTGTGTCTGATTACTAAGGAACAAAAATGTTTATTTTTATAATTAAGTACATATACATTAATTTTGTTGTACATTTTTTTGCTTTCAACATCAAATTCTGTTTATGCATGCACGTGTAGCAGAAATTGTTGTGCCTTGTATGAATGTTTTTATAGTCCTTAAAAATAATGGATGCAATATCTGTGGTAGCCTGACAGTTTAAATAATGTTCCATTGCTCATTTTATTCAACAGATTTCCATTCAGCAGTTCTTAGCGGTATCTACAATATGTCCAGATCAGTGAATTTCTATGAGGGATTCAAAAGAAATATAAGACACAATTCCTTCTCTCGTGAAACTTATGGTCTAATATTTACTTTTATAAATAAAGGAGAGATTGAGAGACAGATTGTGTGAGAGAGTGAGTGTGTGTGTGTGTGTGTGTGTGTGTTAGGGAAGAAAGGGTTGACTTGTAGCCCTCCCCCAGGGGTGCAGCTTCAAGTAATAACAGTCCGTATTAGGGCAAGGTGGGTACTGTGGCAAACTGGAGAGCCACTTGCCCCTTCTAATGGCAGTAACAGCTCCTCAACTCCCACCAATGGGGTTACCATTTAGGTCAAGTCTCTAGATGTTCTCTTGTTCAAGGGATGCTGTAAATTGGGACAGTTACATGAAAATTCCCACTTAAAAAATATGCACGGAGCGGGCACGGTGACTCACACCTGTAATCCCAGCACTTTGGGAAGCCGAGGCAGGCGGATCACCTGAGGTCAGGAGTTCGAGACTAGCCTGGTCAACATGGTGAAACTCCGTCTCTACTAAAAATACAAAAATTTCCCGGGCGTGGTGGCGCACGCCTGTAGTACCAGCTACTCAGGAGGCTGAGGCAGCAGAATCGCTTGAACCTGGGAAGCAGAGGTTGCAGTGAGCCTAGATTGCGCCATTGCACTCCAGCCTGGGCAACAAGAGCGAAACGCCGTCTCAAAAGAAAACAAAAAAAATGCACGGAGGGAAAACAGCCCGGAGGCTGAATCCTGTCCAACAGTAGTTATAACCCTAGTTTTTCCAACACGAGTAAATATAAAGGCATCTTGCTCCTCTGGAAATAGGGAGAACCAGACCTAGCTATCTTCTTGAAAAAGAAAAAAAAATACTTCTGCATCCTCTCAACTTAAAACGAAGGAAATAAGATAGTTATCAATCAGCATCATTTGGGCATATTGTTATTATTTACTATCATTTTATTAAAATTAATAATAGATTTACTGTAAAAACAGAGCCTGCCTTGCGCGTAGCACTCGATAAACGCTTTTTATTATTCTGCTTGTTGACGCTGTTACCTCTCTTTTGGAGTAAAAGGGGGCGGAATCGCAACAAGACCCCAGGACCCCGTGTGCGCGCGCGTGTCGGGGGAGCTGACCTATGACAAACATGTGCAGAGCTCTAGTACCCAGCCACGCGGAGGCTGCCGGTTGACAGAAGCGTTGCCGCCCCCTGCCGCCGAGTTCACCCTGCCGTCACTGCTGGAAGCCGCACCCCTAGGAAAGGCTGCAAACCCACCCTGCCCCCAACACACCCGCGCTCCCTCTCTGCAGGCCGGCTCCATCCCCGCCCCCAGGTGGCCAAGCAACACCGCCTTCTAGCTTCCTCCCGACCGGGCGGCGCCTGCAGCTGCCTGGGGAAGGAGCCCCGCAGCAGCGCGAGCGGGTGGGCGGGGGGTGCGCGGGCCGCAGGGCAGGAGGGAGGGCGCAGGTAGGCGGGCGGGGAGAAGCTAGGCGGCCGGGCCGAGCGGTCGCGCCCAGCCCTGCCTCTCTCCCTTCTCGACTCACAGGCGGCCTGACTCACTCCTTTGTTTCTGGAAAAGATCTATCTGTACTAGCCCGAGGCGGAATTCACCCCGCCCGCACTCATCAGAAATCGTTTGCTTATTCTCTGCGCCCCTCCGTGCTCGCCTGGGACGCGGGCGGAATCCTGACGCAGGCTGTCAGCCGCGGTGACGGGTGACACCGGGTGAGCAGCCGTCCGCGCCGCCTTCCCTGCGCCGACGGGCAGCGCGGCGTTCGGCGCGCACTGCTGCCCCCTCGTGGCAGGAGCAAGCATCGCAGCAGCGCCGACACCACCGCCCACCTGCAGCCCGGGGAGCGTCACTTCTGGGTGTTTTTCAAAGGGAGCATTTTTACAGCTCCATTCAACTGCTGGGATTAGGAGATGTGGCTCCCAGGTTGATTACTAATGAATGAGAAGGGGTGTGGTCTGTGCGTGTATGTTCTTGTGTGCGTGTACGCGTGTGAGAGAGAGAGAGGGAAGGGGGGAGAACAACTGTAAGAGCATGTTTGTGGTGACAGGATAATGGAGAAGGGAGGAAGGAAGGGGAAAAATGAAAGAGATTAAAAAGCAAGAGAGGCAAAGTGACAGTGACGAGGGAAGAGAGTGACAGGGAAGGATGCAGAAAGAATGCAGGGAGCAACAGTTTGATGGGAAATGGGAGGGGACTTCTGCATGAGAGAGAGGTGAGGATTTGACATCCGTGAGAGGTAAAGTTTCATTTTGGTGAAGTGAACCTTGTGAACATTTCAATATACCTCTCTCCTGCTTTACGTCCCATTTTGTTTGGCAGCTGCTAGAAATGAGTTTCCGTTTTTCTGTCTTGTTTTAATATTCTCATGTCTCCCACATCACTGAGATCATTAGAGGCAGAAACAATTATGTCATGCATTCCCTGCATCTGACAGAACCCTCTGTGCGTGCTGGTTTATTAACTCCAGCCTTGCCCCTCTGCCATCAGCTACATCTGCTTTTGTTATTCTGATCCACGTTTCATGAGCATGCACACACACACTCTCTCCCTCTCTCCACTGACCTCTGTGGGCTCACTTGTCCTTTGGGAAATAGACCAGTAGCTGCTCAGAATCCAAATGTACGTGACAAACACTCTTGAAAAGGCTTCTGCCACCTACTCATCAACAAACAAGCAAAACAAAGCCCCAACAGCCACAAATAGCCACAAAAAAAGGTTCTTCTGGATCACATCTGTAACTCTTGACCTAATCCTTTCATTTTCCCTAGAAGAACAAAAGAAAGAGAGAGTTTTTGCAGGATCTGTGTTAGGCTATAGCTTGTTATGGTGGCAAAAAGGTTAAAAGGGATTTTCTATACCCCATTCTTGGTTACTATTTTGCCAACATTACCCCCCACACAAGTATGTGTGTGGGGGGCCACATTTAGAAAGTCTGGACAGGATGATAAAAATTGTTTTGGCAGAAGATAAATCATTGCATATGGGCGTGGGCAGTAATGCCCAAACTCATTTACCGTAACAAATGGTTTCATGAAAATATTTTGGTCAGTACAGCTTATTTTGGCATACTGAGAGGTGGTTGCCTATCTGTGTGATTGCATAGAGAGGATGGACATCTTGTGGGTCAGCATTGCTTAATTCATTCAGAGGGAGCTCTGAGGAGAGTGGCCATCCTTCGTGTTTGACCTTCATACTGAGGCGTGCCCAGGGATTATTGAGGATAGGAATTCAGTTTGGAGATAAACCATTCTTTCATAATTTTAGTAAATGGATTATGATGCACATAAACAACAAGAAGAGAAAAATGCTTTGGGACTTCCAAATACAAAACCTTTCTCTGACATGGTTATGTGAGAGGGGGAGAGTTATAATATTTTTGCCGCAATCAGTTGTTCTGAAGTTCAACAGAGATAATATAAGTGAACATGCTTTGCAAACTCAGAGGATGCTCCCTGAAGCAAAGGCAAAACAATGCCATAGAGACAAAGGATGTTTGCCACAAGTGTTTCAGAACCAATTGACTATGTTATCTCCAAATCATTAAATAATTGTTTAATTATCCTCTTAATATGCGAACATTTACATTTCACTTCCCTAGTTTCCTTTTTATTCCTCCATGATATGTCTTTCTGCTTGAATCTGTTTAGTGCCTTTGCTTAGGATCCTCCATCAGGGTTTCAGCCAAGGAAGCCCTACTCTTAGTTGGGGTTCATTGAAGCTGTGGCCAAGTTGAGTCTACGGTAGCAGTCAATGAGTGCTTCTCAGTTCTCTGCTCTCCTGCTCAGATCTATGCTCCGCTGCTGTGCCCTAAAGGGAGCTCATCACAAAGAACTTATATGTATCTGTGAATCTAGGTCTTTATGGGATGGGGATGTGAACTGCATTTTCTATTGATAGTAGAAATGCAGTGATTTTATATATATATAATATATATATCACACACATATATGTATACTGTGTATATATGCACACACATATCCATATATGTATATAAAATCTCACAGTATGTATATTCTCCCACCCTGACACACATCTACCAATGTTTCTTACCCCTACACACAAAATTTATCACTTTATAAGACTCAGTGGTTTGCGTTCATATTTGGAGTGAGAGTAGAATACATGTCTCCATAGTAACTGTCACCGTAGGGCTGAAAAGTGAGAACATTTAACAAAACCTCACATAGAGCGGTGAACTTGCTCTTTGAATTAGTTTGCTTGGGCTACCAAAACAAAATACCACAGTGCAGCTGGCTTAAACAACAGAAATGTATTTCTCACAGTCCTGCCTGGAGGCTGGAAGTCTAAGATTAAGATGTCAGCAGGTTCATTTTCTCCTGAGGCCTCTCTCCCTGGCTTGCAGATGGCCACCTTTTCGTGGTGTCCTCACATGGCCTTTCCCTTGTGCATGCACATTCCTATGTCTCTTCTTCTCATAAGGACACCAAACAGAGTGGATTAGGAACCACTCTCAATTGATTCATTTAACCTTAATTCCCTCTTTAAAGGTCCTATCTCCAAATAATAGTCATAGATTTTCTAAGGCACTAGGGGTTAGGGTTTTGACATAGAAATCTGGTAGAACATAAATTAGTCCCTAAGATTCTCCAAGCATATTCTCATGGGCTACTGAGAGTAGTCTTCCAGGTTCCACAGGGATAGAGAAGTCTATATCAGAAACAACACTCATATTAGACCCAGAAGTCCCAGAGATTGGGTGCTGGAGTCCTATTATTCAGCTGGCTGTGTGATCTTGAGTCAGAAAGTTAATTTTCTGAGTCTCAATTGGCCTTGCCTGTGAAACACGAGCTGTTAGTGTTTTGCCATGATTATTAATTATGATTACATGTAATTGTTAGTATTCGGTTGCCTAAGATAGCTGTATGAAGAAGTTCTGTGAAATGATATGTACTGCTTCGTTGCATAGCATTTTTATAATCTTCTGACTGGCAACTTTTCTTAGTGTTTGGGAGCTAATGTAGTGTTTAAGAGCAATGTCTGTAAAGGCAGACAGATCTGAGTTTGAATTTCAGTCCATTTACTTCTTGTCTTAGCCAATTTTGTTAATGAACAGACATTTTTTGGCTTATGGTTGTGAAGGCTGGGAAGTCCAAGACTGAGGAGCTGCACCTGGCAAGGGCCTTCTTGCTGCATCATCCTCCTTTTATAACCAACCCTCTCCATGAAAACTGCACTAATCCATTCACCCTCATGACCTAATCACTTCTCATTAGGCCCCACCTCCCAACACTGTTACTTTGGGGATTAAGTTTCCAACACGTGCCTTTGGGGGAATAGATTCGAACCATAGCACTTCCTAGAGTAATTAATTTTAAAAGATCCATTTTCTTTTATGTAAAATAGGACTAATAATATAAACAACAAACAGAATTCATATGAAGATTAAGGAAAATAATACATATAAAATGAGAGGGCTTGGGCCCTGCACGGTGGCTCACACCTGTAATCTCAGCACTTTGGGAGGCCAAGGCAGGTGGATCACCTGAGGTCAGGAGTTCGAGACCAGCCTGACCAACATGGCAAAACACCGTCTGTACTAAAAATACAAAATTAGCCAGGCGTGGTGGCACATGCCTGTAATCCCAGCTGCTCGGGAGGCTGTGGCAGGAGAATTGCTTGAATCAGGGAGGTGGAGATTGCAGAGAGCTGAGATCATGCCATTGCACTCCAGCATGGGTGACAGAGCGAAACTCCATAAAAAAAAAAAATGTAAGGGCTTGAAAATAGTTTATCATCATCATTAATTTATTTCTGTAAACTCTTCCCCTTTCCTCTTTCCTCTTAGCATAATTGAACTTCCACATGGAGGTCTGTTCTACTCCTGATTCGAGTTTTGTAAATAATCTTTGTGGTATTCTTTTGTGCCAATGACAGCAGTTTATTCTTCAGTTGATCTTTTTGCCTCTTCTTCTTTTCCCCCAGCCAGCTTTCAATGGTTATAGAGCTTTAGCCTTCTGTGAAGATAGAAAAAGCATTCATATACTTTCCTTTGCAGATCTATCATCTCCTTTCCATTAAAGCAATCCCTTGATATACCACATACTCGAGTCTTAGTCATTTCTTTCAATATGCAATGCTGACTTGTTGGCATAATTTCATCTCACTTACACATTTTCAAACACATTCTTCTCAACCTGAAGTCTGAGTAAGCTGGTAGCAATGAAGACAAAAACAGTATTCACCTTCAATCACCATAGTGTCCCAGCCCCTAGCTCAGTGCCAGCCAAATAATAAGAACCCACAAATATTTGGGTAATGAATGAGTAAATGGGCTGTGTGTTGACAAGAGAGTAGCTGAAACGCTAAACTCATTTGTTTTTTAGTGACAGTTACTAAGTGGGGAGAATTCCAGGGGGAATAATGATGGAGGACAGTGTGGAGTCTAAAGCCAATGTGTGTGTGTGTGTGTGTGCGTGTTTGCGTGCATGTGTGTGTGAGAGAGAGAGAGAGATGTTCAGAGATTAGCAGGAAGTACAGTTCAGAATCAAATAGCTTAAAGGAAAAGGAGGGATTGGGACATCACCCATGGTAAAGGGTTCTGAGAAGCTACCCTATTGATTCATAGAGGGTGTTCAGAGTCCCGTGTTTTAGTGACCCCAGTTCCACCTAGACCCAGCTCCAGGCATAATATGTTTGACAAAATGGCAGGACAGTGAAAGGGTCATTAAAGTACTTTATTTGTATCATGAAAAGATTGACTTATAAATCTTCATTAAATATTTGCCTTCCTAGCCAGACATAAGCTCCATAAAGACAGGCGCTGGCCCTCAGGGAGCAAGTGAACTGGCATGGTGCCTGGCGCCCAGCAGTTCCTTCATGAAGATTTCAGAATGACCAAGTGAGTTGAATGCACAGCCCAGGCATCTGTGTTTTCACACCTCTCCAGGGTCTGTTCCATTATTCACGTAGAAAAACCTGTTAACTATTGTGAAGCAGCCTTGTATCTGTAGCTGCCACACACTTCTCAATGACCTTCCCTTTCCAAGTTGAGTTTTGCACCATGTCAACAAGTGGCAGCTTTCTAGCATCAAATTGTTTGTCCAGGGTTATCAGCATTACTTTCTTTTCTTGTCCTCACTACAATACACATGCCCATCTCAAATCAGTTCCATTGTTACTTAGGTAATAGTATTGTAGGGTGTCTTTACTTCAGAAAGAATGATATATTTAGCAAATGTTACAGATATAGGAGGTTTTAAGTGGGACTAAATGCAGCAATTAATGCTAATGAGTCTGCTGTTAGCATGTAATATTCTTGGTGTTATAATCATGCATCACTGAATGCGAAGCCTCAGTTTGTGCAACAGATGCCGATCTTAATGGCTATATTCTCTTCCCATGGATAAGCTAGCTTTAGTTAAATGAATCATTAAGAATAACCATTTAAAATGTTAATGAAAACAGTGATTATAACCACCAAGATTTTTTTTTTAACTTCTGGCTCTATTACTTTTTATTTTCGAAAGGACTTTGGGAAGGTAAGAAACTTATTGCCTGTGTATGTTGTTTTAAACAGAGAAGGCCGATACAGTTTCTGTTCACAGCAGCCCTGAGGCCGCATGCCTGTATTATTAACACCAACCGTACTTGGAGACTAACTCTCTTTTGTTCTCATTTGTCATTTCTTTTAAATATTCATTTAGGGTATAAGACAGAATTGGGTAAGTAGGATCCTTGACAGTCCAACTAGTTGGTAAACAAATATTTTGTCTTCCTGAAAGTATCATTATACTATCGCAAATTAAGACTGAAAAGGAAAAAAATACCAGGATGTTGATATTTAAGAATAAATACTTTATCTTTTCAGAACAACAATAAGAAGGCTGGTTTAGGCTTTATCGCTGGAAAATGGAGTTTGTGAAACAAAGAAGTAATAGATGCATAGCAAGAGCTCAGTGTCCTTCCACATTGTGTCACCGGTTGTACCCTGAGACAGATTCTCCAAGTCTTAGAACATGGATATGCAGTGAGAGTGAGGTTTACGTAGAAAAGTCTTTGTGTCTTGGGAGTGCCATGTGTATTGAATGTCTATGACTCATGTCTCCCCTTGACTCACTTCTTGGCTGGGCTACATGACTCATCAGGCCTGGTAGGTTCAGGGCAGTGTAGCTGGTGGGGAAGGGCTAAGTGAAGAGGGGCTGTCTAGACCTGGGGAGCATGGTTATAATGAGCTTTTTCAAACGTACAACTCAACTCTCTTGCACCTAGGAAGTATCTTCATCCAGAAGGAGTTCTCAGTCCTTTTTCTGGTGAGTTGTCTTGATTCTGGAAAATATGTTTGTTTTTCTTTGAGAATTGGCCCAAATATTAATATATCTGGGTAAATCAATGCTGCTTGAAGGCTCTGTAATCTCATGATTGTTAATATAGAGCCTGGGGTTTATATATTAAGAATAGTAAGTGCAGGTTGAGTTAATTGTCTAAGAGACAGAAAATAGGAATGTTCATAGTCCAAGGACTTAAAGTCCAAGTGAGAGGTGACAGCGTGCTGTCAGTCCTCACAGCCCTCGCTCGCTCTCTGCTCCTCCTCTGCCCGGGCTCCCACTTTGGCAGCACTTGTGGAGCCCTTCAGCCCATGCTGCACTGTGGGAGCCCCTTTCTGGGCTGGCCAAGGCCGGAGCCGGCTCCCTCTGCTTGCAGGGAGGTGTGGAGGGAGAGGCGCGAGCTGGAACCCCGGCTGCGCCCGGCGCTTGCGGGCCAGCTGGAGTTCCGGGTGGGCGTGGGCTTGGCGGACCCCGCACTCGGAGCAGCCGGCCGGCCCTGCCAGCCCCGGGAAATGAGGGGCTTAGCACCCGGGCCAGCAGTTGCGGAGGGTGTACTGGGTCCCCCAGCAGTGCCAGCCCACCGGCGCTGCGCTCGATTTCTCGCCGGGCCTTAGCTGCCTTCCCGCGGGGCAGGTCTCTGGACCTGCAGCCCGCCATGCCTGAGCCTCCCACCCCCTCCGTGGGCTCCTGTGCGTCCCGAGCCTCCCCGATGAGCGCCGCCCCCTGCTCCAAGGTGCCCCAGTCCCATCTTTTTGCTTTTATGAGCTGTAACACCGCGAAGGTCTGCAGCTTCACTGCTGAAGCCAGCGAGACCACGAGCCCACCGGGAGGAACGAACAACTCCAGACGCGCCACCTTAAGAGCTGTAACACTCACTCGAAGGTCTGCAACACTCACTCGAAGGTCTGCAGCTTCACTCCCGAAGCCAGCGAGACCACGAGCCCACCGGGAGGAAGGAACAACTCCAGACGCGCCGCCTTAAGAGCTGTAACACTCACCGCGAAGGTCTGCAGCTTCACTCCTGAGCCAGCGAGACCACGAACCCACCAGAAAGAAACTCAGAACACATCCGAACATCAGAAGAAACAAACTCCAGACGCACCACCTTAAGAGCTGTAACACTCACCCGTGAGTGTCCCAGGCTTCATTCTTGAAGTCAGTGAGACCAAGAACCCACCAATTCCGGACACACAAGGGTTAATACAATAAAGATTTCTGAATGAGGTCTGTGGTTGCAGCAGCTGAGGTAGTGCTATAGCACTTATTTTTCAGTGACAATTGCCTGGAAGCTTCTGATGACTCTTACTTAGGGCTGCCCAGGGTTGGAACTGCACTATTTCTCTTAACCTGACCTGCATCCTCTCCCACTTCCTGAGTTTCTGATCAAAGTCCATCTCTGATGTTTGTTCTGACTAGTAGAAACATCTCTTTTGGGCAGGCAGAAACTGAGACAGAGGTTTTTTGTTTGTCTGTTTTTGAAATAGGGGGTCTTTGCTGTAAGATTAATTCCTAATTTGACCTAGGAAACCAGGCAGGGGCAGGGTGAGCAGGTAAAACGATAAAGATAGTAAGTAAAGATAACAAGGCTAAGTCAAATTTGTATACTTCCTGTGATGGTTAATACTGAGTGTCAACTTGATTGGATTGAAAGATACAGAATATTGATCTGGGTGTGTCTGTGAGGGTGTTGCCAAAGGAGATTAACATGTGAGTCAGTGGGCTGGGAAAGGCAGACCCACCCTTTATCTGAGTGGGCACAATCTAATCAGCTACCAGTGCAGCTAGAATATAAGCAGGCAGAAAAATGTGAAAAGAGAGACTGGCCTAGCCTCCCAGCCTACCTCTTTCTCTCATGCTGGATGCTTCCTGACCTTGAACATCAGACTCCAAGTTCTTCAGTTTTGGAACTTGGACTGGCTCTCCTTGCTCCTCAGCCTGCAGTTGGCCTGTTGTGGGACCTTGTGATCGTGTGAGTTAATAATAACCTTCCTTGTTTTAAAAGCACGTGGCAAATCAGCAGCACCTTACATTCTCTGGTAGCACCTGAGAATGGTTGGGTTTGTAAAAGGTGAGTTAGAAGATGTCCCTCAATGAACGTTCTCAGACACAGTCCCCAGTGCTCACCATAGATCCTCAACAGTTTGAAATCCATTGACCAGGACATAGCTTTGACTGATAAAAGGATATCCCAATTGGCCAGTAGCCAGTCTGGAGAAGAGTAGAGAATAATTTAAAAAGGAAAGTGAAGAGAAATTCATTTCCTCTTCATAGCAACAACCAGTAAGACTTCAGTCTTGGGCTTATAGGTTTCATGCGCGTCCGTGTGAAGAGACCACCAAACAGGCTTTGTGTGAGCAACATGGCTGTTTATTTCACCTGGGTGCAGGCGGGCTGAGTCCGAAAAGAGAGTCAGCGAAGGGAGATAAGGGTGGGGCCGTTTTATAGGATTTGGGTAGGTAAAGGAAAATTACAGTCAAAGGGGGTTTGTTTTCTGGTGGGCATGAGTGGGGGTCGCAAGGTGCTCAGTGGGGGTGTTTTTGAGCCAGGATGAGCCAGGAAAAGGACTTTCACAAGGTAATGTCATCACTTAAGGCAAGGACCAGCCATTTACACTTCTTTTGTGGTGGAATGTCATCAGTTAAGGTGGGGCAGAGCATATTCACTTCTTTTGTGATTCTTCAGTTACTTCAGGCCATCTGGGCCTATACGTGCAAGTCACAGGGGATGCGATGGTTTGGCTTGGGCTCAGAGGCCTGACATTCCTGCCTTCTTATATTAATAAGAAAAATAATACAAAATAGTGTTGAAGTGTTGGGGCAGCGAAATTTTTTGGGGGGTGGTATGGAGAGAGAATGGGCGATGTTTCTCAGGGCTGCTTCGAGCGGGATTAGGGGTGGCGTGGGAACCTAGAGTGGGAGAGATTAAGCTGAAGGGAGGTCTTGTGGTAAGGGGTGGTATTGTGGGGATGTTAGAAGAAACATTTGTCGTATAGAATGATTGGTGATGGCCTGGATACGGTTTTGGATGAATTGAGAAACTAAATGGAATAACAGAAGGAAAAAAGCAGGTATAAAAGGTCTAAGAATTGGGACGACTCAGGATATCTGATTAGAGAGTGCCTAAGGAGATTCAGCATAGTCCTGCCAGCAAAGATTATTTATTTACTTCAAGAGTTAAGAGTGGCAGTTTGGGGATAGCACCAGGAGATATCAGCTGTGATGGCTTGGAAAAACAGTGTAAACCAGCAGTGTAAACAAGAGCAGGGCATGTATGAGTAGTTGAGAACGGTGAATAGGAGTATGACTAGACAGAAGATAGTAGGGATGACAAGTTTTTTTGGGGCACAGTCTAAGTTGGTCTGGTGTCTGGAATGAGACTGGGGCCTAATAAAAAGGAGCATCTATACGGGAGCTTAAATGGGCTGTACCTTGTAGCATTCCGAGGACAGGCCTGAATTCTGAGAAGGGAAAGTGGTAAAAGTATTGTCCAGTCCTTTTTAAGTTGGTGGCTGAGCTTGGTGAGGTGTATTTTTAAAAGACCTTTAGTCCGTTCTGCTTTTCTTGAAGACGGAGGACCGTAAGGGATATAAAGGTTTCACTGAATACTAACAGCCTGAAAACCTGCTTGGCTGATTTGACTAATAAAGGCTGGTCTGTTATCAGACTTTATAGAGGTGGGAAGGCTAAACTGAGGAATTATGTCTGACAGAAGGGAATAAATGACTGCGGTGGCCTTCTCAGACCCTGTAGGAAAGGCCTTTACTTATTCAGTGAAAGTGTTTATTTAGACTAAGAGGTATTTTAGTTTCCTGACTCGGGCATGTTGAGTAAAGCTAATTTGCCAGTCCTAGGTGGGGGCAAATCCTCGAGCTTGATGTGTAAGGAAGGGAGGGGGCTTGAGTAATCCCTGAGGATTAGTAGAACAGCAGGTGGAACACTGAGAAGTTATTTCCTTGAGGTTAGATTTCCATGATGGAAAGGAAATGAGAGGTTCTAAGAGGCGGGCTAGTGGCTTGTACTATAGCATAACCTGCCTTTGCTGGTGTGTGGCGATTAGGCCTGGTGGAACCACCATCAATAAATCAAGCGTGATCAGGGTGAGGAACAGGAAAGAAGGAAATTTGGGGAAATGGGGTGAATGTCAGGTGGATCAGAGAGATACAGTCATGGGGGTCAGGTGTGGTATCAGGAATAATGTGGGAGGCCAGATTGAAGTCCGGGCCAGGAACAATGTTAATTGTGGGAGACTCAACAAAGAGTGAGTGTAGCTGAAGGATCCGGGAAGCAGAAAGTATATGCGTCAGGTATGAGGAAGAAATTAGATTTTGGAAGTTATGAGAACTGTAGAGAGTGAGTTGAGCATAGTTTGTGATTTTGAGGGCCTCTAAAAGTATTAAAGCAGCGGCAGCCGCTGCACACAGACATGAGGCCTAGGCTAAAACAGTAAGGTCAAGTTGTTTGGACAGAAAGGCTACAGGGTGCGGTCCTGGCTCTTGTGTAAGAATTCTGACCACACTAACCATGGCTAGGAAGGAAAGGAGTTGTTTTGTAGAAGGTGCTGGGGTTTGAGAGATCAGTTGGACACGATTGGCAGGGAGAGCACGTGTGTTTTTATGAGAATTATGCCGAGATAGGTAACAGATGAGGAAGAAATTTGGGCTTGATTGAAGTAATGGGGGCTGTCTGTGAAGCTTTGCGGCAGTACAGCCTAGGTAATTTGCTGAGCCTGATGGGTGTCAGGGTCAGTCCAAGTGAAAGCGAAGAGAGGCTGGGATTAAGGGTGCAAAGGAATAGTAAAGAAAGCATGTTTGAGATCCAGAACAGAATAATGGGTTGTAGAGGCAGGTATTGAGGATAGGAGAGTATATGGGTTTGGCAGCATGGGGTGGATAGGCAAAACAATTTGGCTGATAAGGCGCAGATCCTGAACTAACTTGTAAGGCTTGTCTGGTTTTAGGACAGGTAAAATGGGGGAATTGTAAGGAGAGTTTATAGGGTTTAAAAGGCCATGCTATAGCAGGTGAGTGATAACAGGCTTTAATCTTTTTAAAGCGTGCTGCGGGATGGGATATTGGCGTTGAGTGGGGTAAGGGTGATTAGGTTTTAATGAGATGGTAAGGGGTGCATGATGGGTCGCCAAGGAGGGAGTAGAGGTATCTTATACTTGTGGGTTAAGGTGGGGGGGATACAAGAGGAGGACGCAAAGGAGGCTTTGGATTGGGAAGAAGGGCAGCAATGAGATATAGCTGTAGTCCAGGAATAGTCAGGGAAGCAGATAATTTAGTTAAAGCGTCTCAGCCTAATAAGGGAACTGGGCAGGTGGGGATAACTAAAAAGGAGTGCTTAAAAGAGTATTTTCTAAGTTGGCACCAGAGTTGGGGAGTTTTAAGAGGTTTAGAAGCCTGGCCATCAATACCCACAACAGTTATGGAGGCAAGAGAAACAGGCCCTTGTAAAGAAGGTAATGTGGAGTGGGTAGCCTCCGTATTGATTAAGAAGGGGACGGGCTTACCTTCCACTGTGAGAGTTACCTGAAGCTCGGCGTCCGTGATGGTCTAGGGGTCTTCCAAGGCGATCGGGCAGTGTCAGTCTTCAGCCGCTAAGCCGAGAAGATCTGGGAAGGAGTCAGTCAGAGAGCCTTGGGCCAGAGTTCCAGGGGCTCTGGGAGTGGCTGCCAGGTGAGTTGAACAGTCCGATTTTCAGTGGGGTCCCACACAGATGGGACGTGGCTTAGGAGGAATCCCGGGCTGCGGGCATTCCTTGGCCCAGTGGCCAGATTTCCGGCACGTGTAGCAAGCTCCTGGGGGAGGAGGTTCTGGAGGAACGCCTGGCCACTGCGGTTCAGGCGTTTGGAAGTTCTTGTGTGCTGGAGATGTGGCTGGGGTTTGTCTCACAGTGAAGGCAAAGAATTGCAACTTTTTTCTATTATTGTACGCCTTGAAGGTGAGGTTAATTAAATCCTGTTGTGGGGTTTGAGGGCCGGAATTTAATTTTTGGAGTTTCATTTAATGTCGGGAGCAGATTGGGTAATACAATGTATATTGAGAATAAGACGGCCTTTTGCCTTTTAGGGTCTAGGGCTGTAAAGTGTCTCAGGGTTGCTGCCAAACAAGTCATGAACTGGGCTGGGTTTTTATATTTGATGAAAAAGAGCCTAAACGCTTCTGATTTGGGATAAAGAAAAAGGAGCATTAACCTTGACTATGCCTTTGGCTCCAGCCACCTTTTTAAGAGTAAATTGCTGGGCAGGTGGGGGAGGGCTAGTCACCGAACGAAACTGTAAGCCGGACCAGGTGTGAGGAGGGGAGGCGATAAAAAGATTATAGGGTGGAGGAGCAGAGGCTGAGGAAGAATTGGGACCTAGCTCGGCCTGGCGAGGAGGGGAGAGGTCAGATGGGTCTGTAGAAAAGGAAGATTAGAAAGACTCAGCAATGCTTGGGGTTGGGACTGAGGGGACAGGTGGGAGGGAAAGAAGGAAGATTTGGGACAAGTTGCACTGGGCACAGAGACCAGGAAGGGACTGATGTGTAAAAGAATGCCTGGATGTCAGGCACTTCAGACCATTTGCCCATTTTATGATAAGAATTATTTAGATCTTGTAGGATGGAAAAATTGAAAGTGCCGTTTTCCGGCTATTTGGAACTACTGTTGAGTTTGTATTGGGGTCAAGCGGCATTGCAGAAGAAAATAAGGCATTTAGGTTTTAGGTCAGGTGTGAGTTGAAGAGGTTTTAAGTTTTTGAAAACACAGGCCAAGGGAGTAGAAGGAGGAATGGAGGGTGGAAAGTTGCCCATAGTGAAGGAAGCAAGCCTAGAGAAAAGACAGAGTAGAGAAATGGAGGGAAGGGGTTTGGGGGTTCTTACCTTCCAGAAAAGTGGGAAAAGGGGTTGGGGCACAGAGATAAGAGGTTGGGGCATGGAAATAAGGGATTGGGGGTTCTTGCCCTGTAGAAAAGCGGGACTTGCCACTAAGGGTGAAGGAGAAGGGGTTGAGGGGTACTTGCCCCTCTCCCAGAAAAGCAGAGAAGGGGTAGAGACAAGGAGAGAAGGGGTTGGGGTACTTGCCCCTTCCCCAGAAAAGCAGGACTTGCCGCTAAGGGTGAAGGACCAAGGCAGGCGTCCCTGCGTGGTCTGACACCTTTGAAACGTGGGTGAATAATCACAGAGGTGTCCCTGCAGTGATTAAACACCAAGGGAAGGCTGCCTTCCCAGTCCGTGACCGGCACCGGAGTTTTGGGTCCACGGATAAAACATGTCTCCTTTGTCTCTACCAGAAAATGAAAGGAATTGAAATTAAGAGAAGGGAGAGATTGAAGTGTAGTGCCAAGATTGAAAGGAGAAAGAGGTTGAGGGATAGTGAGGGAGGTTGGAGAAGAGAGTAAAAAGAGGCCGCTTACTGGATTTGAAATTGGTGAGATGTTCCTTGGGCTGGTCGGTCTGAGGACCTGAGGTTATAGGTGGATCTTTCTCATGGAGCAAAGAACAGGAGGACAGGGGATTGATCTCCCAAGGGAGGTCCCCCGATCCGAGTCATGGCACCAAATTTCATGCGCGTCTGTGTGAAGAGACCACCAAACAGGCTTTGTGTGAACAACATGGCTGTTTATTTCACCTGGGTGCAGGCGGGCTGAGTTCGAAAAGAGAGTCAGGGAAGGGATATAAGGGTGGGGCCATTTTATAGGATTTGGGTAGGTAAAGGAAGATTACAGTCAAAGAGGGTTTGTTCTCTGGTGGGCAGGAGTAGGGGTTGCAAGGTGCTCAGTGGGGGTGTTTTTGAGCCAGGATGAGCCAGGAAAAGGACTTTCACAAGGTAATGTCATCACTTAAGGCAAGGACCAGCCATTTACACTTCTTTTGTGGTGGAATGTCATCAGTTAAGGTGGGGCAGAGCATATTCACTTCTTTTGTGATTCTTCAGTTACTTCAGGCCATCTGGGCATATACGTGCAAGTCACAGGGGATGCAATGGCTTGGCTTGGGCTCAGAGGCCTGACAATAGGCAACCATATTTTCCACGTTTGTGTAACAATTTTCTTTTTAGCAGATGAGGGAGAGATACACTTTTTTCATAGATTTGGATTCAGGTATCTTCTACAGCTATGGTGAGGTTACAGTGATTGATGATAGAAAAGAATTTCAGGTGTAATGGGTTGGTGTATTTGGTTGAATTGAATACAACTTAATTCTATATTGACAAATATTTGCAAAACTCTTTCCTTTAGAATCACAGACCATTTTCTTTTGAGCTCTCACATGCTGTTTTAGGCATACTTTAAAATAGATGGATGTAAAGGGAGTATAAAATGGAAGTATAGTAGAAGTAATTTCTTCTGAGGCACTAATGATAGCAAACCTTCAAGGTGGTGGAGACTTTGTAACCCTGAAGCTTCTGTGGCTTAAAAGAAATAAAATCTCAGGCCATCTTTGAAAACTTAGAGACTTCAAGTAATTTTTTTGATAGATTGGTAATATAAGGTATTATAGCAGGACGAGCTGCAGACAAGAAGCCCTCAGACACCGAATTGTAGAAGGAAAGGGCTTTATTCAGCTGGGAGCATTGGCGGACTCATGTCTCCAAATCCCTGCTCCCCGAGTGAGCAATTCCTCTTCCTTTTAAGGGATTACAACTCTAAGGGGGTCTGTGTGAGAGGGTCGTGATCAATTGAGCAAGCAGGGGGTACATGATTGGAGGCTGCATGCACCTGCACCGGTAATTAGAAGGGAACAGAACAGGACAGGGATTTTCACAGTGCTTTTCCATACACTGTCTGTATGGATATGTATAGATAACATAACCGATTAGGTCAGGGGTCAGTCTTTAACTACTAGGCCCAGGGTGCGGCACCGGGCTGTCTTCCTGTGGGTTTCATTTCTGCCTTTTAGTTTTTCCTTCTTTTTTTCTTTGGAGGCAGAAATTGGGGCATAAGACAATATGAGGGGTGGTCTCCTCCCTTAGTATATAATAAAGACTGGCTGGCTTTTGTCCCCAGGTCTTGGGAGATAAGCTCTAATTCCCTGGAATTTTCCAAGTAAAAGTTCTTTTTTTCGTTATTCATGTTGAGCCTCTTGGACCACACCTAATAGTGCGTACCAATAAGATGACTCAGGGTGGGCCAGGTGCTGTGGCTCATGCCTGTAACCCCAGCAGTTTGGGAGGCCGAGGAGGGTGGATCACAAGGTCAGGAGATCGAGACCATCTTGGCCAACATGGTGAAACCCCGTCTCTATTAAAATACAAAAAGTTAGCCAGGCGTGGTGGTGGTGTGTGTCGGTAATCCCTGCTACTTGGGAGGCTGAGGCAGGGGAATCGCTTGAACCTGAGAGGTGGAGGTTGCAGTGAGCTGAGATCACATCACTGTACTCCAGCCTGGTGACAGAGCAAGACTCTGTCTAAAAGCAAAATAAATAACATAAATAAAATGACTCAGTGTGGGTCCCTAGATAGTTCATAATAACTTGATGACTCAGGACGGTGGCTGCACGTATTAGAAATACCACCCGTGTAATTCAGTATTGAAGCATTGAATCACATGATATCAGCCTGACCTCTGGGCAGGGGAGGGGGTGTGGACATTCAATCAATCATGCCTAGGTAATGAAATCTAGAAACAAAAACAAAAAATCTAGATGCCTGGTTGGTGATACTTTGTTTGTTGTCACATATCAATGTGTTAGAAGGTTAGTACTTCTTCAGTCCACAGGAAGAGGACAATAGAAACTCCCCCACACTAGGGACTCTCTCAGACCTTACCCTGTGTCTCTCCCTTTGACCAGTTCTAATTTGTGTTCTTTGCTATAATAAGACTGAAATCGTAAGTATAATTCCCTGAGTTCTGTGAGTCATTCTAGCAAATTATTGAACCTAAAGGATAGTAAGAACCCTGGATTTGAAATGATCAGAAATGAGAGTGGTTTGAGAACCCTAATCTTGCAGCTGGTGTTTGAAGTGAAATAGTCTTTGAAGTGAGACTGTGTCTTTAACCTTGAGTTTGAAAAACTCATTGCAGAAGAACATTTTCAGAGTTTTTGTTTGTTTGTTTGCTTTTTTTTTTTTTTTTTGAGACGGAGTCTCGCTCTGTCCCCTAGGCTGGAGTGCAGTGGCGCGATCTCCGCTCACTGCAAGCTCCGCCTCCAGGTTCAGGCCATTCTCCTGCCTCAGCCTCCCGAGTAGCTGGGACTACAGGCGCCCACCACCATGCCCAGCTAATTTTTTGTATTTTTAGTGGAGACGGAATTTCACCGTGTTAGCCAGGATGATCTCGATCTCCTGACCTCGTGATCCGCCCGCCTCGGCCTCCCAAAGTGCTGGGATTACAGGCCAGATTTTTTTTTTAATAAAATTCAAAATGTGGAGAGACTGGGACCGTAATCTGTTTCTTTGAGCCAGAGGGGTCTAGGAATTTTGGTTCTGTTTGATCCTTTTCCCATTATTGAAGCCCATCATGAGTGCTCATTCCTCCATTCCATCCCCCAGCCGCCTAACTTGGGATTAATTCTCATGGAGGTGTTTCAAAGTCAATTTGACTCCTAAGAGTAGCACTTCAGACGCTCCCAGTCACTCCTGATGTATGATCTTTGGACTATAGATTGCTTATTTCTCATTTTCTTTCTATGTGTCCTGTGTAATGCAATAGGGCTTCTATAGAGATTCAGGAAACATTTCGTGAAGATCATAGCTCTCAGCAGTAATAGAAAACAAACTGCATTTTTGTAAGTAGAAATAACAGGTGGCTGTAGAAGGTACCTTAGTTCCTTCTACTGCTATGAGGTAGCATCTCATTAAAACTAACCCTTAAAGATAACCACTACTATGGAGACTTTGAAGAAAGAGCATATTTTCTAATGTTTTTGGTATCATAACCCAAGGTTGCACTGAAGTCTAACAATCATAAGTGTCTTAATTATTTATAGCATTTCAGTGGTAATTTATACTTATTTCTTTCAGTCCCTTAAGGGAAAAAAAGAAAAAGAAAAAAAAAACACGTTTACAGAATCTCTTTGCTTAGGTGGAGAAAATTCTTGTAAATACCACGTTCCTTTCTGTGACAGACGAGGCATTGTTAGAAGAGCTTCAAGTGATTTTTCAGTATTATTTCTGCCCTTCCCTTACATGATATTCATATCATTGGCTTCATTTTCTCTTTTATTCATGAAAACCTCCAAGAAGCAGTGCAGTCAACCACAAGATCACTGACAGGTCAATGAAGACACATCTCCTTTTCACGTTTATTTCATTTTGTTTTAAGATCACAGAAGAGCAGAGCATTCATACGTGTAAAGTAACAGAAGAGAGAAACAGAATTTAAATACATTTAAAAAGAAAAGAAAAAAAGCTTTTTTTCATTTTAATTTTAATTTTTTTTTTTTAACACACATTGCGCTTTTTATCTCCTTCACAGAGCTAGTACCCAGGGAAAAAAATCCACCTAATAAACAAAAATGAAAAACCTTGAAAAACAAAAAATCCCAAACAAAAAATGGCCATGTGTTTGTATCTTCAAGGGAAGATCAGTTCATGTCTACAGGGCTGAAAAAAGGAATATATTTATATATATATTTATATGTATATAACACTGTTAATAAGGAGAATTCTAACCAAGAGCAGGATTTATACACCCTTCAGTAGAGCAGTGATAAGGAAGGTGGGGAGCATTGGGAGATGGGGGAGGGAGTTGGAAGTGTTCTCTTTTGCTTCTCTCCCCCTGAATTTCTTCCCTTTAACCTCCCTACTCCAAGTAAATACTTAGGGAGCAGAACTTGGCCACAGTTCACCAGGATGAACAATTTCCATTCTCTGGTGAAGAGCAAAGACTTAGGGAAGTGGGTTCAAAAGAGGCTCCTGGTAGCTTGGGATTGCTGCAGCGTGCCATGAAGCTAGGACTTCCATGGGTTTTCTTCACTTGCAAGAAGCATATTTGTACTGTGCCTGGCTTTACATAGGGAGGATTGTGCAGAGTAGAATGTGGCTGTAGAAGTAGATCCAGGAGCACTGCCCAAAAAGAGGTACTTCTGAAATGACCATGAAAACGGGGAGTTGTCCCATGGACAGGTCATTCTCCCACTTAGAGAGAGCTTCATAAGTAATCTAAGCACATCATATATCCTTACCTACACAAAGTGATGTGATTGCTGGGAAGTGATGAACAAACCCTACTCTTCAGTGACTGGAAACTCTGATGCCTTCTGTTCTTTCAGACAATAAAATCAAAGGACAACTTTGGATAGATGCTAACCTGAGCCTCTAGGACAGCTTAGGACAAGAGGATCTGTGCTCAATGCATCTAGAACATGGCACAAGAAAATAATTCCTTATTAATTGCTTGAGAAATCATCCTTTCTGCTTACCCTTTTCTCAGAGAACCTAACTTTCACATTTGATTTTGGCCTTCACAACAATTCATACTGTCTTCAACTCTGTAACCTCCTAAATTGTGTTTATTTTTGTTTTATTTTCAGCTTGTCTTCTTTAAATAGAATTGACTTGTACTTTTTGAAAACAATACTTGTTTTCTCTCCATCTATTTGCTTTATTTCATAGCCTATAATTCAAGCTTTGGGAAACTTATCCCATGAGAAATTCCTTCCAAAACAAAATGTATTGTCTTGCCCATTTCTTACAGTTCAGCCTTTGAACCTGCCTGGGACCCCATGCTTACCGCCATCAGCACAAGCAAAGAGTTTCCAAAGACACACATTTACTGTAATGAGGTACTTGGCCCAGGATGACAGAAAACTAATGTTTCCTTTCTTATGCACAATGTCCTCATTTGTTACATGCATAATACCCAGTCTGGCTATTTTCCTTCCTATGAAAGATTATTAGAATATAGTTCCACATTTAGGTTTTATAATATAAACAAGGAAACAACCCCAGCTATGTCAATGTCCTTAGTGTAATTTGAATGTGTCCCTTCTCTACACTGCTATAAAGTTTTGATCAGAAAAAATTTACAGACCCAGTCCAGAGTCCCTGTATTCTAGCAGTTTTGGGTTTAGAAATGAAGACGGTAGAATGATAGTTCTGAGAAGTGATGAGAATACAGAGACCAAACTAGAGATAACAAACAGCTGCTGTTTACAAACAGTGCTGGGCACAGCACTAAGTGAATATTAAATTCTTATTCAGAATAAAGGTTAGAGTTGAAAGAGATTTTAGAGACGTCAGCCGAATCCCTCACTTTCAGGATGAGAAAACCAAGACTCAGGAAAGTTAAATGACTTGCCAATGTCTCACAGCTTTATTTGTGGCTGAACTTGGGGTTAGAACCCAATTCTCCTGACTCCCAATTCAATACACCTTCTACCTCACTTTAAAGTTGTCAGTTTATCTTAGATGATGAGGAAGCAGTACCAAGAAGACACTTGGGGGTTGATACAACAGGCACATGAGCCCTTAAAACTCCTTCCTGTTTTTTTTCTTTTTTTTTCTCTTAGGTAGATTAGTGCATTTAAAGCCTGAAGTTAATTTGACCTAAAATTTTTATAAGTCTTTGCAGAAAGTTCACTTGTTTCCTGAAATCATCTCCTTGATAATTTTTTATGTAACAGTTGTTCATATTGTAGGAATGATATATATGTCATCCTGTTACACGTGTCAGGCACTTCAAAAAGACTCCAAGAGAACATGCCTGAGAAAGATAACTCCCAATTAAAAATGATTCAGTCCCTCACTTGCAATATTCAGGATAAATGTGTGGAAACATTAGGCTACCAGATAAATAAAAGGTAGTTATTTCCTAGGGTGACTCAGCAAGATATTTCTCGAGGATATAACATTTTTTATATTGCACAATTTCTTAGAATCCAGATGGCAAGCTTTCCCACTGCTTTTGTTGAATGGAAAATAAAAACTGAGTAATATTTTGCTCATCAAGGTTTAGGTCACTTCCTTGGAGCTATTTAAATAAGACATCTTAGATGGTGAGAAAGGAGTAAAAAGAAGATAGCTGGGAGTGGATACAGCAGACATATAGCCCTTAAAACCTTTCCCTCTATTTCCCTTGCTTTGGGGTCGGGTGAGACAACTACAGCAACAGTTGGGACAATCTCCACTTAGATCCTGAAAGACCAAAGAGGTGACTTGAGCAGGATATAAACCTTGAACTGTTCCTGTGGGTCTGCTTCCTTTGGCTAAGGCAACCTCATATTTGGAGCTTTAGTCGTAATTCTTCCGATTCTGAACTGTGAAACGTTTCAGTTTTTATTTATTTTTATTTGATTTTTTTTTCCTTAAGAATCATAGTAAACCTTAGCAGTAGTTGGGCACTGCATGAAAAATGAAGTTTACATAGTTTATATTATGTACATAAACTAGTGATTTACATTGATTTACACATGATTGGTGCCTAATTTATTAATCAGCACGCAGCATGTAAATGTGCTCAAAAGAAATCAAGGTTTAAAATAAGTTTTCCATAATATTCATAAACATTTTCGCTGGTGTAAATGTTAAACCTAAACCCAACGTTAACACCAGCTTCCTTGCCAAGAGAAAAGTGAGATGTACATGCTGGGTGAAAACAAATTCTTTCCTAAATTTTGGTTGGCGACATTTGAACAGCATAGCTACATGCAAATGAGAATAGTTTACTTCTTTTCTGCTAGTATGCACATAAATGTAAACTCCATTTTGCATTTAGTGAGATGTTTACAGATATTATGCCAACCATGATGGAAAATTTACATCACTGAGGCAAATGCAGTCTTTGGAGAAGAAATATTCTAAACATTTAAGCAAGGAGGAGGCTTCCTAAACTGCATTTTTGTTTCTTATCTCACCATTTTTGTGGTGTGTTTCACATTTGTCTTCAAAATATTAATAGTTTATGTAGGTAAGATATAGCACTGTACTTACATTTCTCTTAAAAAATGATATTGGTAACCAAGACTAAATGCAGGCTAAAAGTGTATGAGGATGAAAAGAAAAATGAGGACATGGTTAATCCCATTAAACATAGTCTATAAGCAAATTTCTTTTCGCCAAATAATTACAAAACGGAAAAAGTGGGGCTCTATGTCTTTCTACGTGAGCATAGATTTTCTTTCTAAACAACCAAATTCAGTACTTTTCTTCCTTTTAAGATCAAAACATTATTCTTAATTTGTCTTATAATACATACATTATTGTAAATATAGCATCTATAAAGATAAAAAATACACACACATATATATTATTGTTTTCCACAAATAATTCGAGCCCTGCAAAGAACAAAATGAAAAATTCAGGGAGAATAGCCAATAGAAACAGTGAAACCACAACCAACTCAGGGATGGAATCTGCGACTCTGGAGGATTCAAGAAGCTCACAACTTGGTAAAGTAATAACTCAAACAATTTCATGCTGAGGAGTTTAGCTTTTGTGTGCAAAGGAGGTAAGTCCATTTTTGGAGGAGAAACAGATTTTTGTTTGGTCCTCCAAGAACGTGAAAATCACGAGTACTTTTACAAGGTCTCTATAAGTAGCCCCAGTAGTCTGACTATGTAGTAAAAAAATGCCCATGGCAAGCGAGAAGTCTGTCTGACTTGGAAGAGAAGGCAAAGGTCAATGGGGCAGTCCTTCCTGAGAGAAAACCCATCTGCTTTTCTATAAGCCTTAGTTCTTTTAAGACATGGGGATTTCATGTCTCGAAACAAACAAGACTTTTTATCCAGCAAGGCAAAACCTTTGCTCAACAATTGCACAGAGCATAATTACAATTCTGCAGTTGTAAAGCCCTGGATAGTTCTCATTCTTCAGGAAGCACCCTGGGTCAAAGTCATTTCTGTTTTTGTTAACTGAAAGTTGGGTCTAAGGATTTCCTTTTACGAATGGTGGAGTTTTACTTTGTATACAAAGGATATTAAATATATTAGCCACTCAGATTAATTGATGAATTTCACTCCTCTCAGTATATTATTTCCAACCAGTTGGTGCTTTTCAGTGCGGGGTTTCAAACTTTGATTACCAAGGGACAAGATTCTTGAAGGAATTTATTCCAATATGATTAACTAAATTCCAAGAAGTCTTATGTTGAGATTCAATGATTTCTTGGTGTCAGTCCTCTGGCCCTACCTTTCCCTGACTTTTCTCTAAACTATATTTTCCTCCATTGTTCACACTGCTTAGGGAACACTTTCAATCCTATGAAATTTCTGGGGACAATGTTTTCTCTGAAACAGGAACCAGAAGCAAATTTTTAAAATTTCAAGATCCTGCTAGAGACACAGGCAAACACCACATTTAAATATATGTTTAATTATGTTTAATATATGGTCCATTATATTAAAACTGAGGGAACAAACGGTGCTGACATGGCAGACATTTATTTCAATGGAGAAGTTCCTCCCATGAAACCAAGACCTTGTCCTCATGATAAAGTGGAGACAATAAGAAAGCCAGGTATATAATTAAGGCCTGTGACATGCCATGGGGATCTGTTCCTGAAGGTAATACTAACATCCAACTTCTAACAACATCCAACTTAACTCCTACTTTTCTCTTCCTGTATATCTTTAAATTAGCATGCGCTTTTCTAAAGCCACACACTTAAGTGTGTGACTGCCTCTTCAATTTTTGGGGAATGCTTATTATTAAAGATGATACCCTTTATTCTTGAACTAAGAAGACCAAACTGTTAAGAGAAATACCTGATTGTCAATAAATTGATGCTGCATAGGAATATGGCTCACCTTCCCTATATTTTACTAGCTACCTTCTTGGATGAGAATTTGTTTTCTCTCCTATGTCAGAATCTGCTATAAACACTCTTAACCATCCCCAAGCTGAATTTTTCCTTGTATCAAGTCTAAACTGCAAAATCATGAAAGAAGGCTGTGATAAGCTTCTAAAACAAACAATAAAATCCCTTAGAAGAAATTGAAGAAATTAACAATGCTACTTAGATCTTTCTCCCTCCTGCCTTCCTTTCCTTTCTCCTTCCTTCCTTCCTTCCTTCCTTCCTCCCTCCCTCCCTCCCTCCCTCCCTCCCTCCCTCCCTCCCCCCCTTCCCCGTCCCCCCCTCCCTGCCTTCCTTCCTTCCTTCCTTCCTTCTTTCCTTTCTTTTTTTCCAGTTACAAAGTTTCTCATTTTATAACATGGAACAGCTATTTACAAGGTTCCAACTTAATGACATACCATATTTGGCTCTGCAAGATTACATTCAAATATAATCTCAAAATAATTCTCTGTCCTCTCATGAACTGAACCACTTTCAGTGCTTACTACTGTGTAAGTGAGAGCAAGGGTTGGTTTTCTGACAAAGACATCTATATGCAGAGAGCCAGCTCTCTCGGCAAGACATTTCCTAAGAAATCCTTCTGGTGATGTGGTAACACCAAGCTTTGTGGTACTCATAAAATTTCTGTCTAAATTTATTACAAGTTGCCCAGCAATTTTGGTTAAGGACCTAGATCACATTTCAGTGTTAATGTCAAGATGACTCTTATAGATGTAAATTTAAATAGAGCAGGGAAGATGAATATCATGCAATTCTTAGCACCCTGGCATAGGATAACAGTGGACCACCATGAACAGTGGTGCTGCAAACACCATCAGTGAAACAGAACAGGGATTATGCAGGCAACCAAATAAAACATTAACCTAGAACACTGGGAAAAACATCTGCAGAGGAGCACAAGGAGTGAACTGCTTTTCATTATGGCCAGTGCTCTGTATTAGAGCTCTGACAGTATCTCCAGAATACAGTAGGAGCCTGGGCATCTGTTGACTTTTTCTGCCTTGCTCACTTTCACTGTATTTTATCTGAAATAGGAAACAATCTCTGCTCAGGGGAATTCATGGGACAAATGTTATTTAAGATTAGGGAGGAGGTAAAACAGGGCTGCTTAGGATCTCCAAGTGGTTCATCATTCTTTCACTGGGAGTTG
The DNA here is from genome assembly GCF_000001405.40 of Homo sapiens. Classification (NCBI taxonomy): domain Eukaryota; kingdom Metazoa; phylum Chordata; class Mammalia; order Primates; family Hominidae; genus Homo; species Homo sapiens. Next base: position 115,809,037 of record NC_000003.12, read on the forward strand.
ACACTTGGAGACCTTCCTGTTTCTGGGGATTTACTCAACACATGCTGCTCATTTTCACAGTGGAGCAGGGCCTACCCTGTTAAATGCCAGGAAATATAAGAATCCCTCAGACTCATGAAATGAGAGTAAAATCTGAAATTTTCTCTCCTAGGTCACCTCGTCCACGTCATAATTCCTTATGCTGTTTGCTTACCCCATCGATAGTAGGCACTTTCATTTACAGTGATATTCTGAGTGACTCCCCACTCGGTTCTGATGATGGGACTAGGAGGAATATGGGGTCCTGCCCTTGGAAGGAGCATAGCTTGGTTTGAATACACACTGATGCCATGTGACAGCCATGGATGTAGGGAGGACTCTGCTCCTTGCCTCTTTCCCCGCCATCTCCCCCAGCAACTTGTTACAGCCGCATCTCACAATTACAATGCAGGACAGTATCTACAGCACAATGAGTCTATGTACACATGGACCATTCCCTTGGCATGCTTTAGAGAGAGACACACACACGCTCACACACATGTACACCCACGTGAGAGCGAAAGACTTGAGCACACACGCACAGTGGAGAAAATGAAAATGGCACTTCCTAGCATTTGCGGCATGACTAGTGCTCTGGGGAGGGGGTGGAGGTGAGGAGAGGTGAGGGAGGAAAGGTGGGTGAAAAGGGAGTATCTAGGGTGGGTGTGGGGGAGATAGAACGCACTGGAGGGAGAGGGGATGATCTCTAAAGTTGGAGAGATAGTGGAGGAAGGAAAGCCAGAGAAAGGCTCAACATAAGATTCCATTGATAGTCTGAAGTGGCTACAAGTCAGCTCAAATGAAAAATAGAATTAAAAGGTTATGGAAATATAAACACCAAAGGCAAGACCTTATTTTCTTCCCCACAGATGAAAAAAGATGAAGGAAGGAAGGATAAAGTGTGTGTTGGGGGGCTTAATATCCATCTGGTTCTTCTCTTATTTTTACAGCATCCAGATGTCCTTAGTGTGGTGTAGTCTTTACACAGCATACATTTGCTTAGTAGATATAAACATATCCCAGTAGAACCTTCTCCATCCTGAATGATACATAAATTTTTAATGATGGACTGTAAAATTGTTTTAAATGTTGTATTTTCTTCTTCACTTTCTTATTTCCCCCTTCATGTATAAACACACAAAGTTGTGAAATAAACGGTCTCCCCCATCTCTCTCTCTCTCTCTCTCTCTGTCTCTCTCTCTCTGTATTCTGTGTGACGCATTTTTGTGTGTTTTTTAAATTATTTTTAAATTTTTATTCTATTAACATTTGCTGAGAAGGCAGAGCAGAGATGCTGCCAGCAGCCACAGTGGTACGGCCAGACTGATGGATCCATTTATTCCTCTCACCGACCCAGGTCCTGCAGAGCAAAAGAGGAGAGAGAAAAAGAGAATGAGTTACATGGGCCCACTGTATGTTATAGCTGACTGCTGATGGTATCAGAGGTAAGACCTGGCCAGGTACTAGCATCTCAAAGTTACTGCACTTATGTGCAGCCCAAGAAGCGCTCAAAACTTTTCTAAATCCTTCTCCTCCTTGGGCTACAAGTATCCTAAGGGGCATCATTGGCTGAAACACTTCTAAATACAAAATGCTTTTGCCGGGTAAGTCCTTAAACTGGCTATCACTAATGTGTCTGATGGTACAGCAGGCTCCTGTTCACCCAGCCTCCTCCTGTTGGCCCTGCCCGAAGTAACTCTCTGGGGCCAGCACTCGTTAAGGTTCCAAGCATTGGTGAGGGTCCTCCAGCAGTCAGACATGGGTCTTCTGGCCAATTCATCATGGCATCTCCACCAATAAAGCATGGAACCAATCCACGACTCCCTCTGTCCCCGGGGGGAGGCAGTAATTACTTATTTGCTAATGGGGAGGGGAACTGTTTTAAAGTAATGCTTATGGCTAGATGGTACCTTAGCAAGGGAGAAAATAAGTCAATACATCTTAAAATCTTAAGAGGCAGCAAAGGATCAACTCCTCCAAACTCTTCATTTGTCACTTTAAAAATCAAAAACAAAAACAAAGACGATAACAACAAAAATAAACAAACACACCTAGAGAGGTTGAGAGGCAGGTCCAAACCATGAGCAGAACTGAGATTTGAACTCACCCAGATTAACCTGGAATGGCCATCCGTGTTTCCTGCTGCCACCTTAGTTTTCCCAATGTGGACACAATTTGGGGGATGTGGGTGTGGGTCTGAGAGGGGAAATAGGATGGATAGGAAGCTGGAGAAGGGGCTTGTGTGTTCATAAAAGAGAGGATTGGGGAGGAGGAAATCAGTGGTCTGGCAGAAGAGCTTATCATCTCTGCTTTGCTTGTTCCATTTTCTCCATTTGTATAGTTCTGCTCATATTCCATTAAAGTGAAAAAATAGTATTTTTCACTACAGGGACTTTTGGATTTAAGACTACATACTTAAACAATGATGTTCAAAAGAGAAACTGGTGTGACTGTAATTGTCAGTCACTTAAAAATTTTGAGAGTGCGTATGCAGATGGATTATGTGTGAGTGTGTGTGTGTGTGTGTGTGTAAAACTATGATGGTTTGCAGGTATGATGGAAGCATCCCCTGGTATGTGAATTTTTCCAAAACTGTTTACAAACATACCCAATTGGAGATAGGATAACAAGGAAAAATGCCAAATTCCATGGTCTCCTAATCTATGCTTTATGTAAATAATAAAAGCAACAACAACAATAAGAACGAAACCACAAACGATTATACAGCACTTACTACACGATTTTGTCACAACTGCCTTATAAATATAAGCACACAACCATGCTATAAGGTAGATACTATGATGAAACCTGTTTTACAGTGAAATGATCGAGGCACAGGGAGATTGGATGCACTGTACAAGTTTACACAGCTTGTAAGCAGAGGAGCTGGGGTTTTTACCCAGGTATCTGGCTCCAGAGTCTTTGCCTGTAAGTACTACACAGTAAAGGGGTGACTGTAAGTCTCCTGTCAACATTCAGCAAATTAAACTTGGGTTTGATTAAAATGGTCAGCACAAACAAAAACAAGGAGACAACTACTATCATTGCAAAGAAGATTTTTGATAGGAGAGTTTTGGCTAGAATACCTTCTTGAGAATATTAAAAACATCACCCAATATAAAAATATGAACATATACAAACTTTGATCAGCATACAGTATAAAATGAGCTGTATTATGTGTAAATCTATGGAAACACAGAATAAAGATTCAATAAATTAATTATCTGATTTTCTGAATTGTTATAGGATCATATTAACAAAAGGCACCTTAGCTACCTTCAGGTTCATGCATTTCATGAGGAATTAAGGTTCAATGAGATTCTGTATCTTGCATGAAAGCACCCGATTAGTAATTGTTGACCAGGTGCTTAAATTCAAGTGTCTTAAGTCATCTCAAGGCCTTTCCTAATCCACTTCTATGTCTCCTACTCCCACCCTTTTTGGACTTTTGGGACCTTCAAGCTCTCTTAGTGGCAACTTCCCCCAGGGCTTTTGGGCTGGTAGGAATGTTACTTTCCTAACCTTTTAGTCTTTCTATGTACACTAGATGGCAAGAGCTCCTTGGCATGTTTGGTTGTATTTGTGTATTGATGAGGTTTTCAAAACAGAGAAAAACTACACAAAAATTAAAGCCATAGAGGGTTAGGCAGAAAATACTTGTGTTTGCACCAGAGATAGTGTAAAACAAAAGGTTTTCAGAAAGGGTCCAATTCTGCTGATTTCCTCAATCTCATTTTTAGTGCAAGGACAGGCTAGTTTATCTTGTAGACATCCTGGAGCTGAATGATATCTTGGGAAGGTTAAGACTAGTCTTATCATTTTATTTGACAGTGATAAGTATTTGAGAAAGCCAAAATTCCATTATTGAAAAATATGTTACAGAATATATGAACCTAGATAAACATGTTCACATATAACATTCTTGATAATACATGTATACATACATATACATACAAAGTATATGTTATATACTTATATATGCAAATGATATACACACATATTATTGATCTTTTACAAATAATTCAGAATTAACTGTTATTTTCACGTGCTATTCTATGTTATAATGAGGAATCTCAGTATAACTATGTTAATAATCTTTAATTTTATCCTTCATAATATTATTATATACAGTCATATGCTACATTACATTTCAGTCAAAGATGAACCACGTATACAAAGGAGGTCCTATAAAGTTATAGCACTGCATTTTTACCATACCTTTCCTGTCTAGATAAGTTTATATACACAAATACTTACCATTGCCCATAGTATTCTCTATAGTAACATGCTTACAGGTTTTTAGCCTGGGAATAGGCTATACCATATATACTAGGTGTGTAATAAGCTATATTATTGAGGTTTGTGTAAGTATATTCTATGATGTTCACAAGAATGAAGTCACATAATAATGCATTTCTCAGAATGTATCCCAGTCATTAAGTGATGTATAAGTATATTTGAAACTTATTTTGTGCATCAGTTAAAGATATCTTCATCTCTATCAATTATTATTTATTAAGTGCTCTCATATAGCTATTTAGTGTACTTATATGACTTACTCTTTTCATAACTGGGTTTGAGAGTAAATAAATAGGCTTAAAAATACAAGGGTAAATGGGTGGTAGTTGGGAAATCATCACAAGTGTGTATGCAATTATAGATATATGTGACTGCATAGGAGACTACTTCAGTTAATGGCTATTTCAGGGAAGAATAATCAGCAAAATCATTAATTATGTTTTACTTCAGAGTTATGAAATTTCTGCTTATTTGTGGAAATGCAAATGATAAATCTTATTTCCCACACCAGATGGCCAAGCTCAGCAAGTGCTTTCATATACTGACAGATAAAATGAAAGCAAGAGTCTGCAAACATAAATTAGCCTTAAGAATAGATGGGCAAATAGAACCACAATTCAAATTTTGCTATGTCTTTTTCATATAACAGACAAAAATTATATTTTAGTATCCAATCCATTCTATATGTGTGTTATATATGTGCACACCCACTGATGTATGTGGTATCTGGTAAACATTCAGTAAATTGTATTATTACTAATCCAAATGCAGAAGTTTGGATTACAGAAAGAGATGAAATACCAACCTGAATCAAAGGCATTGATTTGTGAAATGGGTCAAGGCTTTTAATGTTGACTCAAGGAGCAAAATTCAGCTGCAGCAGGACTGCAAATCATAAGTCAACATGCCAGGTCAAGGTTCTCAACCCCAAGGTGGAATAAGTTAGATTCTGTGTCCAGGTGAATGCTGGATTGCACTTTCCCATAACAATGAAAGAGAATTTGTGATTAAGGGCAAGATAGATAAAACATTCTGAAACTGAGGGATATGAGAATTTTTTTGGCAAGTCTCTAGACTATAAATTTGTTTCAGGATCTGGAGCCAATTGATTTGTTTTTCAGAAAAATCTCAAGTAAAGGACCAGGTGATTTTTCAACACCTGTTTTAGCGTATGCTTAGAGACATTTTGTAATTCAAATCTGGTCAACGGTTTTCTGTTGCTCCTCCTAGGAGCCCATTTCTTGGATTTAGGACTAAATTCATTCAAAGGGGTTGTCAATTATGCTTTCAGTGATCCTTGGATATTCCTTTCAGCCACTAAGAAATCAAGATAAATCATAATTTTATTCCAGTTTGTAGTTCAGCCATACGAGAAAAAAAGCCAGAGGAGTTAAAGTTTGAATTCTCTTAGAATTATTAAGGGCTGATTGAGTGACTGAAAATAGAACAAAATTCTAAACAATTTGTAAAATACTTGTTTAACAAAGGAGAACAGTAATCTACACAGTCTCCTAAGAATCTGCCTCCCGTAGCATCTAGCCCAGCGGACTAAGGCATGTTGGTATCCTGGGAAGATGCATTTAGAAGGAAGCCTGATAAAATTGACTTTGGCGCCACCTGCTGTCCATTTTCTGCCAGTACAGCTTCCTCTGGGTGAATGAACTGGGGATTAAAGCTCAGGCTGGAGCAAATTAGAGGAGGGGAAATACGGTAGTCCCCCCTTATCAGTGGCTTTGTTTTCTGCCGTTTCACTTACCTGAGGTACATACAGTACAATAAGATGTTCAGAGAGAGAGAGAGAAAGAGAAAGATAACATTCACATAACTTTTATTACAGTATTTTGTTAGAATTGTTTTATTATTATTGTAGTTAATCTCTTACGGGGCCTAATTTATAAATTAAACTTCATCATACGTATGTATATGAAAAAATATAGCGTATATAGGTAGGGTTCTGTACTATCTGCAGTTTCAGGCATCCACTGGGGTCCTGGGGCCATATCCCCTGAGGATAAGTGGGAACTACTACATCGATGTTTTCTTTGAGTAATGGGTCTTAAAATCAATTGAATGTGAGCTCTTCCTACATTTTCTTTAGCACTTTATGCATTTTCTCTACTCTCTATAAAGCGAGATTTTGGTAATATTCTCACATTAAAGTCAGAATCATCACATCTGTTTCATCAACACAGCAGCAAGTATTTTGGCATACAAGTTTTTAAAATTTTAGTCCAATACGTAGAACTTCTGGTGACACTGGCAGTTTATTTTGTCTTTGAAATAAAAAACAATGCTATGCCTTATTTTTTCAACCACATATCAAAGCCATAATGTATCACATATAACACTAGCCACTTAAGATTAAAACATAATTGGTAATCGTGGCATTGAGAAGAAAAGAAAGGCTGAAAGGGACAATATTTTATGCCTTCTTGAAGGCCTCAAATGATCCTGTTTCCAAGTATATATTCATGGCTGCCTCTTCCCTGTTGCCTTCAGTGAGGACCTTCTAGCACTGGCCATAAATACGGTGCTGGCCCTTTCTTGGGAGTAAGCAACAAAGTGTCCATAATCTCTGTGGCTCTTGATCACTGGTGGGATGTAAGTTCCGCAAGAATAGATTTCCACAGTTGAGAGTGATCTTGGTTGTCTCACCCCTCTGAGACTCAGAGAGGAAGATGCCTTCATATGAGACAATTATAATCATGTAGATGACCATCAGGAAGTAAAGAGGGTGGGGTCTGGCCACATAGGTACCTCTGTGGCTCTGGTCTGGGGTTAGACACTGTTAGGGACTAGCATTTATTGGACTTGTAAAGACAGCACCTCAGAATTAGTAACTACTTGCATTTTAGGGTCTGTTTTATGAAGCCAACAAGTGAATGTAAAATAGGCTCTGCATCTTTTCTGAGAGCCCTGTCACTGGGCAGTGAGCATTTCCAAAATTGCAGCTCTGTCAGAATGAACCATGAATACTTAAGAAAGGGAAAGTAGGAACAGGGAGCAGCGCAAAGCATAACTTGCTGTGTTCCAGGGATTTAAAAATAAATTACTGTCAAGAGCAATATAAGGGTCATGGGTTTGATCAGGAACTTTTTGTAAATGAAAAAGTTCACAATTTGGAAAAAACAGTGCTAGATGTGTTATGGAAATTGTTATCACAAATTATTCCACTGAAACTCAAGTATATAAGACAACAATATATTGCTGTGAAATCTTAATTTTGACATATGGAAGGTAACCAAAAATAAGAACCATACCTTTTTGCTTGAAGTGCACGGTGGTACCAATTTCTAAAATAAGAAACATTAAGCAAAACAAAAACAAATAAAAAATCTTTATCAATTAAGAAGAAACACAAAGGTAATCTGATATTCTCCACTGAAAGGCGAATAAGAGAAAAGGAGGAAAGAACATTTTAATAGGAAAGAATATTGGTAGAGATGGAAAGAAAGGCAAATGGAAAGAGATTGTTTTGTTGGAACAAATGATGTGCAGTTGGAGGTGGCAAAAATGATTTGCAACTTCAAATACCTGATGCTACATTGTATGCATGTAGACAAGTTCAAGAACTCTGAGTATGGAATGTAAAGGTACTCTTGACCGCAATTTAGTGGAATAATAGAATGTGTCCGATCCATAACCTCGTCCTACCATTTTGCCCTGGTTTATTCCACTCAAGCCAACTGGCTGTCCTGCTCTTCTTCCAACAGATCAAGTCTATTCCAACTTAAAACCTTCACGCTTGCTTTTCATTTGCTTGGAATATTCTTCCCCTAGATCTTTGTATTGATCACTTAGTCACTTCATTCAGATTTCTGCTGAAATGACAACAACTCGAAAGGGACTCCTCTCATCATCTTGTTAAAAATAGCATCTTCTGTTATTTTCTCTATTCCTTTACCCTGCTTTACTAATCTAAATAGCACTTACCTCTAACTTGACATCCTGTTATGCATATACTTTTTGCCTATTTATAGTTTCGTCCTCTTCATTAGACTATATGCTCCACGAGGGCAGCAACAGTGTGTGCCTTCTCAAATACTGTATCCCTAGTGCTTAGATTAGAGCTTGGCAGGTAGTGGATATTCAATAAATATTTGTTTAATTTATAAATAAGTCTCAGGGTCGGAAGAGCTCAGGTAGGTTAAATATTTGGTTTCTCTTTTAAGTACCTTTGTCAAGTAAACCACAATGCTCTTAGGTCTTTAGAAGCAAATATGTAAAACTTCTATAGGACACCACTTTGAAGCTCAGGAACAACTTAGCAGGTGCTCAGATAGAAGAGCCCAAACTGCTGTTGGAATACAGAACCTGTCTTTTTGTCCTTGAAGCCCATCACTTGCAGTTATTTCTATTTAACAAATGCAACATGCTGCAAGTTCATACAAAAAGATGGAGTAAGAATTCTCCCCTCCTAGCAGAAGCCAGCACTCACCCTGGAAGTGAATCCAGGTTCTATTAATATATAAAACAATGGTCTCTAGCTGTTGACGACTTTCTGTATATGTCTCATCATCTAACCACTGATGTTTTAAGTTGTGTATTAAACATACTGCCACTTGTTTCCTTTCATAATACGAGCTTTGACATCTTTTCTTTAGGATCAACATATTGCATTAAAAAATATTGAAAGGCAGTGTGGAGAATATGTTCATGAAAACATGAGGAAACTGAGGCCCAGAGAGGTCATTTGCGAAGTGAGAGGCAAAGCTGAGACTGAAATTTAGGGCTCCCACTTCTCTAGACAGAACCTAGTCCATTATTCCACAATACCCCTTTGGCAGTTTTTATGAAAGCAATGCCTGTATGACTCAAGAGGTATCACTGGGATATTTAAATGATTCAATACTGGCTGGAAAGGTACGACTCTTGTGCAAAGTGCAACTTTCCTCTTTCTTGCATCAAGCCTCTTAGCTTATTATGGTAAGAATTTTTAAGAACCCCTTAAGGCCACAGAGCGATGCTCTTTCCTAAAAGAGGCCTCAATCCTCGATGAGGCCATCTTCAGTTAAAAAACACTAAGTTTATGGTACACAGGCTTCGTGGGAATGATTTCAAGCAATTGTTCAGAAATCCAGACAGGTAGGAAGCCTGGTGATTCTGCTGAAAGCTTTCTCTTCACCTCTCTTTGCGTCAGTTTCATCATCTCTAAAATGAGTTTACTTACATGCATCTTATAAATTTGTGCTATGAATTAGATCAATTAATCAACATACTATACTTACAATGGTGCCAGACACATAATAAATGCTCAATAAATGAAAGTTGTCAGTTTTGTGGTAAAATCCCTTCTAGACAGGATTATTAGTGCAATTTTAGTGGAGAGAGAAAAATACATCTTAACAAGTAAGTCATGGCATTGCAAGTCCAAAGAATTTATATATATATATAATAAATTATATATATATATAAGAAAGAAGGAAAGTTGTACTTTTATATATATATATATATATATATATATATATAACTGCAGCAACATGATGAACAAACAATGGGAGATTCTAGCACAAAAAAAGTGATTGGAGGCTGGGCGCGGCTCACACCTGTAATCCCAGCACTTTGGGAGGCTGAGGAAGGTGGATCACCTGAGGTCGGGAGTTTGAGGCCAGCCTGGCCAGCATGGTGAAACCCCATCTCTACTAAATTAGCCCAGCGTGGTGGCACGTGCCTGTAATCCCAGCTACTCGGGAAGCTGAGGCAGGAGAATCACTTGAACCCGGGAGGCGGAGGTTGCAGTGAGCCGAGATCAGGCCCTTGCACTCCAGCCTGGGCAACAGAGCGAGACTCCATCTCAAAAAAACAAAAGTGGCCCGGCTCAGTGGCTCACGCCTGTAATCCCAGCACTTTGGGAGGCCGAGGTGGGCAGATCACGAAGTCAGGAGTTCGACCAACACAGTGAAACCCCGTCTCTACTAAAAATACAACAAAATTAGCTGGGTGTGGTGGTACGTGTCTGTAATCTCAGCTACTTGGGAGGCGGAGGCAGGAGAATCGCTTGAACCTGGAGGGTGGAGATTGCAGTGAGATTGCACCACTGCTCTCCAGCCTGGCGACAGAGTGAGACTCTGTCCAAAAAAAAAAAAGTGACAGGAAAGCGGATTGATTAGGGCATATTTTGATCAGGGAAAGTCTAGCAATGTGCCTGCGTTAACCTGTCACTGGCATAGGTGTGGGTAAGAATCTACATGTTCTAATGGATTCTAATGGATCTCTTAGGAAACAGATGCTCCCCTATGAATCAACTAGAGAAAGTTGATTACAAGAAGCATATAAAAAATTCCCAAATATTCTACTCTGTGAAGCTAATATCAGAAAAATTCAGATATGAAATATACATTTGCTTGAAATATCTTTAAAAAGCAAAACAGGTTGCCAGTTAAATGTTAAGTACTCCTCCCTATGCCTGTAATAAATCAACTTCTTTGTGAAATCCTAAAGATCTTAACAGTTGGGATTCCATTTTTCTTTAGGAAAAGAGAATGGAATTCTTATTTTGGACTCTTATTTCCTACCCATCACCTTCTGTAGGAGCAGAACATTCTGAGCACATTTTTGAAAATGTGGTTATGTGTTGCCATCTTGTGGTAATACTAAGACATGCTCCTACGTGCTGTGCAGATGAATCACCTTTGTCCACGAGGTGGCAATAGTGGGAGAAATAAACACTTTTTTTTTTTTTTCCAGTGTCAGGCCAGGCATGAAATAGTACTCTTTAAGAGGGGATTTTCTGTTGTTATAGACAGAATTTTTTTTTGCATTTAACACCTAAACATTATTTTTACTTTTCTAGTGAAAATGCAATCTCATGTTCGTGAATCGAACTGCATTGCCAGGGATATAATTTTTGCAGAGATTTCCAGGGCACCGTGCTTAGAACACAACCTGGAACCTATGATTTTTATGCCTTTCAGGAAGACTTCTAACTAAATATTAATCTTGCTTCAGCAAATACACTTAACAAATAAGTATGGCAGTGAAGGTACAAGGTATAATAGAGAAAGGTAAATCGACTGAAGCAATGCAAAACACAACACTGGGAGATTCTAGTATAGAGAATGTACTAGGCTTTCTGGAGAACCTTACCATCACATGCTTAGATCTTAGCTCCTGATGAGGTGGTAGAAGGAGACAATGGGGAAATGATTTAATATTAGGAAAGGCAAGTGCCTCGAGACATTTATTTAAGCTAATCTGTCCTTGATTTTTGACTTTCAGATTCATTACACCCAGCCACATTAGCCTGCACCATTAAAAACATTGATTCAACCTCTCTTATTGGCATAGACAATACATCTGCCTTGTTCACTACTCTATCCTCAGCTTGGTATTTCTCTAGCACAGAAGAATGGTCCAGTAGATATGCTGAAGAAATACCTGAATGCATAAATAAATAAGAAAATGAGAGACTGAATGAATCAATTAATACCTCAAGTGTTACCCTAGATAAGATTCTAGAGAGGGGAGATTCTATTTTCTTTTTAGAACCACGGTGCCTGAACCTAAGGTGAGATTATTCTTGGGAATTCACAGTTATTTGAAGAGCCAATGGGGCCAGGAGGTCCTTGCCTTATTTCCCAAATCCTGGCAGGTAGAACATTTTCTGGAGGGCTGAGCTTTATTTTAAAACACCTTCCTGACTAATAAAAATGTGAACTTTAACAAATAAAAGCCCAAGTTTCTTTTGAAGATTTATTCTTCTTCTTACCCTTTACTATGATCTCTTGCTCTTATCTCTCACTACGTGATGTGATTTTTTTCTCTTTCTCTGTCTCTCTCTCTCCCCCTCCCTCCATCCACATCTCTGAAAAAATTCAAGTGAGTGTTGCAAAGATGAAAGATGCTCCATTGGAAACTCTACAGTTTATAGTTTGGGAACTCCCTCATTATCTTAGGAAATCTTCATATCTTTATGTGTGGAAAATTTTGGCATTTTGCTTTCTTTGAGTTATATCTGGGAGATGAAGTGAGGGTACAACACATTCATAAGGAAAAGAATTGACGTTTAGTGCTTTCAGTCTTGACTTTTGACAACTTTTCTCTAATCCTCTACTTATAAGAGTTCATTTGCATTCACATGTAGGTAACGTAGAGTTTGGGGAGTTTATATTGTTTGCACAGTTGTTCTAATTCTAGGGTATTTACTTGAAAACAAATGTCTTATTTTTCAACCTGCTGCAGCCATTTGAAAAAGAAAACATTATCTCTATGTGTGTGACATAAGTCTTTCTATAAGGCTAACCCTCTGATGTGCTGCAGGTTTTGAAAATGACATAAGAATAATTAATGGCACTTTTAAAATTCTGGGCCAGAGTTAGTAAGAGTGTGTGTTTGCAGAAGTGGGACAGGAAAAGGTCCAAATTCAGTAGGGATTTTATCCTCCAGTTCCTGAAAATTGCAGAAAGGGGCAGGGTTAAAATTATTAAGAAATGTAATAAAAGAAACAGAGGAGGAGATCATACCTGCTGCTGCTTCCTCACTGATGCCAAGGACCTGAGGCATAACATTTGTAAGATTCTGCCATGGAAATTTATGGGTTTTGCCCTCTGACTTCTGTTTATTTATTTATTGGCCAAATTTTTGAAAAATAAAACCTTTATAATTATAGTGGCTTAAAAGGGAGCAATTTTTATTAATTCAATTTTCAAGCCACACTTTGAAAGCTATTAACTTCTTTCTCACAGATTTCTTCACTCAGAGGCTTTAGGGATTAGCAGCTTGTACTTGTAAATATTATTTTTTTCTTTTGCCATAGAAAAGTATTTGCCTTGTGATTCATATTTGAATTATTAGAGCTTTTGATATTCTCCCATGTATGATATTCATGTTGTATAAACCTCAATGTCAAATATTTCTAGAATAATGTTTTCTGAGAATCAAAGTACTCATTCTGGGGCTAGTGAAGTAAGAAAAGAGTCAAAATAGAGAAATGGATTTGAATCTCAATCTTGAGATTCTTCCTATATTTTTTTCTTTTCTTTCTTTCTTCTTTCTCTCTTTCTTTCCTTCTTTTTTTTTTTTTTTTTGACAGAGTTTCGCTCTTTTTGCCCAGGCTGGAGTGCAATGGCCCGATCTCGGCCCACCACAACCTCCATCTCCCAAGTTCAAGCAATTATCCTGCCTCAGCCTCCCGAGTAGCTGGGATTACAGGCATATACCACCATGCTTAGCTAATTTTGTATTTTTAGTAGAGATGGAGTTTCTCCATGTTGGTCAGGCTGGTCTCAAACTCCCAACCTCAGGTGATCTGCCCGCCTTGGCCTCCCAAAGAGCTGGGATTACAGGTGTGAGCCACTGCCCCCGGCCTTCCTATTTTCTTAGTTAATAGGTGGACCATTGCCCTCATGACTAAGAGTATACATCAAACCAGCTGAGAAAACTAAGCAATCTTAGCATGTCATCAATATTTGAGAAAGGAAGTTGGCCTCCCTTAGCTAGATTTGGGCCAGCAAGGAATGCTACACTTTACTTTCAAATACCGCTAAAGGCTTTTCTTCTTTATAGTTGTCTGTGACTAGAAATGGACTTCAGTTTGGTGCTCTGTCAGAGTAAATAATGACATAGGCATGAGTAGACAGTACCAGAATACTGCAGCCCTAGACAGATGGTGTTAATTCCTTGTTGAATGAATGAATGAAACCAAACTAAAATAATGCTGGTATAATTTCTTGTTGAAAAACGTGAATAAAATATTTGGGCCTCACTCCTTATATCAAATATTCTATAGTGAATAGAATGTGAAAAAATGCTTAAATTGTCATTGGATTAAAAAGAACACATCTATTAAAGGAAAAATATTAATGCGCCAACTTGGAGAGAGAACATATGAGCCCCCACATCTGAAAGGAGGACTCTTACTGGGGATCCTGGAGGTGCATGAGGGAAATCCCTTGTGAGTCAATATTTGACTAAGACCTGAAAGCACTTTGGGTGTGCACATCACTGTGGAGAGCACCCTGGCCCAGGTAGGAGGGCAGCTCCTGGGCCTGCCTCTGCTATAACCTTGAACGAATAACAGAAACATGCCCAGCTTCTGAGAGCATGGAAAAATAGAAGACATTTTATGTTTTTAACTTGAACATTCTGTAGTACACTGGCAGCTCAAACATTCAGACAAAACATTTGTTTATATTGCATTAATGGTGTTATCTCTAAGGAGAGGGATTACACAGGAGCTTTATTTTCTTCTTTATAGTTTCATATTTTTCAAATTCTTCCATAATGAGAATGCATAACATTTATTATCAGAATAGAAAACTATTTGTAAAAACAAATCAATGCATTTTTTTAAAAAAAACCTTTAAATGTGGAGAAAAGGAAATAATCATTTTCTGATTATTTGGCATTGGCATTAGTTTGACAACATTACAAGGAGAATAAATTTTTTCTCCATTTTTCAGCTGGGAGATACCATGTAGTAAAGCAAAAGAGAAGCTAAGATGGGTGAATCCTAATTTCCAAAGCAACATGGTCTTAACAGCAATGCAATAAAAAATGTTATCATACAGGTTGATGAGGTCCTACTGACCAGAGGCTTGATGTACTGGGTATTGTCGTATAAAGTAAGTATAGGTGCATGATTTGACTTTAACCATTATGGGCTTTGCTCAATGGTGATACGGATTGTTACAGAAAGAGCAGTCTCACTAAACACTCTCAACATAAAGAGAATGCTTTCTTAAGTCTCTTGCACCAAGTCAGCTTTCTTACATTTTGAGAGTTTCTTATTTAGCCTGAGAGGTTTAGTTTTTAATAATCAATGAATTGAAATGTTCCAGAATGCCAAAGAGGCTAAGTTTAATAAAGGGGTTTCTCTGGGCTATGCCACCTGAAAATATGTGTAAGATTAGATAAATCCCAGAAGTAAATTTATTTGGATCAGCTGTCAGTAAGGTACTCAGGACTAGACATGCAGTTTCTGTCTTAAAGAAGAAACAGGTTTCTCTGCCCTTGTGCCTAAAATGCACCTTGGCCCTTGTCTATGGGTGCAAACTGGCCCTTTGACCTTTGTTGTAATTAAGAGACCAGCCAACTCATTTAATAAAGAACTATATTCCAGGCCAGTTGCTGTGACTCATGCCTGTAATCCCAGTAATCCCAGCACTTTGGGAGGCCAAGACGTGCAGATCACGAGGTCAGGAGTTTGAGACCAGCCTGGCCAACATGGTGAAACCCCATCTCTACTAAAGATACAAAAAATTAGCCGGGTGTGGTGGCATGCACCTGTAATCCCAGCTACTCGGGAGGCTGAGGCAGGAGAATCGCTGGAACCCAGGAGGCGGAGGTTGCAGTGAGCAGAGATTGCACCGTTGAGTCATTGCACTCCAGCCTGGGTGACAGGGCGAGACTCCGTCTTAAAAAAAAAAAAAAAAAAGAACTAGCTTCCGGACCTAAATCTACTTAGTTGTTGATTCTTCTTAGTTGTTAAAACATAAAATAGATTATATATGTCATATTTGTGTTTAAAAACATAAATTTTATGTATACTCTAAAGCCTTTTGTACTTTCATTTATCTGACTTGGTAAGAAAGATTAAAAATGCAGGTTTGGATAGGTCTCCAGAGATTTACATTCTTTCTGGTCTTACCCCTCACTTTCTATTTTCCAGCCCCAAATTGTGAATTTCTGATCTATTTTTGAATACATTTTAAATTTAAAATCCTAAGGCATGCAAGACCATCTTTAATCTACGTAATATGCCTTTTCATTTTGTATGTTTTAAAATCAAAACCATTCAAATAACATGAAACGAGGTAACTGGCCTGCAGAATTTGAATGCAAAGATAACAAGTGAATTTGTGAGATTTCCCAGGGTTTTTAAAGCTCCTGGAAATAAGGAGATAAGGGATTAAAAAATGTTGGTATGCTCTGAGTCACCCTTGGACCTACCTCTATTGCACTAACTACCGCAGTGCAGAACTTGGTAAATGTAGTTCTGCTTTGGACTACTTCCAGCAACATTATTCTTTGGAGTTCCAGAATGCTTCAATAACAAGTTTGGTTTATCTATAACTCCTGCTATGTCAGTGACTCCAAATATAACATTATAGCCAGGTCCTTGTGCAACTCTCTGAAAATACTGATGGCTCCTTACAACCTATTTCTACAACTAAAATAAAAACCTACCATCAAACCTCCTTACTGAAAAGCTGCAAGTTTTCTCTAGACATTCTGCTAAATAACAGGCTGTCAGTATCCTCCAGAAAGCTAAACCTAAATACTAATACCTACCACACAGTACATAATATCCATGTGTGACCATACAATTAAGCCCACAAGTGCTTTTCCTGGTCCTGAGTGTAATATAGGTGAAAATGCCCAATCTCTAACCTTTATTTTTATTTTTCTAGAAATTATCTTTATTTTTTAAACTTGATGTATTCGTATAAGGTATAAAGATCAAATGAGGGTAATTGGGATATCCATCACTTTAAATATTTATATTTTCTTTATGCTAGAAATGTAGAAATCTTTGAAGTATTCTAGCTATTCTGAAATGTACATACATTGTTGTAAATTATAGAAATTCCTCACCTTTAACTCCACTGGTTTATCATGTTTATTTCTTTTTGTAAACAGGCCAGATGCAAGACAGGATAAACTCTTACGTAAAAAATATTATTTTTCTAGATTTAAAAAATTTATTAGGCTTTATAGTGGATCCCTGTGAGTTAAGTTCTTTCTGGATTCTAGACCTTTGCAGGTAGTGGGTTGTCGTTCTCTTCCCCTGCTTCTTCTCTTTCTGTCTTTTATTTTTATTTTTATTTTTATTTTTATTTGAGACAGAGTCTCGATCTGTCACCCAGGCTGGAGTGCAGTGGCGCAATCTTGGCTCACTGCAAGCTCTGCCTCCTGGGTTCACATCATTCTCTTGCCTCAGCCTCCTGAGTAGCTGGGACTACAGGCACCTGCCACCACGCCCGGCTAATTTTTTGTATTTTTTAGTAGAGACGGGGTTTCACCGTGTTAGCCAGGATGGTCTCAACCTCCTGAACTTGTGATTCAGCCTCCCAAAGTGCTGGGATTACAGGCATGAGCCACCACGCCTGGCCTGTTTCTGTCTTTTAAACTTCACTTTCACCTGGAAGTCTTCCCCCATTAGCCCAGACTAGCTAATGTGCCCTGGTTTGTTCTCCCCAAACACCTACCAGTTATCTTCACATGGACTTAAAGTTTACTGTGGTTGCTTAGTTCATTAAGTACTTCTCCATTTGGTCTGTAAACCCTCTTAGTGCAGAGGCTGTACCTGCTTCATTCTCCTTTGTCATCCCCAAAACCCGGCTCAGAGCAAATACTAAGATATTTCTTTGAGTAAATGAATGGTGTCGTCAAGATATTGTGCATGTCAAATTAACTTAACCTGTGCCAAAAAATGAGTTTTTAACTGCCTATCAAGAATGTAACCTCTTTCTTGTGTTCCTAATGATTAGAAA